>NC_000023.11:151142272-151445302 GCF_000001405.40 Homo sapiens | reverse complement strand
TTATATCCTAAATTGTCCTATATCTATAAAAAATGAATTCATAGTTTAAAATTTTCCAATAAAGGAAAAACTCCAGGGCTAGATGGATTCACTAGTGAATTTTATAAAACATTTAAGGAATAAAAAATAATAATTCTACCCATTTTCTTTCAAAAGATAGAAGAGGAGAGAGCACTTCCAATCTTACTTTCTAAGGTCAAAATTACCCTTGTACTAAAATCAAAGACTTACAGGAAAAGAAAATTAAAGACCAATATCCCTCATAAACAAAAATATAAAAGCCCTTAACAAAATAATAGCAGATTGAATCCAGCAAATTATAAAAAGAATAATACAACATGATTAAGTGAGGTTTATCCCAGGGAGTTGAGGCTGGTTCAACATTCAAAAATCAATCAATTTACCATATTAATAGACTGCAGAAAAAATAGCTGTGACTGTGACCATCTCCATAGATTCACAGAAAGCCCTGCATAAAATGCAGCATCTATTCATGATAAAACTTTACGTAAACTAGAAATATAAGGTAACTTCATGAACCCAATAAAGATAATCTGCAAAAGTATCCATAGTCAACACTATAATTAATGATGAATGACTGAATGTTATCCCCATTAAGATTTGAAAAAAGGCAAGGATGTCCACTATCACCATTCCTATTCATCATTGTACTGCAAGTCCTAGCCCATAAAATAAAGTAAAAGAAGAAAAAGAAAAAGAAGAGCAAACAGATTAAAAGAAATGAAATAAAACTGTCTCTACTTCCAGATGACATGTTTACATAGAAAATCCCAAAGCATCTACCAAAAATCTCCTAGAACTACTAAGTTTCATAAGGCTGATGAGAAAAGCACTACATATAAAAATTAATTGTACTTCCATGTACTAGTAATGGTAATTGGAATTTACAGTTTTAAAAGTATCATTTACAAAAGCATAAAAAAATGAAAAAGGTATAAGTAATGAAAAAGGTAAAATATAGGTGCAGGATCCACAGGTTGAAAACTACAAAACACTAGTAAAAGAAATGAAAGAAATCCTAACTAAATGGATTGATATCATATCCATGGTTTGAAAGACAATATTGCTAAGATGTGAAATTTCCCCAAATTGATCTATGGATTCAAAGCAATCACAATAAAAATCTCAGGAAATTTTTAGTAGACATAGTAGATATAAAAAACAAATTCAAAAATTTATATAGGCAGTCTAGGGAACTAGAATAGCAAATACATTTTTAGAAAAAGAGAACAAAGTCAAAAAACTGACATTATCTGACATCAAAGGCCCATGTAACATATACTAAGATATACTCTGTTTTAGGATACAAAAGCAAACCCCAACAAATTTAAAAGAATTGAACTCATATAGTGAGTGTGTTTTCTGACCAAAATGGAGTCAAGCTAGATGTATTTCCAGGCACATGGCTCAAGCTGTCAGTGGATCTACCATTCTGGGGTCTGGAGGATGATGGCCCTCTTCTCACAACTCCACTAGGCAGTGTCCCAGCAGGGACTTTGTGTGGGGGCTCTCACCCCACATTTCCCTTCTGCACCACCCTAGCAGAGGTTCTCCATGAGAGCCCCACCCCTGCAGCAAACTTCCGCCTGGGCATCCAGGCGTTTTCATAAATCTTCTGAAATCTAGGTGGAGGTTCCCAAACCTCAATTCTTGACTTCTGTGTACCCGTAGGCTCAACACCATATGGAAGCTTCCAAGGCTTGGTGCTTGCACCATCTAAAGCCACAGCCCGAGCTCTATGTTGGCCCCTTTCAGCCATGGCTGGAGCGGCTGGGATGCAGGGCACAAAGTCCCTAGGCTGCACACAGCTCAGGGACCCTGGGCCCGGCCCACAAAACCACATTTTGCTCCTAGGCCTCTGGCCCTGTGATTGGTGGGGCTGCTGTGAAAACCTCTGACATGCCCTGGAGACATTTTGCCCATTGTCTTGGAGATTAACATTTGGCTCCTTGTCACTTATGCAAACTTCTGCAGCCTGCTTGAATTTCTCCCCAGAAAATGGGATTTTCTTTTCTATCGCATTGTCAGGCTGCAAATTTTTCAAACTTATGCTTTGTTTCCCTTTTAAAACTGAATGCTTTTACACGCACCCAAGTCACCTCTTGAATGCTTTACTACTTAGAAATTTCGTCAGCCAGATACCCTAAATCATCTCTCTCAAGTACAAAGTTCCACAAATCTCTAGGGCAGGGGCAAATGCTGCCAGTCTCTTTGCTAAAATGTAACAAGAGTCACCTTTACTGCAGTTCCCAATAAGTTCCTCATCTCCATCTGAGACCACCTCACCCTGAACCTTATTGTCCATATCACTACTAGCATTTTGGGCAAAGCCATTCAACAAGTATCTAAGAAGTTCCAAACTTTCTCACATTTTCCTGTCTTTTTCTGAGCCCTCCAAACTGTTCCAACCACTGCCTGTTACCCAGTTCCAAAGTCACTTCCACATTTTTGGATATCTTTTCAGCAACACTCCACTCCTGGTACCAAAAGTTGTATTAGTCAAGGTTCTCTAGAGGGATGGAACTAATGGAATATATATATATATATATATATATATATATATATATATATATATATATATATATATATACACACACACACACACATAAAGGGGAGTTTATTAAGTATTAACTCACACGATCACAAGGTCCCACAATAGGCCATCTGCAGGCTGAGGAGCAAGGAGAGCCAGTTCAAGTTCCAAAACTAAAGAACTTGGGGGCCGGGCGTGGTGGCTCACGCCTGTAATCCCAGCACTTTGGGAGGCCGAGGCGGGCGGATCACGAGGTCAGGAGATCGAGACCATCCCGGCTAACACGGTGAAACCCCGTCTCTACTAAAAATACAAAAAATTAGCCGGGCGTAGTGGCGCGCGCCTGTAGTCCCAGCTACTTGGGAGGCTGAGGCAGGAGAATGGCGTGAACCCGGGAGGCGGAGCTTGCAGTGAGCCGAGATCCCGCCACTGCACTCCAGCCTGGGCGACAGAGTGAGACTCCGTCTCAAAAAAAAAAAAAAAAGAACTTGGAGTCCGATGTTCAAGGGGCAGGAAGCATCCAGCAAGGGAGAAAGATGTAGGCTGGGAGGCTAGGCCAGTCTCCCTTTTCACATTTTTCTGCCTGCTTATATTCTAGCTGTGCTGGCAGCTGATTAGATTGTGCCCACCCAGATTAGGTTGGGTCTGCCTTTCCCAGCCCGCTGACTCAAATGTTAATCTCCTTTGACAACACCCTCACAGACACCCACAGGATCAATACTTTGTATCCTTCAATCCAATCAAGTTGACACTCAGTATTAATCATTACACTAGATATCAGTAACAGAAAGATAATTTTAAAAATCTATGAATACACAGAAGCTAAACAACACATTTCTAAATGGGTCTAAAAAGAAGTCCATGGGTCAAAAAAAGAAATATCAGGGAAATAAAAAATACACTGAACTGAATGAAAATGAAAATACAACATATCAAAATTTGTGGGAAATAGCTAAAGAAGAACTTAGAGAAAACTTTTTAGCACTAAATGCACATATTGGAAGGAAGGGAAAAGCTTCAAATCAATAACCTATGCTCCCATCTTAAGAATACAGAAAAAAAGAGCAAAATAAACTTCAAGCAAGCAGAAGGAAAGAAGTAATAAAGATAAAAGCAGAAATCAATGAAATTGATGACAGAAAAACAATAGAAAGATAAAAAAAGAATGGGATATTTGCAAAGATCAATAAAATTGACAAACCTCTAGCAAGGCAGACAACAAAAAGAAAAGAGAGAAAACACAAATGACCAATATCACGAATAAAACAAGGGATGTCATGAGAGACCCTGAAGACATCAAAATGATAGTAAGTATATTACAAACAACTCTACGCATATAAATTTGATAATATAGACAAATAGACCACATTCTTTAAAAACCACAAACTACCATGACTCATTCAGTATGAAATAGATTGGATTAGTCTGTTTTCACGCTGCTGATAAAGACATAACCAAGACTGCTCAATTTACAAAAGAAAGAGGTTTAATGAACTTACAGTTCCACATGGCTGGGGAAGCCTCACAATCATGGTGGAAGGCAAGGAGGAGCAAGTCACGTCTTACGTGGATGGTGGCAGGCAAAGGGAGCGCTCGTGCAGGGAAACTCCTGCTTTTAAAACCGTCAGCTCTGGTGAGAGACTTATTCACTATCATGAGAACAGCATGGGAAAGACCTGCCCCCATGATTCAATTACCTCCCACTGGGTTCTTTCTCACATGGGAATTGTGGGAGTTACAATTCAAGATGAGATTTGGGTGAGGACACAGCCAAACCATATTACAGATGATGTAAATGGCTCCATAGCTCTTTTTTTTTTTTTCTTTTTGAGACAGGGTCTCACTCTGTAGCCCAGGCTGGAGTACAGTGGTGCAATCATGGCTCACTGCAGCCTTGGCTTCCTGGGCTCAGGGGATCCTCCTAATTCAGCCTCCCCAGTCACTGGGACTACAGGTGTGTGCCACCATGCTAGGCTAATTTTTGTATTGTTTGTAAAGATGGGTTTTCGCCATGTTGCCCAGGCTGGTCTCGAACTCCTGGGCTCAAGCGATCCACTCACCTCAGCTTTCCAAAGTGCTAGGATTATAGGCATGAGCGACTGCACCCAGCCTCTATAATTATTACATAAACTCAAATCAAAATTTAAAAGCCCCATAAAAGAACTCTCCAGGCCCAAATAGTTTCACTAGAAAATTCTACCAAACATTTAAAGAATTAACACCAATTCTACACAATCTCTTCCAGCAAATAAAAGAAGAAAAACACATTCTAACTTTAAGAAGTTAGTATTACCCTGTGATAAGAAAACAAGACAAAGACATTACAAGGAAAGAAAACTATGGACCAATATCCTTTATGGCCAGAAATATAAGTCCTTAACAAAATCAAAGTAGATTGAATGCAGCAATACATAAAAAGAATAATACAACATGACTAAATGGGGAGACAGTGAACCTATAAAGGGGACAGGGAAGAAGAGCGAGAGATAAGAAGGAAGAAAAATACAGAAGAACACTATATCTTATAAGCTGTTTTAATCACTTTGTATTGCTATAAAGGAACACCTGAGGCTGGGTAATTTGCAATATGAAGCGGTTTATTTGGTTCACAGTTCTGCAGGCTGTACAAGAAGTGTGGCACCAGCACCTGCTTCTTCTGAGGGCCTCCGACTGCTTCTGCTTGTGGCTGAAGGCAAAGGGAAGAAGGCATGACATGATGAGAGTGGAAGCAAGAAAGAGAGGAGGAAGGTGCCAGCCTCTTTTTAACAAGCAGTTCTCATGGGAACTAACAGAGTGAGAAATCACTCATTACCATGTGGTGACAGCACCTAGCCATTTATGAGGGATCTGCCCCCATGACCCAAACACTTCCTTTTAGGGCCCACCTCCAACATTAGGGATCAAATTTCAACATGAAATTTGAGGAGAAAATATACCCAAACTATATCATAAGCCAAGGGAAAAACTGTTTCAGAAGAGAGGCAATAGTCAAGTTCATTGACTGTTGCAGAAAAATCAAGCAAGATGAAAAAGGAAATATGTGCTTAATGACAAGGATGTAATTGATGACTTTGGTAAGAGTGTTGGGGACAGAAGCCAGATTGCAGTGAGAGGGGAGTGAGTGGCAGAGGAGGAATTAGAGACACTGAACGAAGGTAGACAACTCCTTCCAGAAGCACGTGAAAGTAGGAGATAGCTCAGTAGCTTCAGAGGCAGTTCAGGTCAGGATGAGAGGAGGGATATTTAACACAGGAAGATTTTTGGACATACTTATATTTAATTTCTTGTGGGGAAGAGAGACAGCTCAGAGAAAGAGATGACTCCCATAGATGACAAAGAATAACTGATGAAGAGCCAGGTCCTCAAGAAGGAGAAGGAGTTGAAATCCACAGTACAAGTGAAGAGGTTGGCTTTAGCCTGGAGCAGGAGCCCTTATTCCCCTATGGAAGAAAGAACAGCATGGCTTTGAGTCCCGGACTATCTTGGGACTTCGGGCAAGCTATACAACTTTTTCATACTTAAACTTCTCCATCTGTAAAGTGCTAATAAATATATCTAACTTCTCTTTTTCCTTCTGCTGGTCAAAATGCTCCACTCAGTCCTATCAGATTAAGATCTTGACTTGCATATGAAGCCCAGATCAAAGTGAGCTGTTAATATTCTGTCCATGAAGAGCCATCCAGTGCATGACCATGGACAAGCTGTTTAACCCCTCGAAGCCTTAGTTTTCACATTTGTAAAATGGGAATGATATTAGCTCCTACCTCACAAGATTAGTGTGAAGATTAAGGGACCTAAGACATGTAAAGTACTTAGCATAACAGCTAACCTATTGTGCTCAGCAAATTGTAGGCGTAACCTATAAGCCAGAAAGTCACTTGAAATTAAGACATGTGTTTTGCGACCATGTGCAGTGGCTCATGCCTGTAATCCCAGCACTTTGGGAGGCTGAGGTGGGCGGAACACCTGAGGTTGGGAGTTTGAGACCAACCTGACAAATATGGAGAAACCCTGTCTATACTAAAAATACAAAATTAGCTGGGCATGGTGGTGCATGCCTGTAATTCCATCTACTCGGGAAGCTGAGGCAGGATAATTGCTTGAACCCAGGAGGCAGAGGTTGCGGTGAGCCAAGATCACGCCATTGTACTCCAGCTTGGGCAACAAGAGCGAAACTCTGTCTCAAAAAAAAAAAAGTGTGTTTTGCTCATCTCAGTGTATCTTGCAGGATCTGTCTTGGAGTTGACATTCAAGATATTTGCTAAATTGAACTGCACTGTACAGAGCTAAAAGAAGTCCAGAGATCTAAGCTGTTGTTTAAGGTCACACAGTGGGTTAGAGTCACAACTGGGACTAGATGCCACGTCTGCTGTTTCCTAGTATAGAAAGGGTTCTTTCTAGTACATTACACATTAGAGGGTGACATACACACCAATTTCCAAGAACACAACTGCTGTGTAGGGCAATATAACCATAACTAAGTAAAGGCCCACTTGGTAGGTAGAATAGAAAAAGTCCTTTAGTTTTAGTTGCTGACAGAACCTCATAGCCAGGCCACTTCCACCTGCTGTTTTCCCATTTGATATTTCTATGATCTAACAGTTTTGAAGTTTTCCTTCTTAGTCACTCAAAGTAAAATAAAACATTGTATTTTTCTACATTTGAGTTCTGATTCATCTCACAATTCTCTGTGGCTCCAGGCTAATTTAATTGTTAAAATTAGACCCCTGAGGAGTTGAGAGAGACCAACAATGATCAAGTTAAATGCACACTACATGATCAGTATTTAATTAGGTATTGTTGCAAAATTCATGTTAATTACCATGTTGGTATTATTACAAAATGATGATTCACTTTTTATATATCTCAGAGGAAATTAAGCTATGTATATTGGGACCTATGTATAAGGTTTTAAGTAAAAACCTTAAATAGGTTAAAAACCCAAGGAGGCCCTTAAAAATGTGCCTGATTGATTTTTGGCAAGGTGCAAAATGAATTCAATGGAGTAAGGACAGCTTTTTCAACAAATGGTGCTGGAGCAATTGGACATCTATAGGCAAAAAAATGAACATACACCAACACTTCATACCATATATAAAAATCAACTCAAAATAGATCACGACGTTAAATGTAAAACATAAAACTTTAGGAAAAAATAAGAGAAAACTCTTGGGATTTTGGACTAGGCAAAAATTTCATAGATTTGACACCAGAAGCATATCTATAAATGGAAAAGAAAGTCAATAAATTGAACCTGATCAAAGTTTAAAACTTTTGCTTTGCAAAAGCCCATATGAAGAAGATTAAAAGATAAGCTGCAGGCTGGAAAAAAATATTTTCAAAACCACATATCTGACAAAGGACTTGTATCTGGCATATATGAAGAGCTCTCAAAACTCAACAATAAAACATAATAATCCAGTTAGAAAAAGACAACAAAAGACATTTCACCAAAAAGGATATACAGAAGGCAGAAAGCACATGCAAAAATGCTCAACATCATTAGCCATGAGATAATGCAAATTCTAACCTTGATGAGATATCATTGCATGCCTATAAGAATGGCTAAAATAAAAAGTAGTAACAACACCAAATGTTGGTGAGGATGCAGAGAAACTGGATCACTCCTTCATTACTGGTGGGAATATAAATGGTATAGCCACTCTGGAAAAGTGTTTGGCAATTTCTTATAAAACTAAGCATGCAACTCCCACACGACCCAGCAATTGCACTCTTGGGCATTTATCCCAGAGACATGAACATGTATGTTCATACAAAACCCTGTACATGAATGTTTATAAAAGCTTTATTTGTAATAGCCCTAAACTGGAAGCAACCCAGATGTCCTTCAATGGCTGACTGGATAAACAAACTGATATACAGTCCTACTATGGGATTCTACTCACCAAAAACAAGAAATAAACTTACAATACATGCAACAACCTGAATGAATCTACAAAGATTTATGCCGAGTAAAAAAGCCAAACATGAAAACTTACATACTGTATGATTCCATTTATATAACATTCTTGAAATGTCAACATTGTAGAGATGAAGAGAAGGTTAGTGTTTGACATAGATTAGGAATGGGACCAGAGTGTGGATGCTGGAGAGAGGTGGGTGTGGTTATAAAGGGCAACAGAAGGGTTCCTGGTGACAATAATGAAAGAACTGCTCAGTGTCTTGATGGTCATCATTAATAATTATCCAGGGCATAAAATGTTACAGAATTTAACATGTACACACACACACACACACACACAAACGCGTGCACAAGTAAAACTGAAAAATGTGAATAAGATCAGTGGACTGATCTACTCTATAATGGGGAAACTACATATGGGGAAATTGGGCAAAGTGTACAAGGGATTGCTGTATAATTTCTTACAACTGCATGTTAATCTACATTGACCTCATTAAAAAATAAAATTGAAGGAGGCATTAAAGACACAACAGTCAGTTGTGAGAAACATGACTTTAAGGCTTTTAAAAGGAAATAGAGGTGAATGTCTTCATGACCTCAGGATAAGGAAAGATTTCTTTTAGAAACATAAGTAGCACAAACCATAAAGTTAATGATTAATACATGTAACTACATTCAAACAAAAATTCTGTGCAACAAATAGCATTTCAAACGTGAAAAGACAAGCCACAGAGTGCTAGAAGATATGTGCAGTACAGGATTTAACAAAGGATCGGTATCCAGAATATAGACCAATAAACTACAAAACAATCTATTTTTTTAAAAAAATGGGCAAAAGACACAAACATGCGATTCCTCAAAGAGGAACCCTGAGCAATGTACATGTAAAAAGTTTATGAACTATCCTAGATACCTGAGAAATGCCCACTAAAGCACAAGAAACCATTTCACACCCACCAGATTGGCAAAAACTTTATTATTATTTTGAGACAGTGTCTCCCTCTGTTGCCCAGGCTGGAGTGCAATGGCAGAGATCACAGCTATCTGCAGGCTCAACCTCCTGGGCCCAGGTGATCCTCCCACTTCAGCCTCTCGAGTAGCTGTGACTACAGGCATGCGCCACCAAGCCCAGCTAAGTCTTTTGTATTTTTTTGTAGAGATGGGGTTACACCATGTTGCCCAGGCTGGTCCTGAACTCCTGAGTTCAAGTGATCCTCCTGCTTTGGCCTCCTAAAATGCTGGAATTACAGGCGTGAGCCAACACGCCCAGCAGGGCAAAAATTTTAAAGGTCTGAAAATACCAGGTGCTGGCAAGGAAGTGGGACAACTGGGGCTCCCATACACTGCTGGTAGTGTGTAATTTAGTAGAAACACTTCAAAACTCTATTTGGCAACAACCAGTAAAATGGAAGATGCATATATTTTGTGACCCAACAATTTTATTTCTAGATGTATAACCTAGATCGCAGCTTAAAATCGTTTTGGTTCATGAGTCATAGTATGAAATTCATTTTACATTGTAGCCTAATATATATATATTTATAGTTGAAGCAAAAATGTTCTATAAGAATTTTTATCCTGCATGAAAAGCTTTCTGATATTTTCTATTCCATTTTTTTTTAACTACTAAATTGATCTCATGATATACTAATGCAGTGTTTCTCAACTTTGGCTGCATATTACAATCGTCTGGGGGAGCTATTAAATTTCCATTGCTGAGGTCACAACCCAAACAAATTAAGTTAGAATATCTCAGGGGGTGACCCCAGCATCAGTAGTTTTTGAAGTTCCCCAGATGGTTCCAATGTGTAGCCAAAGTTGGGAATCACTGCAATAATGGGCCACAACGTGAACTTTGGAAATCAATGCCCTAACTGCTGAAATTCTAATAAAGTCTTTAAGTTAGTAATAGTAGTGTGCCAATGTTAATTTTTTGGTTTTGATTATTGTACTATAGTTATGTGATATTAATATTAGAGGAAACTGAGTGAACATTATATAGGAACTCTGTACAGTTTTTGCAACTTTTCTGTAAGTCCAAAATTATTTCAAAAAAAAGTTTTTTAAAAAGAAGAAAGAACTGCCCTAGAGAAATTATTGCACGAAGAGATGTGAATAAGAATATTCACAGCAACACTTGTTTGTAAGTTCAGAAAACTAGAAACACTAAAAAGTCCATCAAGAGGAGAATATATAATACATTGTGGTACATTCCTACAATGGAATACTATACAGTAGTTAAAATACATGAACTAAAAGTATATATGTCTACATGGATGGATCTTAAGAGCAGATAATGAGTGACATAAAGCAAGTTGCAGAAGGGTAATTTATAGCATGATACTATTTTGTGAGGCTTAAAAACACTTAAAATAATATTACATATTTTATGGACACATAAATTTTGAGTAAAAGTATGGAGAAATGCATGGGAATGAAGACCACTAAATTCAGAATAGTGATTACTTTGGGGAGGAGGCAGGAAAATGAAATCAGAGTTGGGTGGATGAGAGACTTCAACTGCATTTGTACTGTTTCATTACAAAAGCTGAGCAGTGGGTATGTAAGCTTTGGTTGCATTACTCTTTTTTTGCTCATTTGTATGTCTAACATATTTCATAATTTAAAAATTAATCTGATCATAACAAATGCCCCACACTGGTTGGGGATGTTGACTGTGGGAGAGGCTATGCATGTACAGGGGCAGGGAGTATATGGGCTATCTCTGTATCTTCCTCTCCATTTTGCTGTGAACCTAAGAGTGCTCTAAAATTAGCCTTTTTTTTTTTTTTAACATAAGCCAAAGGACTGGTAAATCATCAGGTGGGATAGAAAAGAGAACGGTTGTAGAGAAGCTGAGTTTGGGAGCAAGTAAGCGGCAGTAGCATGCCATTGCTGCTGTCTACCCAACCAGGTCATCTGCCAGTGTACTTGACTGCCAATGTGTATAGAAAAGGACTATGCCATGTGAATGCCAAGCCCTTGGGGCTAGCATTTCATTAGTAACTTGAAGAGAAGTAAGCTCAGATGACAGCCCACTTTCTTTTCTTTTCTTTCTTTCTCTTTTTTTTTTTTTTTTAGACAGAGTCTCGCTCTGTCACCAGGATGGAGTGCAGTGGCGCAATCTCAGCTCACTGCAACCTCCACCTCCCAGGATCAGGCAATTCTCCTGCCTCAGCCTCCCGAGTAGCTGGGACTACAGGCACGCACTACCATGCCCAGCTAATTTTTTGTATTTTTAGTAGAGATGGGGTTTCACCATGTTGGCCAAGATGGTCTCGATCTCTTGACTTCGTGATCCGCCTGCCTCAGCCTCCCAAAGTGCTAGGATTACAGGCATGAGCCACTGTGCCCGGCCGACAGCCCAGTTTCTCTGATCTCACCTTAAACTCCTCCATGTTGGTATTCTCTCGAGGTAGGGCTGAGAATAGAAAACAAAGCCCTGGGAACAAGGTCAATCAACCACAAACACTTCTCTAGTACAGCCCAAATTCTGGACACTACAGCTGGAATAGAGAAGTAGGAGGAAGAAAGGTGGTGAAAGATGGGCTAGAGACACTCCTTCTCCTTTAAAGAAGAATCAGGCTCTGTTAGAGCTGTGAGCCATCAGACCTTTGCCATGACCATTCTCAGGTGTGATCACAATGCTGACCTCCACTGCCTACCCAAAGCCATTCACCATCCCACAGAGGAATACATGGAGGAGGTGAAGGAGTTAATTTAGGATCCAGGACAGCTTTGAAGAGGTAGGTCAGGCAGCAATCAAGGGCTGTGGGCACCTAAGACCAGCAGGAGGGTGCTATGTGCCTAGGGTACTGCAAAAGACAATAAAGAAAGGAAGGTGGGAGACACCAAAGACAAACCCCACATATTTCCTAATTTAGGATCAGGCCCCGTCCTGTCTCCCATACTTTCTCCCAGATACCAGATGGAAAATGCCTCCCGAGCGGGAAGAGAATATGTTGGCTCCTACTCCATCTTCCTCTGGTAGAGTTCCAGGGTCTAGGGGTGGAAGGGTACAATGCCAGCACCATTCATCCTTCTCTCGTGCCACACGGAAGAGCTTCTCTCTTTTCCTCTTGCCCCGTACCTCCGCTTAAGAAGGAAAAACCCATTCTTCATGCCTGCTGGTGGGAAAGGCTCTGTGGGAATGCCTACCTACAGAAACTTGAGGTTATTCTCATACATGAGGCCATTATCTGAATCCTCCACAGCAAATGTGAATCCCAGATGATTATCACCTTGCTCAGGGCACAACACTAACTGTAGAGAGATCAAAGACAGAGACGAGTGGGAGGACTGGAAAGGGATTTAGAAGATTGAGTTTACGAGGTTTGGCTACTGATAAGGGGATGAAGAGAAGGTTGTTAAAGATGGGAATTGGTGAAGGATTTGCTAAGTGCTTGGCAAGGCAATGGGTGCCATTCCCTGAGATGCTACATAGTCGAAGAGAAGTAGGTTGGGTGGGACAGGATGATGGCGATTGAGGAGTGTGGGGGACAACTGAGTGGAGATACCTAAAAGGCAGGTGGCTTTTCACGTCTGGCATTCAAAGGAGAGGTCTGGGCTGGAGGCATGTATTTGGGCATTATGGCATAAAGATGGTGACTGGGGAGTAGACAAGATGGCCTAGGATAGACTGGAGAGAAACAACAGGACTGACCCACTGAAGACAGAACCACTTAGTAAACACAAAATTGGGTAACTTGTTTAATGCTCACCTTGCTGCTTCTCTGTGATAGTTCTTTGAAAAAAAAAAAAAAAACTTTGAAAAAACACCAGTATTCCAGTAGAAAATCAACATATTTGATGTAATTTCTAATATGACATCTTTGCTACCACAACTGCTATACATTTTGCACAAATTCAGGCAGGGGAACTTACTGGAGACAAATTAAGCCAAAAAGAATTTGTGAGGAAGACACTTTTCTTTGATGAGATGAAATTTGTTCCCTAAACCACTTTGAAAAGCTCTTTATCTCATTTATCAAGATCAAGCTTTTTAGACAAAAACCTATTTTGGTCAAGTCTTTAGACACTGGATTGGAAAACTGAAGAGAATAATCAGACAGTAATTTCCTTGGTCCTAGTTGAAAAATTGTGATAAGCTGAGTAGAGGTGCTTTGGCCAACCATATACAGAGCATAATTTTATGTCTAAGCTGCTGATGACAGTGCATATTTCCCATAATAGGCACTCTAGCTGCACAGAATAATGAACTGAGAGGAGGTGAGAGGCTGTTGATGGACTTACTAAAACCTTAGCAATGGCCAAGTGATACTGATTAGGGAACATCAAGAGTCCATATGATTAAGTCTTTAGCATTCTAAGTTCCTTAGAACAGCCCCTCCATGTCAGCACTGAATTTTAGTTCCCCTTGTAAGTGACAAGAATGCATTAAGAGGTTTGTGTAAATCAGAAAAGCTCCCTTCTCTCCGAGAGGCTCTGGTGCTATAGCGATGAATCATTGAGATGAGGATACTTGATGCAGTCCCTGTACCAAGAAAGTTGCTTGGAATCCTTTGTAAAAGAAAGCCTTCATCACCAGCCTTTTTTCCTTCCTTCCATTTCTAGAATCTACCTGGTAAAAAGAGACAGAAATGACCACTGAGATGGAGGCCTGCTTTACCTGCTCTATTGGTTTTCTAGGGCTACTTGTAATTAAGTACCACATACTGGGTGATTTAAACAACAGAAATGTATTGTCTCACAGTTTTGGAGGTAATAAGTTGGAAATCAAGGTCTCCAGAGGGTTGGTTCCTTCAGAAGGCTGCAAGGGAACCATCTGTTCCAGGCCTCTCTCTCCTGGGCTTGTAGATGGCCATCTTCTACCTGTGTGTTCACATGGCAGTCTTCCCGTGCATATGTCTGTCTCTGTGTGCAGATTTTCTCCTTCTATAAGGACACCAGTCATAGTGGATTACAGCCCACCCTAATACCCTCATTTTAACCTGATTATCTCTATAAAGACACTATCTCCAAATAAACTAACATTCTGAGCTGAGTCACCTACTGTGGTTAGGACTCCAATTTATCTTTTTTGGGGGGAATACAATTCAGCCCATAACACCCGCCAAGCACATAATCTGGTCCCTGGGAAAAGCACCATTCCCGCATTGGGCAGCCTATTACTGGTAAGAAACTTTGAGGCTTGGACCTATGGACTTTCAGGGCTGCAAGGGCTCCTAGAAACCATCTGGTCCCACAAAGGACTGGTCCAAATTCACAAGGCAGTGCCTTAGTTGAGACTCAGTCCTTAGAGGTGCCAGAAGCCCTAGGCAGAGGCCATGGGGAAGACAGCAAGATAAGTATCTTTTCCAAGCTGTTGTGCCTCCCCCCATGTCCTCCTTCCCACCCTCATCCCATTTCTAGGTATCCGTGAGGCCTGACAGTGAGTCCAACTGAAATGGGTTATTTCACCTATCCAAGCAGATTTTAAAGCCATTTCAAAAGTAAAGGAAAGAAGCCAGAAGTGGAAAATAAAGTGAAGTGACTCAGTTACAATCATGACATTATTTTCTGATCCATTTTTGCATAAAGATTTTAATGACTTCCGTTTCAGCTGATCCATTAGGAGCTTTTAAACTTCCCCTGATGGTAGAGTACATGAGTACAGCCCTGTGTTCTATTGGCACTTGAAATAATGTACTGATTTCAAAATACCACCTTGGCAGAAATCAACTGACAATACTTAAATCAAAACTTCTCATGAATTGTGGCTGATTAGAGCACTTACCCTCAAATTACTTCAAGTCCACGTGAAATTAGAAAAAAAGTTGAACCCATTTTCAAGATCATTGATATCTGGAAGATATTAAAGTATTTCAGAGTACTTCACTGATTTCCAAACTAGTGCTAGGAAACTTCATTACAACAGCTCAAGAGGAGGCGGGATGCGTGCATGGGCTAGGACCCCCTAGGTGACACTGCATAACGTCACTTCTCTTAGACCACTTCCCAATCTATAAAATGAGGGGACAAGACTGGTCAATCTCAGATGCCATCAGGCTCTAAAATTGCTACTATCTTGTGGGGTTTTTTTTGTCAGGTTTAAGAATACTGTAATCAAGACAAGTGGTCCTCAAATTTTTGTGTTCATAGCCTATTTTGATTATTACAGTTTTTTTGTAGCACACGCTAGGGGACTAAAAGACACAAAACAATAGCAAACAAGCAAGCAAAAATTACAACACACGAAAGCTCAGTATAACAAAGTCTCTCTCTGTCTATAAAAGAATTCCTAGTCATCGCTGTAGGCACCTGGTTGCTCTTTAGCCATGAATCACTGTGAGAACCGTTGGGTTCCCTAACCAGAGTCGCCCCTCAGTATCCATGGGGGATTGTTCCAGGACTCCCCCTAGGATACCAAAATCCATGGATGCTCAAGTCCTTTCTATATAATGGCATCATATTTGCATATAACCTATCTACATCCTCTCATATAATGTAAATCTTTTCCAGATTACTTAAAATACCTAATACAATGTAAATGCTATGTAAATAGTTATGCTGAATTGTTTAGGGAATAATGACAACCATACAAGTCTGTACATGTTCAGTAAAGAGGCAACCATCCATTTTTTAAGAATATTTTCTAGTCACAGTTGGTTGAATCCACAGATGCAGAACCCACGTATACAAAGGGCCGACTGTACTTAGGAAGCAAAGGTCTTGCATGTACCACAAACCACTCTGTCTTTCTTTGGTTCATGTCTGATGTTACACTCCACATGCCTTACCTTTTCTTTGAAGCAAATTATATTCCCCATTCCAACCTCGTTCATTCAGGTGCAAGGGGAAGAGAAAATCAGAACAGTAACAGGAGATGGGGTGGAGTGGCTGAAAGATGATATAGGACTTCTGGCTGAACTTTAAGCTAAAGTTTTGTGCAGAAGAGTGACATGATGTAAATCTTACTCTTCAAACATCACTCTGGCAACTGTGCAGAGAAAAGACTGAATGGGGCAAGGCAGAAGCAGGAAGAGTAGCCAGGAGGCTCCTGGAGTGATTCAAGCGAGAGATGGTAGGGATGACTAGAACTGGAGTGGAAGCAGGAGTGGTAGTGAGAAGTGGATCTATGTATCTAGAAGGAAACATAGACAGAATTCATTGATGGATTGAATTTGGGGTATGAGAAAGAGAGGTCAAATTAAACTGCAAGATTTTAGCCTGAACAACCTCTACTTACTGAGATGTGGAAGTCTGCAGATGGAGCAAATTCAGGGGAGCAGATGAGGGATTTGATTTGAGATGTCTATTGCATACCCAGTGGCTGTGCATAATTCACAGCTGGGTGTACAAGTCTAGGGCTCATGGTAGAGGCCTGGGCTGGAGATGTATGTTTGGGAGCAGTACATACATGGTTTTGAAAGCCATGATATTAAATAAGATTAGAAAGGCAACGAGTATAGTGAGAGAAGGGAGAATGCCTAAGGAATGAACCATATGGCTCTCTAACCTTCAGATTAGATGGGGAGGAACTGTCAGAAGTGAGGGCAAAGGAGCAGCCAGCGTAGTAAGAGGAAAACCAGAAGAATACGGAGCCCTGGAAGCTGAGAGAACAAAACACAACCACAACTTGCTTATTTCAAGAGTTTTTCTGATATATACTGCCAGAACAGAGCATATGACTAAATTGTGGGGGAAAAGAATCTTGTGCAATGAACAAAATCTGGTGGCACAACTGTCCTGCTTAACTACAATACTGCCTGCTGTGATCCAAGCCAGGGATGCTGACCCTGGCTCTTTCTCGCCACCAAGCCCTCAAAGCAGCATTATAAGGAGAAAAGTTGAGCAGGGATTTCAGTCAGCCAGACCTTGGTCCAAACCTCAGCTCTGCCACATACTGGCTGTGTAATCTTGGACAAGCTGCTTCAGTTCTCTGACCCTTAATTTCTTCACTTTTAAATGGGCTATACCTCTGAGGGTACTGGAAGAGTAAAAATGATCACGTGTGCACATATAATTTGGCACAAAGTAACAGTTCAGAGTACCAAATATTATTAGCTACTATCTCTCTCAAGAAATAATAAAAGTTAATCTATTATCTGAGAAATCAGTTGTGCTGCCTTTATATCCCCAAAGCTCAGAGAAAAATCTATCTAATCTACAAACTTGAATTCTAAGATACACATGATTTCCCAGTATGACTACCCAGCCCCCACTGCTTCTCATTCCTACCTCCCCCCACCCCACAATCGAGCTTTACCTTGTCCACACTGGTCTAACTTCCATTTAATGCTGTAACCTGAATCCCAGTCACATTCACAGAAATGGCCATTTGCCAGCCCTGATCCTCGTGGCTCTCGAAACATCATTTGACACTGTCGATCATGCCCTTTTTCTTGAAGCCACACACTCTGATCCTCATCCCTTTTGGTCTTCTTCCTGGACTCCTCTCCTTCACCTGCCTCTTAAAGCCTGGACTCCTGGGGCTCTGTTCTGAGTCCTGTTCTCCTTTCACAGTCTACACAGTTACCCAGGGGAGCTCATGAATGCCATGCTTCACCTCTGCACCAAGGTAATGGCTTTTCCCTCCAAAATCTATACTAGGCTTCCTGAGCTCCAGACCAGGATAACCAAATACCTATTGGGCATCTTCTTGCCCTCTCAATATGCTGACAAGTACCTCAGGTTTAATGAAGGTCTAAAGCAGAATCCATTGTCTCCTTCGTCCTCCAAAATCACCTGCTCCTCCCTCAGTCATCAGTCTCAGTCGCTCACACCAAAAACCGTAAGTCCCTCCTTTCCTTCACTCCCAAAATGTAGTCGATCCCACAGCAAGCATTGCTAAGTGCTGCCTTCAAAACATATATATCAAGATATCCATGCCTCTCTACGATAGAGGGGCCTGCTCCTTGGTATAGTATATAGTTGTTATCTCTGGACCGTGAAACTAGACATAATTTTAACTTTGTATTTTTGCATATTTCTATTTCTAAAAATTTCCTCCACAAACTATCTACTCTTTCTGTAAATCTTTGCTATTCAAAGTGTGGTCCCAGATCAGCAGTATCTG
Source organism: Homo sapiens (assembly GCF_000001405.40). Taxonomy (NCBI): domain Eukaryota; kingdom Metazoa; phylum Chordata; class Mammalia; order Primates; family Hominidae; genus Homo; species Homo sapiens. The sequence continues at coordinate 151,426,807 of NC_000023.11, read as the reverse complement.
CATTACCTGGGAGCTTCAGGCCTGACTCCAAACCTACTGAATTGGCATTTTAACCAGATTTCCTTGCGATTTTTATGAATGCCCACTTGGAGAAGCACTGGTCTAGTTTCCTGCCACTCCCTGGCTCCCTCCTTATTCTCATCTACCTCCCCGTGACTTCCTCACACATCCTAGGATGCCTCTCTCCTCTATGTTTTTGCTTATGCCATCACCTCTACCTGCAATCTCACAGCCTCTCCCATTCTTGTCTTCTGCCTTCAAGATTCATCTCAGGAAAATAAACACTGGGGGAAAATATCAGGTTTATGACAGGCAAAATGTTAATACTTTTAATATATAAAGATCTTAAAATCAATGCAAAAAGACTATACCCTGACCAAAGGTATAGACTAGAGAAGGAAAAGAAAGTGGTCAGTAGACATTTGAAAATCAATGTAAACTTCACTAAAAATCAAAGAAAAACACTGAATACATATAGTGTAGAATGGTGGTTAGCAGGAGCAGGGTGCAGGGGCACAAAGGATATGGGAAGACAAAAGTCAAAGGGCACAAAGTTGCAGTTCTGTGGGCTGAGTCTGGAGATCTAATGTACAACATGGGGACTAGAGTTACTAATGTCATATCGTATACTTGAAATTTGCCCAGAGAGTAGATGTTTTTGTACTCTTGCCACAAAAAAAGGAAAGGTAACTATATAAGATGATGGTTATGTTAATTTGCTTGTCTGTAGTAATCACTTCAATATATATTTGTATATCAAGACATCATGTACACCATCATGTACAGCCTAAATATATACAATAAGAAAGATTTATTACTAAAAGAAAAAATCAAAGAAATGCAAAATACAGTAAAATTACATTTGTTATCTATTGCTGCATAGCAAATTAGCCCAAAACTGAGTGGCTTACAGAAACAATAAATAATGATTATTTCATATTTTCTGTGGGTCGCTCAGTCAAGATGTCTACTGAGCTACAGTCATCTTAAGGCTTAAATGAAGCTGGAGCATCCGCTTCAAGGTGGCTTACTCCTATGGCTGGCAAATTGGTGCTGGCTGTTGCCAGGAGTCCTCAGGTCCATACCACATAGACTCCCGCAGGGCTGCCTGAGTGTCCTCATGGCATGGTGTTGGCTTCTCTCAGAACAAGTAACCCAAGAGAGCCAGGAAGAAGAGGCACATACCAGTAAGTCACTTCTGTGATACCCCAGGCACAGAAAGGCAAATACCACATGATCTCACTCATAAGTAAAACCTAAAAAGAAAGTGGAACTCCTAGAAGCAGAGAATAGAATGGTGGTTACCAGGGGCTGAGGGTTAGGCAGGGGGGGATGAGGTGATATTGGCCAAAAGATACAGAATTTCAGTTAGACAAGTGGAATAAATTCAAGAGATTATTGTACATCATGTGATTATAGTTAATAGCAATGTACTGTATTCTTGAAAATTGCTAAGAGAGTCGATTTGAAGTTTTCTCACCACAAAAAAATGATGTGTGTGAGGTTATGCATATGTTAATTAGCTTGATTTAGCAATTCCACAATGTATACATATTTCAAAACATGTTGTACACCAAAAATATATACGATTTTTATTTGTATATTAAAACATAAAGAGAAAAAAAAGAACAGATATTTATTCATTCTGTTAGATTTTTTAAAAGGAAGCAACAAATCAGTTGTTTACTATATGAGTGACTTAATGACATTTTTAAAGCATTTGTGCCTATAGAGAGATAAATGATAGAGAGACTGAAAGGATGCACTTCAAATATAAGCAGTGGTTGTCTCTGGTGCTGGCATCACAACGTTTTATTTTTCGTTTTTGGAAGTAGTCATTGCTTTGTACCATTGCAGAAATACATGTCCTCTGATGGAAAAAAAAAAAAAAGGGGGGGGGGGTGTATTTTTAATTTTTACAAAAGACAGCCCAGGCATCATTCTGCCCCAGAAGCTTCCCTTAACCCCTGATTTTGCTGCTGTTGCCCTGAAGCCTGGGTTAGCTGCTTTCTCTTCTTCTTCTTTCTTCTTTCTTTTTTCTTCTTCTCCTTCTCCTTCCTCTTCCTCCTCCTCCTTCTCCTCTTCTTCTTCCTCTTCCTCCTCCTCCTCTTCTTCTTCCTCCTCCTCCTCTTCTTCCTCCTCCCCCTCCTTCTCCTCCCCCCCACTCCTCCTCTTCTTCTTTTCTTTTTTTTTTTTTTTCTTTTTTTGGTTTGAGACAGGGTCTGGCTTTGTCACCCAGGCAGGAGTGTAGTGGCACGATCTTGGCTTACTGCAGTCTCCGCCTCCTGGGCTCAAGTGGTCCTCATACCTCAGCCTCCTGAGTAGCTGGGACTACAGGTGCGCGCAACCATGCCCGGCTAATTTTTGTACTTTTTGTAGAGATGGGGTTTCGCCACATTGCCCAGGCTGGTCTCAAGCTCCTGAGCTCAAGTGACCCGCTCGCCTCAGACTCCCAAAGTGCTGGGATTACAGGTGTCAGCCACCATGCCCAGCTAGCAGCTTTCTTCTTATGCCCCTAAAGTACCTCATCCATCCCTCCTTTGGTGCACTTTTCAAGTGGTATTAGCCTGTCAATCTATGCCTCTGTCCTTCCGCCCCTCACTAGACACACATAGTGCCATGCTTATCCATCTCCAGGTCCCTGATGCCATGTGCAGAGCCTGGTCAACAACAGACACTTGGTGTAATTTGTTGAACTGAAGTGAATAGCACTGCTCACCTAGAGCCAAGCCAGATGGTATGTGGGGTTGGGTTCCATTATGACTGTGCATGGCTGATCTGGAAAGAGGAGGGCATTGCAGATGGTGTGGGGTAGGTCAGCTGTACTCCTGGCCCAGACCCTGGTACCTTCCTTTGCAATGGCTCCAGAACTGGGGGAGCCCATTGCACAGCACCTATAGTGGTTCTCTTAGCCAGAGAACTGAACTGGTGGTGTGTTATTAATTCTGTAGTTTAGTTTCAAGACAGTAGACTGACCGGCAAAGTTAACCTGAGCTTTATTTTGATAGCCTTTAATTCTGTCCCAGGTTTCATCAATTAAACGATGGCAGGCCAAGCACTTGAGTTGAAGGAGAGATCAACTAAATTGAATTAATGTCTCAGAAATGCACTAAAAATAGCACATGATCCAGTATCCCAGCTGGCTCCATTATCACCACCTATACAGAGCAGATAATGCCATATACACAGGCTCTGAAATATGACTGCCCAGCTCTGCCAAAGCTTCTCCATTCCAAATGCTGTGAGCAATTTAATCAAGTTATAAATGCTTTTTTCTTACTGAAAAAAAAGTGGGACATTTTAATTGGGTCTTGAATTATGTTTATATTACAAAATTGGAAATTTATTATTAATGAGGAGGGATATTCCCAGCTTCTAAGCTTCCTTTCTAGAATAAATGTCACTAAATTAATCAAAGACAAAAGGACCACTGATTATTCATACCTAGGATTCAATTCTGACTGGGTCCACATTAATGTCAGAGCAGGGAAGTTTTTAACATCAGAAATGTGAAGCTGGCTAATGATAGCGATACCCTTCAATGGCCAGCTTGGGAGCCCACCTTGGGGTACGTGGGCCTGGCTTGGAAGGCCCAGCCCAACTGTAGTTCTGGTTTGGCCAGCTGACTCAGGCCTGTCCTGAGCCAGCTGAGAAGCTCCATGCCCTCCTTTACCAGGTAAGTTTGCAATGGACTAATCTTTTTTCCAAGCTCGTCAAGGTGATGAGCTTCCCAGAAAGAGACTCAGGGGTTGCAGGTGGGATTGGTGGGTGTGAGAGAGTATCCCTGAAGCCCCAATACATGTGTGCATGCACGCACATACAAACAGGCATGTGTGCATGCATTTCAGCCAGGGTAGCTGTGCTCACTAAACTTTCCCATAACAACCCTCCACGTTATGGGGTTTTTTTGTTTTTTGTTTTTTTGGTGACAGGGTCATGCTCTGTCACCCAGGCTAGAGTGTAGTGGCAAGATCTCAGCTCACTGCAACCTCTGCCTCCAGAGCTCAAGCGATCCTCCCACTTCAGCCTCCCAAGTAGCTGGAACTACAGGCGTGTGCCACCACACCCAGCTAATTTTTTGTTATTTGTTGTGGTAGAGACAGGGTTTTACCATGTTGCCCAGGCTGGTCTCGAACTCCCAGGCTCAGGCAATCCTCCCACCTCGGCCTCCCCTCCCAAAATGCTGCATTAAGTTTGTTAGGAAAAGAGGTTCTCTTCAAAAGGAGAGAAAACAATAGTTGAGAAACTTCTAGATTCATCAGGCTCTAAGATTATGTGATCTCTTCTGCAGCTTTGTTGGTTCCAGCTTTGTTGATAAGAAGTCAGTGAACATACAGCCATCTAATAAGAATTTGGGAAGCAGCTGTTTTTTGTTTGGTTTTGATTTTGATTTTGATTTTTGGTCTTGTTTTCCCAATTGCCAAATGCCTCCAAGGTGCCTTCGTACAGAACCAAAACAAACTGCTCAGGTAAATGACAGCCTGGCACTTTCATATTTCTGATTCATTTGATGTTAGTCATATTTTTCCCCATTGGGAAGATCCATATTTTTGTGACAAGAGCTTCATATTAATTTTAAAAGTAGATTCAGTGATGTCATAATTTCTCATTTTGTTAAGTCCTGAAGCAGTCATTCCCCGTAGAGAAGGGGGATGCATTTCACCAGATAATTACTGTTGTTTATTATGGAGGCAGGAAGAACAATAATATCTTCTTTTTTAGCATATGCCCCTAGTTCATAAAGGAGATGAATAAAAGATTAAGGAATAATGAGGGGGTAGTCGTTATTATATTATGAATCATTCTTTTATTTACTGTTTGCAGGTACTTGGTAGGAAAGAATGTTATACTCGGAAAGATGAGAAGGCCTTCCTGAGACTTTTGCAGCTAATCCCTAATATTCAGCAGCAGTTATGTATTGACGGCCTGGGGTGGCAGTGAGGTTCACTTCTCAAATGCACTAGATGAAGAACCAATGTCAGGCCTGCTGGAACTCAGTCGCTATGTAGAAGAAAATACATGCAAGGAAAGCATAGGGGCTGACAGCTAGAAGACACAGATGGGAGGAAAGTTTGGAACATTTTCTTGGGGAGAAACATTTTCTGTGGACACAGAAAATGTTGGGTTTCTTTTAGAGTTTGCTTGAGGAATGACCAATGGAAATGATAAAGAGGTTTCTGCTGTACCATCTGAGTGTCGGGCCTGGTAAAGTGATGTGACTTGGATCTGTCTGTCTATTCCCAGGCCTGTGGTGAATAAGCATTGTCAGCAAACAGCTTGGGAGGTAATTGTGCTCTGGTTGGAAGGGTAATGAAATGGGCGCAGACTCAAAGGTAGTTGTATTAGAGGCTCATATTCTTAGATTGCAGTTGTTTTCTGAAGAATGTAGCCGTTGAGTGAAAGCTGTCATCTCAAAAAGTGGACTATGCTAGCACTGACAAAGGATTTTCATTTTGTTTGGGTACTTTTCAAGAATCCATTTTAAAATAAGAACCATTAATCAGCAAATAGAATTAATAATCTAAATAAAGGCACCTTGAATTCACCCTTGCAGCATACAAAGCAACTCCCACGTGTCATCTGGCTGAACTTTGTACAAATCCATGTGCAACACGTGGGTGTTATCTCCATTCACCCATGAGGACTGTAAAGGACAGAGTGCTTTTAGCCAAAAGCATCCTTTGGAACCTATGACACTGTATACTTCCCCTAATGTTAATGCTTTTCCATCAGACACACCCCTTGAAAATGGAAAAAAATAAAAGTGGCAGATGCAGGGATGGGGAGAGACTGTCGGGGTTATGGGGCAGTTAGGAAGGGAATGGCAATATATTTCAGCAGATCCGCTTTGATGGCTTTCTGGAAAAATAAAACAAAAAGGCTACTTGGACATCCCCTGAAACCTACTTCGACTAGAAGACCCCAGTGAAATGCTCACTTGGCCCATACACAACTCAGAAAACAAAACCACAATGTCCACATTAGTGAATGCAGGCTCCAAGTTTCCCCTAGTTCAAAGCCAACTTTCCCAAATTCATGAAAAGGCATCCCGAATCCCTCCCATGGCTCTTCCTTCCACCCCTGTCCGTCATGCAGGTGTCCATTCATTCAGCCATTCTTCCTGTCCCTAATCCTGCAGGTGTGCATTCAGCAAACATTCGTTGCCTTCTACTGTGTGGTTCCCAACTGCCAAGAAGTTTCTAACTATAAAATAAAAAATGTTTGACAAAATGACAACTTAATTCAGGATATTGTTTCTACTCAGGAAACTCCACCATCCTGCCACACCTTACTACCCAACTTTACCCTCCCCTAGTCTCCCACCATTCAGGCTGGCTGGGCTCCTTCCTATTCCTTCAATATGCCAGGACCCATGCATTGCTAAATAAATAAAGAGTCCTTTAGGGTATCCTCCCCATCCCAACACCACCAAGCAACCTTCTCTGTCAGAGAATCACACCCATGCATTAGGGAGCTCAATGCCACCCAAGCCAGCTGGTACCACCACCGGGCATCTCAGAGAATCAGTGTTTCTTCAGATTGAGCCAAAATCCGCCTTCCCTGCACCATTTATACAACTCGGGGCACAAAGATGCCAGTTTTCAATGCTGCTGTAAACAAGAATGTTTGGGCACCGAAAGAAATATGGCAGCTTTCTCCCATCTAACTCCACACCCAGAATAACTTGTTAAAGACGTGAGCAAGGGGTAATTTTCTTCATTTGTTTTCTTTTTTCTTTTTTTGTTCTCTTTCTTTTCCTTTCTGTATAAATCACATTTAAATTACCTGCTGGGGAGGAATATAAATGAGACTCAGTCAGACCTCATGAGTCATCTTGCAGAGGGAAACAAAGCAGCCTTGCTTCAAAAAGCAATTTAATTAACTTTGTTATGTGCTGTGGAAATAAGCTTTTAAAGATGAATCGAAACAGCTGCATGCAATTGTTTAAAAAATAAGTGAACAGTGCAAATTACTGTCTGGTTTTTAGGTATGAAAATAGTAGAAGAAATGAAAGATTTTAAAATGTGAAATAACGTGAAGTTTGCATTCAATATTAAAGAAGACAAAAACAAAATGGGCTCTTAGCTGAGTATACGTCAAAGAAAAACAAAAGCAAACATGTCATCCTTTAAAGACAATGCTCTTCCGTAGGGACAGCCCTGTTCTGACCTAGGATGAGAGGACACAAAGTTCCAGTCTAGCCTTTGACCGTCCCCTCTGTGTCCCAGTGTTTTCATCTGTCAAATGCAGATGAATCCAGTTTTACCTGTTTCCCAGAGTTGAAGGTCAAATGGAATAGTGGATATGAAAGCACGTTGTAAACTGCAAAACACTGAACCCATATATGACATCGTTCTTGCTGATGAATAACTCCATTTCTTCAGAATAGAAAAAAAACCACTAGGAGTTATAGCTCTTTTAAACATAAACACTCAACTTACTCTTCCTCCCTCAATATTATACATGTTGAAACACAAAGAACTGGTGTATCACTTTTGTGAACTATGAATGGTAAACAGCCACATGAATAGGCCATAGTTCATCTCATTGTTCCTCACCTGGGAGGGAAGTTGGTTGTTCTTCTATGGTTTCCCTCATGCCCAAGCAGAATGTTCACTGCAGCACAGTTTGTAGTGTCACTTCTCGCTGTTGGTAAGGAAGCTTTCTGATAGTACAGGTTTGATCTTGTCCCTCTCCTGCTGAAAACCTTTCACTGGCTCCCTGTTGTCTACTTTCCTGCCCCGTAGCCCTGCACTTCTGCCCTGTCCTCTCTCTCCTTGCAGCTCTGCTCTGGCCATTTTGAAGTCCCTTCCCTTTTGGCCAAGCACAGCGTCCACAGGGTTCTCTGTATCCTGGTCCTGTTGCCTCCCCAACCCCAGTCCTTCTCACCCTTTCCTACCCCGGTATCACACCTCCTCCTCTGCCCTGGACCTGAAATGCCCTTTCCCAGATCCTACCCCACCCCTACCTCCCACTGCCAACTCCATTACTTTCTCCAAGCAACTAAGTGTCATATCACCTATAAAGCTTTTAGTGAACTTCCTCTGATCCTAGGGAAATTGATTCCTGTGTGCCCCCCATAGAATTGACTCCCATCTGCCTACCACCTGCAGACATCAATTGGAACCCCTCAAAAAAGGCAGTATCCCCATTTACTTGCCATTTTCCCTCTCCAGTCTGGGAGCTATTCATGTTCAGGCACCATGTCTTTCATGCCTCTCTGTACCCCCAGCACATGGCACATGGAATATACTCACTAAATATTTCACAAATTAGTATCTGGATGAATGAATAAAAAGTCTGACCTCTACAGCATCAGCCCCAGAAAAATGAATTCAAGAATTACGCAGACTGGGGTGAGACTGATGGAATTCAATCTAATCAACTCCTCCCCATGGATACTGAAACCAGTAAGTACTGCTATTTATAACCTCCAAAGTTTTACTTTAGTTGGATGATTCAACCAATTATTGAATTGCCCTAAGTTTTCTTAAAATTCATTTAGAACTATTCTGAAACATAGTCAACTTATTTATCTTTAGTTCAGGCATGCTTCTTGTGAAAGTATGTAAACTTCTTGAGAAAACAAAATCCCTATCTACTAGGAAATGAATTTATGAAAAGGATGAACAGACAATAACTAGTAGCCTAGCCTAGGGATCCAAGAGTTAATGTTACCTCCCAAAAGTGTTAATTGGCTCCTTATTCAGCAGGATCCAAGGATCCATTCTAATCACACATTAGTGATTTTGTTTCTACCAACTCTGGGGAAAAGCCTTTCTTAGTACTTTATGCCACAGCAGAAGTCCATGTGTGGTGTTCCATGAAGTTGTAACATTAAATTTGTTTGTGTATCTTGTAGAAATCAACCTTGCTGACTTATAAGCACAAATCTAAAAGCATCTCATTTACTGAGGACCAAGAAGGGACATATAAGTAAAGTTTTAAAATATCTTAATTTACTCCCTTTAAATCTACGGGCTTATACAGTCAGACCATTTGTGATAGCAATGCTTTTAAATATGTTGTACATTTCGTAAGCAGATGAGACAGAATATCATTTAACATTCTCCTGAACACTCAACATTATCCCCAAGAACTCTGATGCCAAGGGAGATACCAAGAGATACCAAGAGAGCTGGTCTGGGAGTTGGAGAACTAAGTTGTCATCCTGGCTTTTTCATGACTTGATGTGTGACCCTCAGCAAGCTACTTCTGCCTTCTGGGTCTCATCGATACAATGAAGAGTGAGACTAGATGATTTTGAGATGGTTTCTTCCAATTGTGTGAGGTATTTATCAAGTTTTCAAGTACATGTAATGTTATGTTACTATTTTCCAAAGGGAATATAAGCACTTACATCCAGTGTCTTCTAGAATTTGGTAGGCTAGAGAAGCATAGATTAAACACAAGAGACAGCTATTATTAAATATTGCCATGACATATAATTTAATAAGACTAGGGTATGTTAAAATAATAAGCAAACTGCGTATAATTACCTGGCCATATTTTTCAGACCCAAACTCCTAGATTTTTTTTCCCTGTGATGTACTCATTTGGTAAGTGGAAAAAAATAACTTCAACACTTCTGTCACTCCAAGTATCTACTTCTACAAGTAGAGACTACAATTAATATATATGTCCATAAAGAAATCTATTTCCAAAAACTACATATGAAGACAGTTCCAGAGTGCAAAACAAGTTCCCTAAGCCCCTTCCAATTATGGAGGCAATGACAATTAACAACTGATTTGGTGGAAAATTACTTTGTGCATTCAAAGCCTGAAATACTGCCAAAATGGGAGAGAATCAACAAAATAACATAGCCAGGCTAGATTGAATCCACAGGAAATATTATAGAAGAGGCACTTAATGAGCTGGGCAAAGGATGCTGCTTGCTCACCAGGTGAGGTTAATACAAGACCCTTTGCCCAAGCTTTCCATGACAATGCATTGCTAATTTTCTCAAGAAAAATCTGCTCCAGTGGTGAGTCACTGCCCTTTTACTGGCATTATTTTAATGATATGAGATAGAAGAAAAGGTCACAATTTAGATCAATGCCATCTTTGGATGACGGAATAGGTGAGTCATCAAATGAAATTAACACTGAAGCATCGTTGCCATTTTTGCCGTCTATACTCTCTCCTAATACTCTCTACAAAAAAAAAAATTCAATGAGATATTTCAGGAGAGCTGGTTGCTAGGTTTCAGCCTCATTCAAAGCTCTTCATTTCAGCATGGACAAGAAACATGGAAAATTTTCACGATAACGATATTAAATGTATCATGAGGCAGTCAAAGGGCTCAGATGTCTATATGTTGACAGTGGTAACTCTAGCGACTGACATAAAATACAAAAACAAAAGAAACTCAGCCGCAAGAACTTTAGAAATCATCTTAGTCCTTCCCTTTACTTTACAGAAGACACCAAGATTCAGAAAGGAAAGTGACTTGCCTAAAAGATCACACACTTAGAGGCAAGATGAGACGAGAAGCCAGGTCCTCCATCTCCTTAATCAATGTGCTTCCCAAACATCAGGCATTTTTGATTCATATATTTCATTTCAGACTTTAGATTTTACAAAATGTTTCTTATTACTGGTAACGGGAAACAGCAACCAAAACAAAGAAGATGACTTTTTTAAAAGATTTGAAAAGATTGTCAGTTTTTTAAAAGTCTTGATTAAAATATTTGTTATTAAAATGCGCTGTAACACCCCTCTAGAGAACATATACAGATGGAAACAAGCACAGGAAAAGATACTCCACATCATATATTATCAGGGAATTTTAAATTAAAACAACGAGATACCACTACACACCTATTAGAATGGCCAAAATCCAGAACTCTGACAGCACCAAATACTGGTGAGGGTATGGGGGCAAGAGGAGTTCCCATTCATTGCTGGTAGGAATGCAAAATGGTACAGCCAGTCTGAAAGACAGTTTGGTGGTTTCTTATAAAACTCAACATACTCCTACCATACGATCCAGCAATCTTGCTCCTTGATATTTATCGAAATGAGTTAAGAACTTATGTCCACACAAGAACCGGTACACGAATGCTTATCCTAGCTTTATTCATAATTGCCAAAACTTGGATGCCATCAAGATGTACTTCAGCAGGTGAATGGATAAATTGTGGTACATCCAGACAGTGGAGTATTATTCAGCAATAAAAATAAATGTGCTATTAAGCCACAAAAAGACATGGAAGAAGCATAAACGCATACTGCTAAGTGAAAGAAGCCAGTCTGGAAAGGCTACATATTGTAAGATTCCAACAATATGACATTCTGGAAAAAGGCAAAACTATGTAAACAGTAAAAAGATCAGTGGTTGCTAGGGACTTGGGTGGAGGAAGGAATGAATGGGTAAAGCACAGGAGAATTTTAAGGCAGTGTAACTATTCTGTGTGATATACTATAATGGTGGATACATGTGATTATACATTTGTCAAAAATGTACAACACCAAGAATGAACCCTAATGTATACTATGGAATTTAGGTGATAAAGATGTGTCAGTGTTAGGTTCATGTTGATGGTGGGGATGGCTGGGGGTGTGGGAGCAGGTGAGGAGGACATATGGAAACTCTGTACTTTCTGCTTAATTTTGCTATAAACTTAAAACTCCTCTAAAATATAAAGTACATGTTTTTTTTAAATGCTGTCGTTTTCTTTTAGGATGTTTTACAACTCAAAGATTTTGGATTAGGAAGTACAACACAGCCCACTGGGCTAGCTTACAAGGGAAAGCCTGATAGCTGCTAAGAAAATCCACTAAACATTCTTTAGAATATGAAAGATAATCACTTTATCCCAAAGAAGTTAAAGAGAAGATCTCATGAAATGCACTTAAAAAAATGCATATTTATTTTTATTTATTCATTTTTTTAAAAAAAACAAAAACCTACATTCTGGCTGCTATAACACACATTGCATATTTATAATGAAAATGAAAAAAATTAAATATTCAACATACCAATGTTTACTTTGTTCAAATGATTATATGTATTTTATTATGTGGTCAGAGTTCAGCAAGCTTGTTCCTTGAGTTCAATGTGACAAGCAAAACATCTGTTATGTCTAGCTAGAAGGGTCCTCCTAAAACAGCCACCCCAATGGTCTATGCTTGGATTATAGATAATCATAACATTAAATGAAGGTTATTATAAAGAGTCATTATTAGTAACAATAATCGAAGCTAAATGAAACAGATAACAATCAACATTAAAATGATCACTTGATATTGTGGAACAGCTACAGATTAAACTTTTAAAAACCACTGCATTAACAGAAAGAACATATATCTTCTAAAATGAAAACTATATCGACTTCTGAGATATAAATAACTGTGTGATCAAATGACATTAGTTATGAAGAATGTGCATTATGTAGAAAACATTGCGTTGAGGACAGAGATGGGGTCTAGTTCTGGAGGTCATTCACCGCTAGTAGTCCCCTACGTGTCAGGCCCAGCTGCCTCAGAGGCTTAAGAGAACAGAACACATATTAATATGAAACTAAATAGAAAGATTTCTAAAAAGGGACATAATACGGAATGACATCCATTCATTCACCACATGCCTTAGACACCTATTCTGTGCCAGGCATTGGGCAGAGTGGGAGAAAGATGTATTGACATGGTGCCTAACTGCATGGAAATGCATGGACCTCTAGAATTCACCCAGGCAGAAATGGGAGTAGGGGTTGAGAACCGTTTCATAAGGTTCCCTCTCAAACTCTTCAGCGCACCATTGTGTCATTGGTGTTTTGAGAAGCTGGTGACCTAGCCAGAGAACTGTGATCATGGGATTCCAGCTTTTAGAGGCTGCCCACAGCCCCTGGTTTGCAGCTCTCCTCCTCCATCAGCCAAGCCAGGAACAGCAGGTTGAGTGCTTCTGATATCACATCACTCTGACTTCCTCCTGAACTTCCCTCTTCCACTTTTAAGGACCTGTATTAGTTCCTTGTGGCAGCCATAACAGATTATCACACATTTGGTGGTTTAATCCATTTATGCCTAGTGTTTCACTATTGGAACGCTAAGCTTGTGGGAATTATTTCTATCCTACTGCTCGAGGTCATCACCAAGGTCTGATTTTTCACACAAAAAAATCTGCAACCTCCAGCATAATGGGTTAAAACAGTAGAAATGTATTCTCTCATAGTTCTAGAGGTCAGAAATCCTAAATCAAGGCATCAAGAGAGCCACACTCCTCCGAGAGGCTCTGGGGCCTCTTCCTTCCAGCTTTTGGTGGCCCCAGGCTTCCTTGGCTTGTGGCAGACTCACTCCCATCTCTGCCTCCATCTTCACATGGCTGTCTCCTCTGCATGGGTATGTCTCAAATTCCCTCTGCTCTCTCTTATATGTATGCATGTGATAGCACTTAGGATTTCAAAAATTATCAAGAATTATCCCATCCAGATAATCCAGGATAAACAGTTCCTCTCAACATCCTTCATCACTTTTCCCGTATAAGGTAATACTCACTCTTTTCCTACATAAGGTAATATCCACAGGTTCTAGGAAATAATAAGTGAATATATCTTTGGGGTACCATATTTTTAGCCAACCACAAGAGCCTGTGACAAATAACACTGGGCCCACCCAAAAAAATTGATAATATTCTCCCTGTCTTAAAGTCAGCTGAGAGGCAGACTTAATTCCATCTACAACCTTAATTCTCCCCTGCCAGATCAAGTAACATATTTACAGGTTCTAAGCATTCAGATGAGCATATCTGATGGGTCATTATTCTGCCTAGCACACCATGTAACAACTGTTATATAACAAATTGTGTCCCCTCTAAAAAATTCATATGTTGAAGTCCTAACCACTAGTACCTGAGAATGTGACTATATATGGAGATAGGCTCTTTAAAGAGGTAACTAAGGTAAAACAAGGTCATTAGGATGGGCCCTAATCCAGTGTGACTGGGGTCCTTGTAAGAAGTGATTAGGACACAAATGCCACACAGAGGGAAGATCAAGAGAAGACACAGGGAGAAGACGGTCATCTACAAGCCAAGGAGAGATACCTCAGAAGGAACCAGCCCTGCCTACACCTTGATCTTGGACTTCCAGCCTCCAGAACTGGGAGACAATGCATTTCTGTTGTTGAAGCCCCCTAGTCCATGGTACTCTTTTACAGCAGTCACAGGAAACTCATAAAGTCATCTAACCAAGGAAGCTATAAGGGAAGGGAACAGACAGGGAGTGGGAATCTTGGAGCATCTTAAAATTCAGCCTACCACAGGTGACAGTCCCCACCAGACTGTCCAAGTCATTTGGAAGAAATTGTCTAACTTTTCTTGCTTATTCCATTTTCCTGGGCTTTCTATTCATTTCCCACTCAAATTTTTATCTTAATTCTAATTGGTCTGAGGTGAGTTTGGAAGGAGGGTGAGTAAAGGGTGGAAGAGGACTGTGTCTCTAGCTAGCAGCAGCAGAAATGGTAGAGGAAAAAATGCATGGTGCCCTTGGCCTGTCCTACATACAATTCTTATGAAATAAATGGTAGACATGTGAATAGACTTCATTTTTCACAGCCCCCAGTTTCATTTTCTATTGTGAATATTTTTAAAGCAACAAAATCTGGCTATCCAACGTACATTTTTCTTTAAAATGTATATTTTTATAATTTACACATAGCTGGGAAAATCAGATTCTGTTTCTACTCTAATTCATTCTGTTTATGTGCATGTTCACAGGCCAGAGCTAAACATGATAACATTGCTGATAATTGCAGAATTGCAGCAACAGAGCAAGAGAAAGAGAACTGGTGGGTCTTCCCAGACCTGTGTCAGCAGGACACATCAAGAGCATTCTATGAAACCATACTAAATGGGAAAGCCCCGCCCCCACATCCATGAACAGCATACCCAGCTTCCCTGCTGCTTTGCTTGCGTGCAAAAAACCACAGATGTAGTGGTGAGGGATGGGGTTGGGGCTGGTTGAGAAAGGGGGGTGTGTTTTAGGGCTTCAGAGCAAAATGCAGAGTCCTGGGAACAGAGTGCTACAGATACAGATGGGAGGAAAAAATCTGATGCCCCTCCAGCCATTTTGGTCTTCTTCCTGAGGCAGAGCAGACAATTTGGCACAGGGGGCCTGTGTTGTTATCTTCCCATTTAGTAGGGGCTGGCCAAACTCTCATGCAACTCTGAGGTCCTAGGGATTCAGTGGTGAATAAAACAAAGTGCCTACCTTCCTGCACTTACATTTTAGTGGAAGGAGGTGGCTAATAAAGTAATTTCATCCAGTATTAAGTGTTGTGATAGCAATGGGAGTCTCACCGCTTTAGGTTGTCAGGGGAAACCTCTCTGAGGTGGCATGAGCATTGTGACCTGAAGGGTGAGGAAGAGCCAGCTGTGAGAAGATCTGGGAAGAGGGTACCAGGCAGAGGGAACAGCTAATGGGACTGAGTATGGGAGGTTCGGGGAACACCAAGAAGTCCAGGAGGCTGGCAAATGGTGAGCAAGTGGGGTGGGAATGAAGTGAAAGGAAGTGGCCTGGCTTGTAGGCCACATATGGAGTCTAAATCTTCCTGAGTGAGATGGGGAGCTATTGGGAGGATTTTGAGCAGAGGCATGGTATGCCTGATCTATTATCTTTAAAGGAAACTTCTAGTTGCTTTGTGGCAAAGTGACCACAGGTGCAAGAAGGGCAGAAGAAACCAATTTGAGGCTCCAGGCGAGGAGTAAATCTGGGCTGGCCCGAAGTGGGAGCATTGAAGGTGGTGAGATGCACACAGATGCAGGGTGTGCCATTTGTAGTATCCCTTCCCTCAGGGCTGCTGGATCCTCTTTTGGAGGAAAGCATCCCTGGGTTGCCAGGTTGCGAACTAATGTTCTCCACCTTCATCCTGTATTTACCAAAAGGGCTAACCTCAATGCATCTTTAATGGACGCAAGAGCAGGGCGTATGTGAAAGGAAGTGCAGGCACGTAAGCAGTGAAAGGTAATGGGGGGCAGGGAAGCCAGAGGGTTAATAGCACAAATGTGCCTAGAAACCATTTCTGCTTTTCTCCATTACCTCTCTGGTTTAGAAACCTCAAATTCACATACTCCTATTGGTTTTCCTTCTCTCCAAAGTCCACAGCAGTGAGGATTCCAAATAAGAAAAAGGCATCACAGGCACAGCAGTGGCCATGTCTATCTACGCACGCCTCAGTTGTGTCTTAAGTTGGCTGTTCCCCGTACTAAAATTTTCATTCAACATCATTCATTAGCACTGAAGCAAAGTCAATATGGATTGTCAGGAACCCAGTAAAGGTCTCCTTATTTTAAATTGCACCTTCGATATAGCATTATCAACATTCTACCTTTGCCTAATAAGGTGTGTGCTTACTTCAGGCTTTATACAAACATCTTCAAGTCCATCATTAAACACATACACTGGGAGGCACAATTCTAAATCTCCAGCAGTAGTTCTCAATCCAGCTTCATGTTGATCACTGCCTGTTCCAAAATTTTTTTTTTTTTTTTTTGAGACAGAGTATTGCTCTGTCACCAGGCTCTCGGCTCACTGCAACCTCCACCTCCCAGGTTCAAGTGATTCTCCTGCCACAGCCTCCTGAGTAGCTGGAACTACAGGCACGCACCACTGTGCCCAGCTAATTTTTGTATTTTTAGTAGAGATAGGATTTCACCACATTGGCCAGGATGGTCTCTATCTCTTGACCTCGTGGTCCGCCGCCTCGGCCTCCCAAAGTGCTGGGATTACAGGCATGAGCCACCACGCCCTGCCCCAAAGAGCTTTCTAGGCCCCCACCCCCAGAGAGTCCGATTCAGAAGGTCTGGGTTACATTTGGGCAATCAGTTATTTTTAATAAATCCTACAAGGTGATTGCAGTAAACTTTCAGAACTGCTGTCCTGTAGTTTCTGCAATGCCATTACCTGTTTCCTGAGTTCCCTGGACATCTCATAACCTATAAAATTTGTTAATACTAAGACGTCTCAAATGTGTTTGGGAAGGGGATATTAACATTTATTAGTAAGAATTAGCTGGAGTCCTCAGAAGCACAGGAAGGAGCTGGAGTGCAATCAACGGGTGATTAGAGGACAGAGGACACAGGACATTGGTCATGAGGGGGTGGCATGTGGACGTCGTCAGGAATTATCTATTTCCACATTTCTCAACTCTCCTTTAGGGGCATTTGAAGCCCACCCCAGACGAAGTATAACCAGCCCTTTACAGCTCAACACCCCTCCCCCACACTCCCAATCAGTTTGAGCATTTCTGGTTGACATTTACTGCATAAAAACTTATCCTTGACAGCTCTCTATATAATCTACATAGCACAAACAGAGGCCAACGAACAAATTTTTTAAAGTGAGCTCTGTACATATTCTACATGTTATAAAATGAGAAGCAGGCAAACAAATTTTTAAAAACACAGCGGTTAATAAAACATTAATTGAATCAGGACACAGCAAAGTAGCACTACAAACACTTTTTTTAATGACATCAGATGGTACATTTATACAAATTACAAGCTACAATATAGTGAATACAAAATCCATCCAGAAAACGGTTAGAAAAGCATCACTTAACAGAAGTAAATCGGATTCAAGTAGCTAAAGAACTCAAGCCCCCCATTTTGATGATTATACACGGCTTGAAATGCAGCACATCCAAATCCTCCCCCTAGTCAGGGCACTATTCAATACTACAGCATATTCAATGACTCTAGTGATGTAAAGATTCTAACACTTTTAGCATCGACGTCAAGAGACATCTCGTAACAGGTTCACTATGCAAAACTCAAATGAGAATGTGTGAACGTTCTTTGCAAACTGTAAGGTGCTGTGCAGATGTTGTTAGCTATTGCTATTATTACTGTTCAGTGAGATTACACTGAACGTGGGGAAAAGGAAGACTACTCTGTATAACTGACAAATATGACTTACAGAACATCTTAAAAGGAATGCAGATATTACTTTCAAATACACATAGCAACAACACAGGCAAGGAAAGTGTGGCCAGGAGTGATGTCGAGGAATTCCTATTTTAAGGAATATATAAAGGATTAAGCTATTCATAGATTATGTGTAATATTTATCATTAGATTCCCAAAGTCCCTGAAAATAATTTATTTTTAAGGTGACCCTTTCCCCCTGAAAAGGGAAAAAGAAATCTTGTCAGGTTACTAATGTGCTGCTTCAGCCAGCTCTTGTAAAAATTATCTTAAACATAGGAGTACAGTCTGAATTAATAGTTATACTAATCTGGTGGGTGACACAGAGTGCTTGACAGCAGAGAAACCTGCCACTGACCTCAGACAAGTGACAAATTCTGTGTCAGAGTTGAACCATAAGTTTACAACTTCACTTGGGCATAAATTAAACAATAAACATGAACTTGTCTAGAGATAAGAAATACACACTAGGTACATCTAAAATCGGATTTAAATCCTTTTTATGTACTTTCGGGTTTCATCTTTCTTTGTATATACCCTACTTGTTTAACTGATTTTAGTGGTCTCCTTGGGTATTCTAACTGTATACATAAAATTGACATGAAAATGGAAAACAAACGCCAAACAAGTCAATTGGTTGTTTCTTTTGGCAAAGCTGATGACATTTTCATGATGAAAATGTTCCAATTATTAGGCCAGGCACGGTGGCTGATACCTGTAATCCCAGCACTTTGGGAGGCGGAGGCGGGTGGATCACCTGAGGTCAGGAGTTCGAGACTAGCCTGGCTAACATGGTGAAACCCCGTCTCTACTAAAAATACAAAAATTAGCCGGGTGTGGTGGCACGCACCTGTCATCTGAGGTACTCAGGGGGCTGAGGCAGGAGAACTGCTTGAACCCGGGAGGCGGAGGTTGCAGCGAGCCGAGATTGCGCCCTTGCACTCCAGCCTGGGCAAGAAGGGCAAAACTCCGTCTCGAAAAAAAAAAAAAGAAAAAAGAAAACAAAATGTTCTAATTATTACAATGTATTTCTGTTAGATTTCCATGAAACATGGGGATTTTTAATGGCAGGTTTAAATTTTTTTTCACTAACAACCCCAAACCAAATTCTACTGTTATATGTACAATGGTATCCATTTGAAGAACTAATGACATCAGATACATTCTACAGCAGACTTTTCATTTCTCAACACAAATGAGAAAAAGGACTACATTCTCCAGGGCCAAACAGGAGGTGAGGAAGGTAATGTGTTACCGTAAATAGGGTTAAATCAGTAGTTTGGACTGACACTTCAAGTTATATCTCCTAACTGAGGTTATTCTTACAATCAGTTTTCAAACAATAGGGAACATATTTCTACCTTAAAACATGTATAAGGGCTCAACTGTAGCTTTCCTTTCTATACATCTTGAAGTATATACATTGTGTAAAAGGAAACTAGTGAGACATTTTGAAAAATAAATCTATTTGCCAAATACCATATGTTATTTAACATAGTTAAAAACAGCAGCAAACTAGTGAGTTAACAGTTAAAACTCTAGGAAAAAACTGCTTTGAAAACAAGCCTATTTTGTTATAAGCCTAAATATCAACCCTAGCATTTGATTTTAACCTTCAAACATTTGGCGCTTTTTCCAAGAGGAAATTACAACTGCCTTTGCATATGCCCCTGGTTTAAATACTTGCAGAAAAATACCCATGTATCATCACCTATTCAGCAAATGCCTGAAACCAAAACAATAATCCAACATTGGACAGTAACATTTTACAAACAGCATAAGATCCCAAAAGCACAAGAAATACCTTGGCATTATATAAAAAGAAATTAGGTGGACAATTCTAAATACAACAATACTTCTTAATTAGGGACCATCTAGAAATCTACCACATACTACCCTAGACTCAAATGTCATTATACTAAAATTGTAGTCTTTAAGCAAGAATTAAAAACAGTTCCATAATAATCATACTGATCTTTCACTTTTCTCAACAGTTAAACACAAATGCTATTTGACTTTTATGACTAATCATCCCTCTATTCCTTTAGTCCAGTTTCACAACATAAAAAATAAATGTGAACAACAAATCGGTAATGGTTTCACATACTTAAGCAAGAATCCTAGTATTAGGATTATCAGTAACAGAAAATTTGAATTTTAAGAGAATAAAGATAGAATGTGCTTATTTAGAAAATGGTCAATAAGGCCGGGCGTGGTAGCTCACGCCTGTAATCCCAGCACTTTCGGAGGCCGAGGCGGGTGGATCACCTGAGGTCACAAGTTCAAGATTAGCCTGGACAACATGGTGAAACCCCGTCTCTACAAAAAAATACAAAAAAAAATTAGCCAGGCGTGGTGGCAGGCATCCGTAGTCCCAGCTACTTGGGAGGCTGAGGTGGAGAATCACTTGAACCCAGGAGGCAGAGGTTGCAGTGAGCCGAGATTGCACCACTGCACTCCAGCCTGGGCAACAGAGCAAAACTCTGTCTCAAAAAAATAAATAAATAAAATAAAGAAAAAGAAAAAGAAAATGGCCAATAATCACTCATCTGAAAAAAATGCAAATAGCTGTCAGGAAAAGCTGGCAGAATTTGAACTTGTAAGCTAAACTTTTAGTGTGTATCAAACTAGCATTAAGGAATGGCTTTCAAAAATGAATACGGGATATCAACTAAAATAGAGGTTATTTTTAGATGGCAACATTATGGGGAATTTTGATTTTTTTTCCTGTTTGAATATGTATTTTTCCAGTTTTCTACAAAGAACATATACTATGATTTTATAATTAAAAAACAAATACTTGTGGGAGTGTTTTTAGATTGCACATAATTAGTACCAAATAACTAGAAAGAACACAGACTAAAGATACGAAAATAAAATCAAGGTTTTTTTCCATCAGATATGCCCAAGGAGAATACTTTTTGGATGAAAAAAAAATGTTTTCCAGATTGTTTCCACTCCTAACATATGCAAAAATGAACATATTTAAATGCAAATTCCTATCATATACACTACAATTTTAAAAAATAGTAAAAAAAACAATTTTAAATGGAGCTTCCTCGAACCTTTTAATTGAAGCCTAGCTTCAATGTTGAATGAGGAAGCAAAGTATCTCATTAAAAAGTTGGTCTGCAAAGCACAAAGCTGGCCTGCAAGGGGACTTGAAGGAAGCAGGCTGAGTGTTTGAGTAGTGAGATCTTTGCTTTGCTCTTTAGATCCTTCAGTAAGCTAAGGTCCTTTTACCTGAATGGATGTAATTTAGCCTAGTTTTCCCATAAAATAATGTAATGGATAATTCTTATTGACTAGGGATTACACTTCATGTGAAATTCCTCAGTGACATTCAGATTAATTCCAGTGTCCACAATTTAAGCAACTTTCCATAGGAAATTAAAATCCCAAATCCAAGGACCTGGTATTTTCATGCTAAAGAAAGCATTCCAGCGTAAAGTGGAGTTTAATTTGCTTCACTGTGTGCATCTTAATATATCCAAATGAGTAAAACTCAAAAGCAACCGTAAGTCAGAATACTATAAAACATGTTTTGTTGAAAGAAGATAAAATTCCTTCCAGAGTATTGTCTAATTAAATTAACATATTTCTTTGTAACTAACTTTTCCAAATTCTCATTTGCAAATCAGATTCATACAGTTAAAACTGAATATACAAACCAACATATTAGAAAGATCAAAATTTACATACTCAAACGTGACTCCTTAAGACTGACTTTAACATGTTCTTTCAACTTTATTCAAATCAGATGGCCCCCTCCAGCATTTATCATTTTAAAAAATGAATTTAATGCTATAAAAAGGTGATGTTCACTTTAATCCTGTTTGCCTTCACGCCACTGTCGTGAGCCTTCATTCCAGGCCACATACACAAAGAGGGCCAGCACCACATGGACGGCGACCACTGCAACAATAGCAGCGTAAAAATAGCTGTCCCTATTGGACATCCCAAGGGCGCCTATCAAGAGAAAAAAAACAGTTTCCATTTTATTGCAAAATTTACCAAAGTACAAAAAAAAAAAACAAAGCATCCTAATTTTTATGATGTATTTATTTAACTAGTCAGGCAATTAAAAAGTAATATTTTGGGTGGTAATGAATAAAGTATTCACTAAAAGATATGAGTACCTTCTATATATTAAGAACATTATGTTGGCCGGGTGCAGTGGCTCACGCCTGTAATCCCAGCACTTTGGGAGGCCAAGACGGGCAGATCACGAGGTCAGGAGATGGAAACCATCCTGGCTAGCACCGTGAAACCCCGTCTCTACTAAAAATACAAAAAAAATTAGCCAGGCGTAGTGGCAGGCGCCTGTAGTCCCAGCTACTCGGGAGGCTGAGGCAGCAGAATGGCGTGAACCTGGGAGGCAGAGCTTGACGCGAGCCGAGATCGCACCACTGCACTCCAGCCTGGGTGACTGAGCGAGACTCCGTCTCAAAAACAAACAAACAAACAAACAAACATTGTTTTAAACAAAACCATAATTATAAAGACTTCAGGCCGGGTGCGGTGGCTCACGCTTGTAATCCCAGCACTCTGGGAGGCCGAGGCGGGTGGATCACCTGAGGTCACGAGTTCGAGACCAGCCTGGCCAACATGGCGAAACCCCGTCTCTACTAAAAATACCAAAAATCAGTCGGGTGTAGTGGCGGGTGCCTGTAATCCCAGATACTCAGGAGGCTGAGACAGGAGAATCGCTTGAACATGGGAGGCGGGGGTTGCGGTGAGCCGAGATCGCGCCATTGCACTCCAGCCTGTGCAACAAGAGTGAAACTGTCTCAAAAAAAAAAAAAAAATTTCAACATCAAAAAGGGGACTTCATTCTCTCTTCCTTCCGTTATCTGACACTAAAGTCCATTCCCCCAAAATTCCTCCTCCCATGTCAGCCAACCCCTATTCTTTAAAAGGTACTAAGAGAAAGGATTTGCAAGCTATTTCACAGAAAACCATAGGAAAACTGTCAAGCTGAAACAATAAGTTATTTCATAAAGACTCATTATGAGCAATATGATTTTTTGAAAAGCTAAACAAGAAAAAAATAAGAATACCCAGTTTAAAGATATAAAGAGGTCATAAAAGCACAGAATCTTAAATTGGGGGAAAACATCTTGTTTTAATGGGTCTAAGATTACCTTCAAATATGTAAGATTTAGTTGTGAAATATAACCCAATAGGAACAGTGATCATTAAAGCTGTGAAGAACAGGAGCGTCTTCAGTGTAGATGCTAATGAGCTTTCATTTCTGGAATAAAGTAAACAAAGAGAAAATCAGAACCTGCACAGTCATATCCAAACGCTCTTATGTCCCTGAAACTATAAACATCCACAAATGAGATGCTATGCAGGAGGAAGATCACAGGCAGGGACTCGTAATCCGAAGATCCTAGAGAACCAGCTGTGGGTAGTGGGAATTTCTTGAGCTGGAACATGAAGATTATACACCACCTTTAGGGACTGTCATTCATATCCAGTGTAAGACGAAGCGTCAGGGCACCTCAGATCAACTGCCAACAAGCTGGGTGAACAAACTAAGTGAAGAAACTCAGTGCCCCTGCCTCTGGAACTGGAGCTTTTACCCAGGGAAGCCACGGCGGACAGCGGCACCAGTGCCCAACCCATGCGGCAACCGTGTCCACCAGCACCAGACACCAGAGCTGGGAACGCAGCAGGCACCATGGGTGGATCAGCGCGCCCTCTTTTGCTGGAATCAGAGCTTCCGTCACGGGAAGCGACCAGCTTGCTGTCCTCCAGCATGAGACAGTGGACCAGGGAACTAACGAGGCAGACACACCTGTGCACCCTCCCACACTGGAATCAGAGCTTTTGCCCAGGGAAGCCACTGTCACACTGGTCCCTGAGCCCACGCAGCAACCCTGACCACCAGCACCGGACACCAGACCAGGGAACTCGGCAGGCACCACAGGTGGAGCAGTGTGCCCTCTCCCGCTGGAATCGGAGCTTGCATCTGGGAAAGCTGCCAGCCTCCTGTCCTCCAGCACCAGACAGTGGACCAGCAAACTAACCAGGTGGAGCCGACGCACCAGCGTGCCCTCCCCCACTGGGATCAGAGCTTTGGCCCAGGGAAGCCACTGCCACACCAGTCCCTGAGCCCGTGCAGCAACCCTGACCACCAGCACCAGACACCAGACCACTGAAGGAGGTAGGCAGGGCGAACGGACCAGTGCGCCCTCCCCAGCTGGAATAGGAACTTCTGTTATGGGTGAAAAATCGAGCTAGAGGGAATACTTCCAAACACGTTTTAAGAGGCTCCAATCACCTTGATACCTAAGCCAGACAGACACAGCAAGAAAACTACAGGACAACATCACTGATGAACACTGGTGCAAAATTCCTCAATAACATATTTTCAAACCAAATTCAACAATAATCAGGCCAGGTGTGGTGGCTCACACCTGTAATCCCAGCACTTTGGGAGGCCGAGGCAGGCGGATCACTTGAGGCCAGGAGTTCGAGATCAGCCTGGCCAACATGGCAAAACCCAGTCTCTACTAAAAATACAAAAATTAGCTGAGAGTGGTGGCGTGTGCCTATAGTCCCAGCTACTTGGGAGGCCAAGGCACAAGAATCCCTTGATCCTGGGAGGCAGAGGTTGCAATGAGCCAAAATCACACTCCAGTCTGGGCAACAGAGCAAGACTCTGTCACAAACAAACAAAACCAATACATCAAAAAGATTATATATTATGACCAAGTAGGATCATCTCAGTTGATGCAGAAAAAGCACTTGACAAACTTCCGCATCCTTTACTGAGCTGAAAAAGAAATCAAGAAAACAATCTCATTTATAATAGCATTAAAAAAAAATACTTAGGGGCCAGGCTCAGTGGCTCATGCCTGTAATCCCAGCACTTTGGGAAGGCTGAGGCTTGAGGCCGGGAGTTTGACGCAAGCCTAGGTAACACAGCAAAACCCCACCTCTACAAAAAAAAATTTTGATAATTCGCTGGGCATGGTGGCACGTGCCTGTAATCTCAGCTACTCAAGAGGCTGAAGTGGGAGGATTGTTTGAGCCCCAGAGGTCAAGGCTGCAGTGAGCAGTGATTGGGGCACTTTACTCTGGCCTGGGTGACAGAGCAAGACTCTATTTCAAAAAAAAAGAAACTTAGGAATAAATTTAACCAAGGCGATGAGTGACTTGTACACTGAAAAGTATAAAACACTGATGAAAGAAATTGAAGATGACACAAATAAATGTAAAGATATCCTGTGTTCATGGATTGGAAGAATTAATACTGTTGAAATGTCTACAGCACCCAAAGCAACATACAGATATAACACAATCTCTATCAAAATTACAGTAGCATTCTTCATTAAAATAGAAAAACAATCCTAAAATTCATCATACAGAACCACAAAAAGCCCCAAATAGCCAAAGCAACATTGAAAAAGTTGTAAGCATCACACTTTCTGATTTAAAATATTACAGTTATAGTAATCAAAACAATATGGTATTGGCATAAAAACAGAAACATATAACAATGAAACAGAATAGAGCCCAGAAATAAATCCAAACATATATGGCCAACTAATCTTCGACAGGGGTGTTAAGAGGAACACAATGGGGAAAGGACAGTCCCTTCAATAAGTGGTACTGGGAAAACAGGATTTCTACATGCAAAGAAAAAAACTGGACTCTTACACCATAAACAAAAATCAACCCAAAATGGATAAAATAACTAAAACATAAAGATATAAAGTTTTAAGACATAAAAGAACACAGAGGGAAAGGTCCTTAACATTGGCCTCAGTAATGATTTTTTGGATATCACACCAAAAGCTCAGGCTACAAAAGAAAAAATAAAGCGGCTTGCATCAAACTAAAAAGCTTCTGTACTGCAAAGGAAACAATCAACAAAATGAAAAGGCAGCTTACAGACTAGGAAAACATATTTGCGAACCACCTATCTTGTAAGGGGTTAATACCCCAAAATTTATAAAGAACTCTTACAACTCAGCAGAAAAACCACCTGATTAAAATATGGACAACAGCTGGACAGACATTTCTCCAAAGACATAAAAATGGCCAAGAGATAAATGAAAATGTGCTCAACATCACTAAATCATCAGGGAAATGCAAATCAAAACCACTATGAGATATAACCTCACACTTCTAAGGACAGCTATTATCAAAAAGGCAAGTGATAACAAATGTTTGTAAAAGTGTGGAGAAAAAGAAACCCTACTACATTGTGACTGGAAATGTAGACTGGTACAGCCATTATGGAAAACAGTTCCTAAAGAAATTAAAAATAGAACTACCACACAGCCCAGCAATCTCTCTTCTGGAATATAAGCAAAGGAGATGAAATCACTACCTCGTAAAAATATCTGCACTTCCATGTTCATTGCAGCATTATTCACAATAGCCAAGATTTGAAAACAACCTACGTGTATGTAGACAGACAAAATAAAGAAACCGTAGTGTATATATACAAGGGAATATTTTATTCAGCCTTAAAAGAGGACATCTGCCATTTGCCACAACATGGATGGACCTGGAAGACATGTTAAGTAAAATAAGCCAAACGCAGAAAGACGAATACTACATGAGCTCACTTATATGTGGAATCTTTAAAAAAAAAAAAAAAAGGTCAACGGTCAACTACACAGGGACAGAGAATAAAACAGTAGTTACCATGGCGGTGGGGGTGGGAGGCTGGAGGGGAGGAAATAGGAAGATATACATCAAAGGACACAAAGCAGTAGATATATGGATTAACAAGTGAGATATCTAATGTACAAGAGGACTATAGGCAATAAAGTTGCATGGTATTAGGGACTTTTGTAAATAAGATTTTAGCTGCCTCTGGTCACACACACACAAAAGTATGTGAGATGACAGATATATTAATCTGCTTCACCATAGTAATCATTTTACTATATGTATGCCATAACATCATGTTATGAACCTCAAATATACACAATGAAATTTATTTAAAAAGAACCTGAACAAAAAACCCACAAAAACATTGAGTAAAATATATATTAAATATAACTAACCTCATGCCTATTTCTTGATCACATGCTCTGCACATGTGTGAGAAATTAAATGCTTACTGCTGTAAAAAAAAAAGTTCTAATATTTTCTTTTGGTACTTAAATGGATCATCTTTTAGCAGGCCTCATTTTGGTTATTACTGAGCTATACAACTCTCATTTAATATACATAAGCTCCCTTAAACTGTTTCCTACTAGTAAATTTTTAGAGAAATTTATTGTGTAATCCTCATGAAGAGTATGAGTGTCTGCAGTGGAGAATCTACAAAAAATACAAAGAGTCACTAATTGGCCAATTCTTTTGTGCACCCTAAAAAAAGCACTTGACTTTGGTGTTTCTATGGTGAGTAAAAAAGTATGTTTTAGGAATGCAACTTTCAGATTATCTAACTTGTTAAAGGAACAGAAAGGAAGTGTTAACTGATTGTTTTGTTCTTTACATGACCTCTCTTGAGTATCTATTATCTGGTCTGGCTTTTAAAAAGTTTATTATTGAAAAGATGATATAACACCATAAAAATGTTTTAAAGTAAACAAAATCACCTATAATCCCACCACCCAAATATAACCTTTCTACATATTAATTTCTAGCCCCCACACAATCTATACACAGCATACCTTAATAATTTATGGCTAATTCCTTCTCACTTCTCTCTTTACCTCAAACTTCAAAAATGTGACTACTTTTCTGTGTTGTGACCTCACTAATATGGGACTAAGCATTAAGTCAAAGTGTACATACAAACTTTTGAAAACTAGCAAACTTCCTCTACTGTTTATAGGACATTTTCTCCCTGGATTCCAGCCACAAGAGCTGTTGGTTTTGCTGATGCAAGCCACCTTGGGTAAAATCAGTGGCTTATCCAAGACAAAGCAACTGATGCTATTCAATTGATTTATCCTATGTATCTTTGGGTGTTACTGAGCAGAGATTTGTTAGAAGTGAGGAATGAGAAAGGCTGGAATTAAAGTTGTCCTCACACAAAGGAAAAAGTTCAGGATGAACCTTAATCTGCCTCCATTTATAACACCACCTAGTTTTCCCACTTCATACAAACTTCTGCAGCCAACATTGAGCAGACAGAGCCTACCACATTCCCTTTTGTAGCAAGTAAGACAACAGGAATTCTTTCTCCCACAGTCAAGATTTCACTGCAAATTCCATTAGGAAACCAGAATCAGTCTAGAAGGACTATGCTGTAAGTGTATCTAATAAAAATATGTTGGTATTCTCATAAATGAATAATTAAAAAAAAACCCACATTGAGGCTGGATAAAGAAAATGCGGTACATATACACCATGGAACACTATGCAGCCATAAAAAAGAATGAGATCATGTCCTTTGCAGCAACATGACTGGAGCTGGAAGCCATTATTCTAAGCAAATTAAGACAGGAAAAGAAAACCAAATACTGCACGTTCTCATAAGTGGGAACTAAACAACAAGAACAGATGGACACTAGGAGAGGAACAACAGACAGTGCGGTCTACTTGAGGGTGGAGGCTGGGAGGAGGGAGAGAATCAGAAAAAACGCCTATCGGGTACTATGCTTATTACCTGGGTGACAAAATTACCTGTACGCCAAGCCCCCGTGACATGCAGTTTACCTATATAACAAACCTGCGCATGTACTCATGAACCTAAAATAAAAGTTAAAAAAAAAAAAAAAAAACTCACAATGACCCTGTCGGAAAGAGAAGGCATCACAGAGCTCCAAAGATCGTGGGCTTTGGAGTCAGTGAGCTTGGTCAAACGTTAGCTTCAATTACATACTAACTTTGTCGCCTAATTCTGTAATCACTCACCCTCAGTTTCAAGTCACTTACCCTCAACTGCATCCTCTTCAAAATTGGGAAATCAAGCAGTTAGAGAAATTAAGAATTCTGACAATGTATGTAAAGCACGTGCACTGAGCCTGGCATACAGTAGGTCTTAACGAATGATAGCTAACTCCCTCACCACTCCCTTGCCTACTGGGGTGGGCCAGAACCACCTGCTCTCTCATACATTCCTTCAACTCAGTCACCAGCCTCTATCTTACTGATTCCCCAAGTGAAGCAATCTCACACCAGGGGACTATTCCCTTCTACTCCTTCATTCATACAGCAAACATTTATTAAGCCCCGACTATGCAGGCCCCCTAGGGAACACGGAGATGAAGGAGACTGCATTCCTGTCCTCAGAAGGCTGACCCTGCGGTAATGAAAGAGACTGCAATATAGACACAGCGAGAGAAAGTGCTAGGATAGGAGCATGAGCTGAAGGCCCACTGACCTATTCCCCATGACCCCGGATCCCTTGTTCCCGAGCGAAAGTTCGGGGCCGGGAGTTTAGACGTCTCAGGCTCCAACCTGCTTTCCCCGCCCCCTTCCCTGAGGCCAGGTCCCCGGGGTCCAGACCTCACGCCCACCCATTCAGCTAGGGCCTTCCCTCAAGCCCTGCTCCAGGCTGGGGCCAGTCCGCCTCGCGGTCCAGGCCCCGCTCAGGGCTACCTGAACTCAGGAGGCTGCAGTGCGTTCAGCGCCGCCTTATCCGGGCGCTCCATGGTGTAGCCGTGCCGGCACAGGCGCTCGGCGGCGGAGCTGGGCTCGGCGGCCGCGCTCAGTAAGCTCCGCGAGGGAACGGCCGAGGCGGTTCGCACCGGAAGTAGCGGTTCGCGCCGGAAGTGCCCGTTCGCGCCGGAAGTGCCCGTTCGCGCCGGGCGGCGGGCCACAGTACGCAGGCGCGGCGCGGCGCGGCGCGCCGCAGCGACGCAGGGCTGTTGCCGGCGCGGGGGCGGGCGCTCACATGACTTACCGGCGGTGGCTCCGCGGCGTGCGCCCTGCCAGGAGGGGCCTGTGCTCGAGGAGCAGGCCTGGCGAGTAGCCCAGCCACTCCACGTTGAGCCGGGACTTGCCGCGCAACATGGTCCTCCTGGGCGGGCGGCGGCTACGCCGCCCCCTGAACTCGCGTGAACACTGGTCCTCGTCTGCGTCTCGGTCGCTGAGCTGGGGGCCGCAAGGAGACCCGAGCATATGAGCCGCGAAGAGGGACTACCAGCCAGAGGGCTGTGGTGCTAGGCAACTGAGCGTATTCCGCCGACGACAACACAAAAAAGCAGTGCGCATTATTTCGCCACTACTTGAGCAAATAAATGCCTCATTAATTACTGCCCGCAGTGGTAGGAAGTCAAGCCCTTGGCAGCTGGGAGGAGTTAAAACACTCACCCGAGTCCGTAAAACTAGAGAATGTCAGAGTTCAAAGAGCTCTTGCTGAGAATGACTGTTCCAGACTCGATGCCAGTGACCCCCAACTTCCACTTAAAAGTTAAAAACATATTTTGCAGCTGCTCAGAAAGCCGCCAATGAGACAACAGGGACTCAAATAGTAAGAACAGATGGGCCTCCCGGGCCTGCGCAACCCGAGAGAGGTAAAAACGAAAGGGTGGGTAAGTCTGGAGTCAGGCTTGACAAAATTAAGTTGCCACTGGCTGCTAATAAGAGGACAGCCCTTAACATGGTCAGCGCCTGGAAAGGGCCGCTGACCACACAGCTATTTTCTGCACCACATGGATACAAAGACCACATCTGAAATCATGACTAAACCAGCAGCTTAGAGTGGTGGAAAGGGCAATGGACTGGGCAGCAGGAAGTCCAGGTTTTAGTTCAAACTGAATAATCCCCCTCTAGGGCTGACTGTGCTGGCTCACGCCTGTAATCTCAACACTTTGGGAAGCTGAGGCAGGAGGATTGCGTGAGGCCAGTAGTTCCAGAGCAGCTTGGGCAGCATAGCAAGACTCCGTCTCTAAAAAACAAACTGTAAAATATTTAATAAAAATAATAGTAATCTCTATCTGGGCCTCATCTAGACCTTTAGGTGAGTAAGAACCACCTAATGTAAGAACTTGGGGTACAAAGAGAATCTAGCTCTGGGGTAGGCAAACTGAGCCAGCCGACCTAATACATGGAGCCTACCACCTGTTTTTCTACAGCCCTGAGGTAAGAATGGTTTTTCCTTTTTAAATTGTTGAAAACGTCAAAAGAATAACATGACACGTGAAATTTATATGAAATTCAAATTTCAGCGTCTATTGATAAAATTTTATTGGAGCTCAGCCATTCTCATTTGTTTGTATTATCTACAACAGCAATGTTGAGTAGTTGTGACAGAGACGGTATGATCTGCAACGCCCAAAATGATCTGCAATGCCCAAAATTCTTACCATCTGACCCTTTTACAGAAGAGTTTGCTGACCCCTGCTCTAGCTAATCAGCCTGCAGTGAGGTCCTTCAATCCCTAGGGACCCATAAATGTAGTAATGGTGGTTCTGAAGGCAGTTTTTAATATTTTTAAAAACCTAATGAATCTATTTACTGTTAGGCATCCAAAGCTACTTAAAATATCACCGTTCTTTGATTTTTGACACTTACTATATCATGATGAGGTTATCCTAGTTATCCCATAAGAAAAGACTGTTCACAGATTATTATGAAAATAAGCCACAGTATACTTAATAGAATAAATCTTTTAAAACATAGAATGAACACAAGTGGGGGAACGGAATTGTGACTTATTGTTCCCCAATACCTAGAGTAGGGCCTGGTATATAGTAGGAACTAATAAATATTTGTTAAATAAATAAATTGGGTCCACAAAAGGAAAAAGAGCAAAATAGTTCTTGATGGTGAAAAAATTGGGAACCAGCTTGGCGTGGTGGCACATGCCTGTAATCCCAGCTACTCAGGAGGCTGAGGCAGAAAATCGCTTGAACTCAGGAGGCGGAGGTTGCAGTGAGCCAAGATCGTGCCACTGCACTGCACTCCAGCCTGGGTGACAGAGTAAGACTCTGTCCACCCCCCCCCAAAAAAACTGGGAACCACTGTTGTTGTAGTTTGCCGGAGCTGCCATAACAAATGCCACAAACTAAGTGGCTCCAACAACAGAAGTTAATCATCTCCCAGTTCAGGAGGTTAGAAGTCTGAGATGGAGATGTTGGCGAGGCTGGTTCCTTCTGAAGGTTGTGAAGGAAGGACTGTTCCAGGCCCCTCTTCTGTTTTCTGGTGGTTTGCTGACAATCTTTGGCATTTCTTGGCTTGTAGAAGCATCACCCTGATCTCTGCATTTTTCTTCAAACGGCCTTCTCCCTGCGTCTGTGTTTCTGTCCAAATTTTCCCTTTTTATAAGGACACCAGTCATAATGCATTAGGGGCCCACCCTACACCTGTATGAACTTAATTATTTACATCTGCAGCGACGCTGTTTCACTCTGGGGTACTGGGGGCTAGGATTTCAGCATATGAATTTGGGGATGGTGTGGGTGACCGGGCCAGCAATTCAACCCATAACAGTAGTCTAAACACTTCCTTGTACAGATGAGAAAACTGCGGCCCAGAGAGGGGACGGGACTTGTGGGAAGTCACACATTTATCTAGTGGGATGTAGCTTGACTCCTGACTCCCAGGCTGGCACTTTTACACTCCCACATTAACAGCCTAAGTTGCACTTGTGTGATAACTTAAACAGGAACCATTCATAAATGAGATTTGCTGTGGGAAAAACTTCTCATGTAATTTACATAGTAGTGTTTTTAAATATAAACAAAAGCTCTCATATCTCTTATTTATTTATTTATTTATTTATTTATTTATTTATTTATTTATTTCGAGACAGAGTCTCGCTCTTTCGCCCAGGCTGGAATGCAGTGGCGCGATCTCCGCTCACTGCAAGCTCTGCCTCCCGGGTTCACGCCATTCTCCTGCCTCAGCCTCCCGAGTAGCTGGGACTACAGGCGCCTGCCACCACGCCCGGCTAATTTTTTGTATTTTTTTTAATAGAGACGGGGGTTTCACCGTGTTAGCCAGGATGGTCTCGATCTCCTGACCTCGTGATCCGCCCGCCTCGGCCTCCCAAAGTGCTGGGATTACAGGCGTGAGCCACCACGCCCTGCCATATCTCTTTTTTATGCTGACTTATACACTCTACCAACATTTACTGTGAGCTTACTGAGGTAGACACAGAACTTTAAAAATAAACTCAGAATCTGTACTAGAAGGAAAGAATCTAGCCAGCAGTCAGCCCTCTCAACAGAGCCCTGAAACCTCCTACCTGCAGTGCTACAAAAGAATTAGAGGCAAGTGGAGCCCACACAGAGCCGTTGCCATGGGAATGAAATGGTGTGTTAGGGGGTGTGGCCACTACAGAGGAAACCATAATAGTGGTTTCCTACCACTGCTGCCCTAAAGCATGTGTCTTGTGCTTCATTTTACTGAGCATATTCACAGTCCCTACAATTTATACCATCCCCACTTCATAAGTGGAAAAACTGAGGCCAGGGAAAATTTCAGAGTCTGGTGAAGGCTTCCCAATGCCCCTTAAAGTCAGAAACTGATTCTCAAACTGAAAGAGCCCCAGTTTGGCACTTTAATTTTAGTTGAGAAAACTGACAGCTAAAGATGGGAAGTGATTTGCCCCAAATTCCCTAGGTCAGTGATAGAATTAGAGAATGTATAGTTCCTAATTCTGTCTCATGTTTTCTCCACCATATTGTTGTAAACTTCTGTACTACTTGTAAGACACGTTTTCTCCACCATATTGTTATAAACTTCTGTACTATTAACCCAGTGACGTGAAAAGTATACACCCAAAGACACGTTTTGCAACCCCAAATTGCTTTACTTACCCGAAAAAACTTCGTTTCTTGAAGTTTCCTTTTGGGTGGCTGGCTGTGGGATTGGATGGAACAACCATATTGAAACACCAACTGATACTTGCCAAGGCCTATACCTGAACAGCACGGTGTTTTTAAAACTAAGACATAAGGAAAATAGAAATAAGCTCCACTGTACAATCAACAAAACTCATATTAAAAAAGAGAGAGAGAAACTCTGGCTTCTTTGTAATGTAGGCTGTGATGTCTTAAAAAAAAAAATTGGTAAAATATGCCCCCTGGTGAAAAAGCATAGTTCCATTTATAGAAAAAAAAATAACTAAGGGGTTATTATAGTTAAAACCTCCATTGTCAACGCTGCCCTTCGCCCCAGGCAATGAATTGGGTTTTACTCAAGGGTCTTCCTTACCTCACATCAACCTCTGGCCAGCACTGCTGCCCTAAAGCATGTGTCTTGTGCTTCATTTTAAATAGCATATTCACAATCCCTACAATTTATACCATCCCCATTTCATTTCCAGGTAGAAATAGTGAAACTAAGGGAAATTTCAGTCTGGTGAGGACCTCACAATGCCCCTTGCCTCCTGACTCTTGAATGCCCTAAAATTTACATCAGGCTACCTCTTCCAGCTCTATCTGCCAGATAGCTAAGCTGGGATCTCTGAGCTGGTGAAGGGACTTGCCCATGGAGTCAAGGAATGCTCAGGGTTCATGCCTCAGGACTGTTCTCACCAACTTGACTCACCTTTGGGGCTCTAGTGGAGCCCGTGGGCCTTCCGGCAAACAGAAGTAGGCAATGGGGGTCAGGAAATGGCCCCCACTGCCTGTCCAGCGTGGTGCCAGCTCAGCCTAGGATCCCATGTCCCCTGGCACACCAGTGGTTTGATATAACCAGAGGATCTCCTGCCCATGAGGGGCGGCAGCGCTCCAGTTACCAACCCCCAAGTGAAAGATCCTGGATCAAGTCTTTCCTGATTGGCCTGCACCCAGAGGCTACGCTACCAGAAGAGGAACTGGACAAGGGCACACCCCAAGATATACACGCGTTTTTTCCTTGAAAGGCCCAGGCTTTGAGGAGGCGATCGCAACCAGTGGGCTGAATAAAAGAGCAAGTGTCGGCACGGAGAGAGCTAGGCCCGGGCTCACCAAGACATAGAGCCCGAGGGTTCTGAAAACACTGTTCACGGTGGAGCACGAGGCTCGAGCGCCAGAGACCTCGGAGTTGGGTTTCCACGTGGTTATTCCCAGCGCCAAGTGGGCGGGGCAGGGGAGGGCGGGGCAAGGCCTCCTCCCAGCTTGGGCCACTCTGATTGGTCCGCAGCAGCATGTCTTTCCTGGCGAGTCTGGGCAGGCCAAGCAGCCCCGCCCACCCGCAGCCCAACGCAAAGGGGCGGGACCTAGAGCTGGCTGCAGACTGAGCGCCTTGCACCCAGCAGGTGTCGGGGTGAAATCAGAGTGTCTAGCCCCTCATCCCGTGGAGGCTGGCACCCTCGGCCTGAGCTGCACTCATTGAGTAAACAAATACATAATTGGTGAATGCGTGAGTGGGTGAGAGAAATCGAAGGGAAAACCCAAAATTCTTCCAGGATTTCAATGAGAAATAGCTATAGATTTTGTTTTGGTTGTTTTCGCTGTTCTCGGTTCTTACTTTTTCCATAATTGGGTGGAAAAAGTTAGAAACACTCGAGAGAGGAAGAAACTGCAAGAGGCAAATGAAACCCAGGAGAAGCAAGGCAAGGAGGAGCTGGTGATTCGAGAATGTGTAATAAAAAGACGTAAAAGATGAATAAAGTGCTCCAGGCCCGGGCATGCCTGGCCCTTGGCTTCTTGGCTGAGTGGTCCCAGGCTGCACCTCTAGCTCCTGTCCTGGGAAGAAGAAATCGCCTTACAAGAGGGGCGGAGTGAAGGGAGTGTATGTGCTAGCGTGTGGGGCTGTGTGTATGAGTGTGTGTGCATTTGAGTATGTGAGTGTGCTTCACTGTGTGTGTGAGGGTATGTGTGACTGTGTGTGTGTACGCGCGCACGCATGTGAGTTTGTCTACATCATTGGGGGAAATATAATTAAAAACAAAATCTTCTCCCAGCCCAGATAACCTCTCCATAAAGGTAGAAGAGAAAGAAAACAATTTTCTTGAATAAACATTAAATCAGAATGTGATATGAATCACAGGCAGCCAGCTAAAAGTATTGCAAGGACAGAAAGAAACCTCACACTAGGCATACCTCAGAGGTATTGCAGTTTGGTTGCAGACCAGCACAATAAAGCGAATATTGCAATAAAGCAAGTCACGTAATTTTTTTGGTTTCTCAGTTCATATGAAAGTTACGTTTATACTATAGTATAGTCTGTTAGGTGTACAGTAACATTATGTCTAAAAGTAACGTACATACCTTAATTTAAAAATACTTTATTGCTAGAAAATGCTAATGATCATCTGAGGCTTCATCTAGTGGTAATTTTTTTGCTGGTGTAGGGTCTTGCCTCCATGTGGATGGCTGCTGACTGATCAGGGTGGTACTTGCTGAAGGTTGGAGTGGCTGTGGTAATTTCTTAAAATAAGATGACTATGAAGTTTGCTGCATCGACTGACTCTTCATTTCATGAAAGATTTTTCTGTAGTTTGCAATGCTGTTTGATAGCATTTTATCCACGGAACTTCTTTCAAAACTGGAGTCAGTCCTCTCAAACACTGTTGCCACTTTATCAGCTGTTTATAAAATATTCTAAGTACTTTGCTGTCATTTTAACAATATTCACAACATCTTCACCAGGAGTAGATTCCATTTCAAGAAACCCCTTCCTTTGTTCATCCATAAGAAGCAACGCCTCATCTGTTTAAGTTTGATCATGAGATTGCAGCAATTCAGTCACATCTTCAGGCTCCACTTTTAATTCCAGTTCTCTTGCTATATCCTCCACACCTGCAGTGACTTCCCCCACTGAAGTCTTGAACCCTTCAGAGTCATCCACGAGGGTTGGAATCAACTTCTTTTACTCTCCTATTATTGTTGATGTTTTGACTTCTTATGAATCATGTATGTTCTCAACAACATCTAGAATGATGAGTCCTTTTCAGAAGGTTTTCAATTTACTTTACCCAGATCCATCATAGGAATCAGTATCTATGGCAGCTGTAGCCTCACAAAATGTATTTCTTAGATAATGTACTAGAAAGTCAGAATTACTCCTTGATTCATAGGCAGCAGAATGGACGTGTTGACAGGCATGAAAACAACATTAATATCCTTGTACATTTCCATCAGAGCTCTCGGGTGACTAGATGCATTGTTAATGAGCAGTAATATTTTGAAAGGAATCTCTCTGGTTTCTGAGCAGAAAGTCTCAACAGTGGGCTTAAAATAGTCAGTAAACCATACTGTAAACAGATGTGCTGTCATCCAAGTTCTGTCCTTCCATTTATAGAGCACAGGCAGAGTAGATTTAGCATAGTTTTTAAAGGCCCCAGGATTTTTGGAATGGTAAATAAGCATTGGCTTCAACTTAAAGTCACTAGCTGCATTACCTCTAATAAGAGAGTCGGCCTATCCTTTGAAGCTTTGAAGTCAGGTAACAGTGGAGGTTAGGCCCATCTTCTTCCAGGAAACTGGGAGATCAGACATTATCTTTCTTGATAATCACATTACAAAAAGATGGCTCCCAGGTCCCCGAGGAAACATTCTTAACTTATGATAGTGGCAAGAGGGTTATGTAATCACCGAGAAGATTTATATACATTTGAAAACAACAGAAAAAGAAATGCTTTAATAAAATGGAGCAGGAGGAGTCACTTATTTTTCAACAGGAAGAATTAAGTATCTTAATTTGTATTTGCCTTTACAACATAGATGTGCTAAAAGCCAAGAAGTGTGTGGGTGTGTGTGTATGTGTGTGTGTGTCCTACCCAAAATGTGGCCCCACCATACCCACCTCTCCAGGGTGCTCTCCCACACACAGTTCCTCCCGTCCCTGCACCCTCCATACTGTCCCTTCACCACACACACAGCTTGGATGACTTTCTAGGAAAACCAAAACATGCTGATCCTCAGTGGGCTTGTGCTGTGTCTGCCTCTGAAGTGCTGCTGCTGCCCCCATTTCTGCCACCTCCCAAGTGCCATCTCTTTTTTCAGCATCTCCTATGGCATTTGGGCCTACAAGTTAGAACTTGATCTCTTCTAACTCCTATTACAACTAGTTGGGACTTCTAGTCTCTCCCACTAGACTGTACACTAGTTGGGGAGAGGAGGACATGGCTGGTGGCTTTTTTATCTCTGTGCTACCCACAGCACAGGTTTTGAACACGTATCCTCAATCAAAGTTGTGACATTGAGTTGCAGTGAGAATCTTACTAGGGCCACCTTTCTGGCTCCCATCCCTCACCTCCAACCCTCACCCACCCTGTTTCTGCTCCTCTGCCCACTAAACTCTGCTGTTATAAGAACTCTTATAACCTAGTGGTTAAGGAAGGGTTGAGGAATATATTGAAGCCAGAAGAAGGAGAATTTACAAAATGTGTTCCCAGTGTAATTCCCCATCAGATTCCTTAGGGTACATATCTGATCTAGTGCACTTAAAATGCACATTACCTTGGGAGTGTCACCTCCACTTTGGTGCCTCATGTTCCATTTAGACATATGACACTGGCACTGGGCTTTCCATAGGTCTCAGGGCTGGGCCCAGACAGCCAGAATTCCCTACCTCACCTCTCAAAAAGGCCCCGAGAGCTGCAAGACAAATTAGAGCAGGTGTTGCCTCTAGGAATGCATGGGGCCATAGAAGCACACACTACCACACACACACAAAAATCCTTTCTAGAATTGCAGACTGCCAACTGGTAATCCAGCCTCTATATCCCCCCTGCCCTCCAGGAACAAGGAGCTCAGTGTCTTTCAAGATAGTGTACTAGCATGTCTTGCCTCCATGAGTAGTCCATTGGTGGCAGAGGTCAGCATAAGTGTCCTCTGTCCCCATTCAGGATGCTCACCTCTGTTAACCTTGCCCGAGACTTGTCGGTGACCACATCACACTGCCTTGACCTGACTGTCAACAAGCCCCCCAAATATCTATGCAAGCACTGCCAAGTCTTCTCTGACCTGCCCCCAGTGGATTTTTTAGACCCAAATGTGTGTCCCCACATTGATCCTTGGTGCATCTCACCTATAAGTCCACAAGGAAGACACACAGGACCCAGTGGGAAAGCAGCCAGGTTGCAGTGCAACGAACTAGACTTGGAGTTGAAGGCCTGCACTTGAATCTGGGTTCCCCCACCATTTTCTAGCTGTGGGATCATGGACAAGACACTATCTCTTTCTGAACATTTGTTTATCTTATCTGGAAATGGTTTATTATGAGGATCTGATGACCTAATGGGTGCAGTAGTCACCTGATCAACTGCAAAGACCTGATGAAAGCAGCAGCTTGGCCATAGGAGAAAATAACTGGACTGGAGGTAAAAAGATCTGAGAGCAAGTGTGTCTCTGGGCTCCGGTGTGACCTCATCAAGTGTCAGAACTAGATGAGGGTGGGACTAGAGGGACTCTAACTATTAGACTTTTCGAGCTGTGGTTTAATGGCATTTGTCCCCTTTGTGGGCAGTGGGTGGAGCAGAGGGGTTCTTGCCCTAGGGTGGAGGAGGGGATGGATTACTCTAGATGACTAGTCCCTTCCTCCACAAAGTGGATGATTTTGTGTTCTCTGAGCCTGTGGTGAGATCACGCATATTTTTTATAGCACCTAGTACAGACTTGTGTACACAGTTGGGCTTAGCTGAATGAATGAATGAATCTTTCTTTCTTCATATAACAGGGAAGGCCTGTAATGGGCTGTTATCCTTGGCCCCTGACACTAGGGTAATGATGGCATCCCACGGTAAAACATTTTTGTGTGTAAATATCACTTAAGTCTGCACAGCAGTTGTCAAACAGTGAGGCCCTGACAGAAGCCAGTGCACCAACCTGGAAACATTTTTATGGTAATCATTTTCCTACAGAACTCAGAGCTTCAAAAGGAGGGCATTCAGATACTCCCCTAGAAGGTTGCAGCTGGAAGGAACTTTCAAGATCACAGAATCCCGCCCCTTCACTTCCCAGATGGTGAAGCACCAGCTGCAGGGGGTGAGGAGAGGGGTGCCTTCCCTGGCCCGAAGCCTGGCTCATAGTAGGAACATACCAGAGGCTTGCTGCTGCATGCCTGCCTGCTTGACAGTGTGCCAAGTTAGGCCATAACAGTGGGGTGAGAAACCAGCCACTAACCAGGCAAGGCAGCAGGGCCCAAATTAGACCTAGGAGTGGCTGGAGGTAAGAAATCAATATAAACAGGAGCTGGAAATGAGACCATGTGGAGAGAGGGAGGGAGGGAGGGAAGAAGGAAGGAAAGAAGGAAGGAAGGAAAGAAGGAAGGAAGGAAAGAAGGAAGGAAGGAGAAAGAGAGAGGGAGGGAGGGAGGAAGGAGTAAACGAAAAGAGGGTAGAGGACCCAGTTGGGTTCCAGTGACGTAACATAACCAAGAGGAACAGTGAGATGCCCAGTAGCCTATACCTGGATCAGGTGTGATATGGAAGCTTAAGGAAAAACATCTTCTCTGTAGGGAGGGTGCTGGGAAATACTGAACAGGTGGCACAGATCTGCAACTTGGGGCACACCTTGGGAACACCTTCTTTGGCCAACAAGCATTGCCCACAATCCTAGTCTATATCCTCCATGGGGACCATCTCTCCTGGGGATGCACTGCCCCAAATTCACAATTCCAACAGCCTTCAGGTGCCTCGATTTTCCCATCATTTGGAATGCACATCCCATCGATATTTTTCAAACTCCTGTTCATACTTAACAGTTCAGCTAAAATGCCACTTCTTGCATGGAGTAATTTTTAATGTCCAAGTCCTAACTCATCGTCCCCATGGACCCCAGTTGTCCGCCTTCTTCAACAATCATCTCAGTGTGCTTTATATCAGAGTTCTTGGGAAGTGTGTCCCTCCCAGCCCAAACCTCCCTTCAGATCACTCCTTTATTGCACTCAGAGAACTGGTTTCATGTATATTCCTGGTTCCTTTAGTGCCTGCATTACAGGTGCTCAGAGGGCATTTGTGGCCCAAAGGAAAGAATGGCTGGACAGGGGCTGGCTGCCCGGCTATAGCACTTCATAAAGCAGCACTCCCTCTCCAACATCACCCAGGAAAGGAGGGAAGGGAGGTAGAGAAGGAGAGGAAACGGAGGGAGAAGTGAAGGGAGCAAAGAAGGAAAGGAAGGAGAGGAAGGAAGGGAGGGAGGAAGGAAGGACAGGTGAGAAAACAAGAGTATCCTAGGGAGAGGTAGTTGGGGAGGGTGGCTGTGGTGGTGGACTAGCAGACCAGATTCCCCACACAAGGCAGGCACTTCATAGTTTCATGCATGGATTTACTCTTACATTCATTTGCTGAGTGCCTACTATGTGCAAGGCACTGTTTTGTTTTGTTTTGTTTTGTGGTGGTATATCCTAGTGGTTAAGGAAGGGTAAGACTGTGTTCAAATCCCAATTCTGTCATTCACTAGCTATGTGATCTTAGACAAATTACTTCATTCTCTGTGCCTCAGTTTCTTTATCTATAAAGTGGGTATCCTAATAGTGCCTTCCTTATAGGCTCTTGTGAAGATTAAATAATTTAATTGATACGAAGTGTGTAAAACAGTGTTTGGCACATAGTGTGCTTTATATAAGCCCTGGCGATTATTTTACGCACTGTGAATATATATTCTGCTCACATCAGTGAACAAAGCCAACCAAAATTTTGCCCCTATTGAACTTAAATTCTAGTGGAGGGAGACCGACAATTAACAGCAACAAAGGAAATCATGTTAGGAGGTGAGAAATGATGTCCGGAAGCAGAGCAGGTAAAGGGAAGTTCGGAATAGGAAGGTGGGAGTCTCAATTATAGATAAGATGGTCGGAATGTTTCTCACAGAGAGAAGACCTGTGTGTTGACTGCCTCAGCTGGGACCTGCAGCATGGGACTGGCCAGCTCACCATCTCTCCAACTTTGCTAGGGCACCCAAGGTTGCATGCGCTCATGAGCGTCCTTTGGGGACAGGAGGACATCCTTCGAAAGAGAGCTCTTAGAGGCCAGGTGCCTTGTGAGTGAAAAGCTGTTTGCTGTTGAGTTAGAAAAGGCACAGAAGCTGCTGAGGAACTGGGTCCTTTGCCAGCACAGCAGGGTAAACACTTGTGGCCAAGTCTGGCAGCAGCTGAGCCTCTGCGGAGCAAACACGACCCTTGCAGCTGGCACAGAGGCAGCTAGGGGAGCCAAAACCCTTTGGCGATCTTAGCTAATGAGGGCCTGCAGTATGAAGCTTGGCTCCCACCTTTCCGTTAGATGGGAGCACATCACTTTTTTCCTAAGCTGGGCTTCTTCTTACCTGGGAAGGCTGGTGGAACAGACTGGGAGTGCCCTGGATTTTTAATGATGCATAAAGTACAGAGGGTTTTGCTGTGGGGCATTCAGAGAGAGACTTTTCTGAGTTTCTTGGGCAATGACTCTAGAAAGAGCTATAGGATAGTCATATTCTGCAGGGATGTGAGAGCTGTAAGAAAGATCAAGGCAACCCCACAGCTCCAGTTATACAGAAGTATACTCAAAAGTCACTTTGCCAATCCCAACCCCTCCTTTTGCTTCCTGCCTCAACACCTATCTCCTGCCCCGCATTCTGTTCCAATGCTGTTTGTAGTGACTAAGGTGCTATTTCATTTTTGGATTGTGTCCCTGCAATTTGATCATAAGGTCCTCAAGATCATGAAAGTTTTTGAGAAGGTGACAAATTCTACAAGGACCACTCAGGAAGATATATTCAATCATTTATTCAATAAATATTTATTAAGCACCTACTAAGCGCCACGCATTGTTCTCAGCATTTGGGAAACAGCAGTAATGAACAAAACAGACCAAAGTTCTTTCCTCATAGAGTTCCCTATTCTAGTGGGACAAACAGGCTATAAATATAACACATATATAAGACAGTGTCAGGCAGCAAAGCTGGCCATGAAAAAAATAGAGCAGAGTAAGGGGACTTAGAGTGATGGGGGACCATTTCATTTGGGGTAGACAGGGAAGGTTGGTACAGTTCTGTCACTTCACTCATGTAGGAATTAAGGTCAAAAGAGATAAAGTGTCTTTTCCAGGACCACACATTGAGGAGCGAGTGAGCGAATGAGAGTCTGACAACCACGTATGACCTCTGTTCATATTTTATGTATTTCCTTCCAGATATATAAACATGCACATGCGTGTGTATCGTGTGTGTATGTGTGCATGTCAATAGACACTGCTTTAGTCAGTCCTGGTTGCTAGAACAGAATACCATACACTGGGTGGCTTAAACAACAAACATGTATTTCTCACAGCTCTGGAGGCTGCATGTCTTAGATTAGGGTGCCAGCATGGTCAGGTTCTTGGTGAGGGCTCTCCTCCTAGTTTACAGACAGCTGTCTTATCGTTTGCTCAAGTGATGGAGAAAGAAATCGTCTGTCTTATGTCTCTTCTTTAAAAGGCACTGATCCTATTCACCAGGCCTCTGCCCTCTTGACCAAATCACCTCCTAAAGGCCCCACCTCCTCATACCATCACACTGAGGATTAGGATTTCAACATAGGAATTTGAGGGGAACACAAACATTCAGGCCATAGCACACACACATACCATTATTTTCCCCTCAATTGCTGTGTTGCAAACTTTTTTTTCACTTAGCCATATTCAATTTCCAATGTCAATACACATTGATCTACATTATTTTTTTCAAGTTAGTGTTTGTACCAATTTTTAATTTTTCTTTATTGAGCTAAAATTTACTTACAGAAAAATTCATCCTTTTTAGGTGTACAGTTCTATGAATTTTGACAAATGTATACAGCCATTTATCACTATAATCAAGGGAGTGAATTTTCTGATTATTCCAAGTAGTTCCTCATGCCCCTTTGTAGGCAATTGCCTTCTCCCACCTCCATATCAGATCCTTGGCAACCAACGATCTGATTCCTGTCCCAGTAATTTTAATTTTTCCAGAATGTCATATAAATGGAAGCATGTAGTGTGTAGACTTTTGTGTCTACCTTATTTATTTAGAATAATGCCTTTTGGGACTAGTTTACATTGTTGCATATCAGTAATTTATTCTTTTTATTGCTGAATAGCTCTCCATTTTATGGATATATTGCAATGTGTTTATTTATTCACCAGTTGAGGGACACTGGATTGTTGCCAGATTTTAGTGATCATGAAAAAATCATTATAATCATCACAGACAGGGTTTTGTTGTTGCTGTTGTTGTTGTTTGTTGTTTGTTTGTTTGTTTTATTTGTTTGTTTTATGGCCATGCCTTTATTTTTCTTGGGTAAATATCTAGCAGGGGGATTGCTAGGTTGTATTGGAAATGTGTGTTGAACTTTATAACAAACTGCCAAACTGATGTCCAATGTGGCTGCACCATTTTGCATTGCCACAAGCAAAGTATGAGAATTCTAGTTGTTCCACTTTGTGATACATATTGTTTTAATTTTAGCCATTCTTGTAAGGGTGTAGTAGTATCTCACTGTAGTTTAAATTTGCTTTTCCCTAATGACCAATGATGTGGAGCACCTTTTCATGTGCTTTTTTGCCTTTTTCTTTTTCTTTTTTCTTTTTTTTTTGAGACAGAGTCTCACTCTGTCATCTAGCATGGGGTGCAATGGTACAGTCTTGGCTCACTGCAGCCTCCACCTTCCAGGCCCAAGCGATTCTCCCACCTCAGCCTGCTGAGTAGCTGGGACTACAGGCGTGCATCACCATGCCTGGCTAATTTTTGTATTTTTTGTAGAGACTAGTTTTTCACCATGTTAGCCAGGCTGGTCTCAAACTCCTGGGTTCAAGCGATCCTCCCACTTTGGCCTCCCAAAGTGCTGGGACTACAGGCGTGAGCCACTGCCCTGGGCTTGCCATTCATATCTCTCTTATCTCCTCTTTGGTGAAGTGTCAATTCAAGTTTTTTGCTGCTCATTTTCTAGTTAGACTATTTGCTCACTGCTGAGCTATATGGCTT
Source organism: Homo sapiens (assembly GCF_000001405.40). Classification (NCBI taxonomy): domain Eukaryota; kingdom Metazoa; phylum Chordata; class Mammalia; order Primates; family Hominidae; genus Homo; species Homo sapiens. The sequence continues at coordinate 151,382,167 of NC_000023.11, read as the reverse complement.
GCTAGAGCTGTTGTAACAAATTACCACAAATTTAGCAGCTTAAAATAACGCAAATATATCCTCCTTACAGTTCTGGAAGCCAAAAGTGAGAACTGAGTCTTCTGGAGTGTCAAGATGTCAGCAGAGCTGGTTCCTTTTGGAAGTCCTAGCGTAGAATTCATTCCTTATCTCTTCCAGCTTGCTGGCATTCCATGGCTTGCTGGTATTGCATGGCTTGTGTCCTCATCACCCCCAAACTCGGCCTCTGTGGTCACATTGTGTTCTTTTCTGTAGTCAAATCTTCTTCTGCCTCCCTCTTGTCAGGACACTTGTGATTACATTTAGGGCCTACCTGGATAATCCAGGACAATCTCCCTGTCTCAAGACTCTTAATTTCTTTTTTTTTTTCTTTCTTTCTTTCTTTTTTTTTTTTTGAGACAGACTCTCACTCTGTCGCCCAGGCTGGAGTGCAGTGGCGTGATCTCGGTTCACTGCAACCTCTGCCTCCCGGGTTCATGCCATTCTCCTGCCCAGCCTCCTGAGTAGCTGGGACTCCAGGTGCCGGCCACCATGCCTGGCTAACTTTTTGTATTTTTAGTAGAGACAGGGTTTCACCGTGTTAGCCAGGATGGTCTCAATCTCCTGACCATCCACCTCGGCCTCCCAAAGTGCTGGGATTACAGGCATGAGCCACCGCGCCCAGCCAAGACTCTTAATTGAATCACATTTGCAATGTCTGATTTTGGCACATGAGGTAACATTCACAGGTTTCAGGGGTTAGGACCTGGATAACTTTGGGGACTTTATTCAGCCTACCACATAAGTTTAGAGAGTTCTTTATGGATTTTGGTTACCAGTTCTTTATCAGATATATGCTTTGCAAATGTTGTCTCCTTTTCTGTGGCTTGTCTTTTTTATTTTCTTAACAGTGTATCTTGAAGAGCACAAATTTGAAAATTAAAATTCTTATTTTGATGAAGTCCAAGTTGTACATTTTATCAATTTTTTTTCTATTATGGTTTGTACTTAGTGTGCCCTATCTAAACAAGATCATAAAGATTTTCTCCTATATTTACTTTCAGAAATGTTATGGTTTTAGGTTTTACATTTAAGCCTAGGAACAATTTTGAGGTAATTTTTGTAAATGGTGTAAGATATGGGTTCAAGTTCATTACTTTGCACCATCTGTTAAAAATACTATACTTTCTCTGTTCAATTGCTTTTGCATCTTGTCAAAAACCAGTAGACTATGTTTGTTTATTTCTGGACTTTGTTATGTCTGATTGATTTATATGTCAGTCCATTCACAAATACTACATTGTCTTATTTACTGTAGCTTTATAGTAAGTCTTGAAATTTGATAGTCTCAGTCCTCCAACTTTGTTCCTCTTTTTAAAAATTGATAGTTTTTAAAAATTTCAATTTTCAGTGGCTGTTTTGCTAGTATATAGAAATACAATTGATTTTGTTGTATATTGTAAATTGGCCTTGTATACTGTTCTAGTAGCTTTCTTGCAGATTTCTTGGGAGTTTTTACATAGACAGTCATGTTGTCTGTTTATATAGACAGCCTTATTTTTTCCATTCCAATCTGAAGGTACTACATATTTTCCTTGCCTTATTGCATTGACCAGGACCCTCAGGATGATGTTGACTAGGAGTGATGTGAGTGGACGTCCTTGATTTACTCCAAATCTTACGGGGAAGCATTTAGTCTTTCATTACAAATTACATTCTTAGGAGCATATTTTGTTGTTGTTGATGCCCTTAGTCAAGAAGATAAGGTTCTCTTTTATTCCTAGTGTGCTGAGAGTTTCATTATGAATGGATGTGTGACCATGTGGTTTTTCCTTCTTTAGACTGTTCATAGCTCATAGGGTGGATTACATTGATTCGCTTTTTAAATATTGAACCAACTGCATTTTCAGGATAAATATCACCTGCTCATGATATATTATTATTTTTATATATTACTTGATAAATTTGCTAATATTTTGTTAAAGATTTTTCCACTATATTCATCAGGCATATTGGTTTTTTGCTTTGGGGGATTTTGTTCTTATATTGTCTTTGTGTAGTTTTGACATTGGAGTAATGCTAGCATCACAAAATAATTTAAGAAGTATCCTCTCACCTTCTGTTTTCTGGAAGTTTTTGTAGAGTAGGCATTACATATTCCTTAAATGTTTGATAGAAGTTGCAAATGAAGCCATGTGGGCCTGGAGCTTAATTTGTGGGAAGATTTCTAACTCGAATTCTGTTCAATTCATTTAAAAGATGTAAGACTTCCAGTTATCTATTTCTTCTTGAATGAATGTTGGTAGTTTGTGTCTTTCAATGCATAAGTCTATTTCACCTAAGTTTTGAAATGTGTAGGCATAGTGTTGTTTGTAGTCCCTTATTATCTATTAATGTCTGTGACATAGTATCATTTTTAATGGTTGCCGGATATGACATTATATAAATGTATCATAATCTATTTAACCATTCTGTTATTGTTGAACATTTAGGTTATTTTTGTTTTTCACCATTATAAATACCTGTGTGATGAACATACATGTAAACACATGTTTTGTAGAGATGTCTACTTCCTTCAGATACATTTCTAGAAGTGGGCTTTATGCTTGTTATCTATTGTTCCATAATGATTACCCCCAAAACTTCGTGATTGAAAACAACAAAGGTGTCTTATCTCACAGTTTGTGTGGGTCTGGATTCTAGGCATTGCTCGAGTGGATCCTCTATCTCAGGGTCTCTCACAAGGCTGCAATCAATGTGTTGGCTGGAGCTACAGTCATCTCAAGGCCTTACTTGTGGAGAATCTACTTCTATACTTACTTACATGATTGTTGGCAGGATTCACTTCCTCCCAGGCCAGTGAGGTGAGGGCCTCAGGTCCTCACTGCCCAGTTGTGGCTCAGTTCCTTACCACATGAGCTTCTCTGTAGGGCAGCTCACAACATGGCAGCTGGCTTCCATCAGAGCAAGCAAGGAATTGAGAGACCAAGACAGGGTAAGCAAGATAGAAGTCGTGGTCTTTCTATAACCTCACCTTCGAAGTGGCATCCCATCACTTTTGCCATATTCCATTTATTAGAAATGAATCACTAGGTCTAGCCCACATTCTAGGAGAGGGGATTGCATAAGGACACAGATCTGAGCAGGTGAGGATCTTTGGAGGGTATTTTAGAAGCTGTCTGGCAAGGAATGTTGGTTGGGAGAGCATGTAGAATCCTTTCATTGTTTGTAAAGAATTGTGATTATTATTTCAACTCAAAACTCTCTTTTACTGTTCCTCAAATATCTAGTTTTTTTGATGATCATTTTTAAATAAAATAGTAAATAGAAAATATTTATAAAGTATGTGTAAGATAAAAAGAATAACATCACTCACATTATTACCACTCAAGTTTATTTTTAAAAAATATATCCCTTTCCTCTCTCTCCCAGGACTAATCACTATTCTATTTTTATGTTTGATATTCCTTTGATTTTCTTTAAGTTTAACACACATATGTATTTTTAAACATTATATTGCTTAGTTTCATTTGATTTTGAACTTTATCTTGCATTGCATGTATCATTCTGACTTGATTTATTTTTGGCCAAAAGTGATACTCCTGAGATTAATTTATGTTGTTGCATATAACTGTCTTTCATTTGTTGTATCTGCTAGACAGGATCACATTGTATGCATCTACTATAATTTGTTAACACTTTCAACAGTGGCAGACATTTGTTATAACAAACATGCAGTTATGAATATTTTTTTTTCTTGAAGCAGGTTCTCACTCTGTTCCCCAAGCCAGAGTGCAGTGGTGCAATCATGGCTCACTGCAACGGTGCAATCACGGCTCACTGCAGCCTCAACCTTCCAGGTTCAAGTGAATCTTCCACTTCATCTTCCTGAGTAGCTGGGACTACAGGTGTACACCACCGTACCTGGCTAAATATTTTATTTTTTATTTTTGTTGATACAGGCTCTGGCTATGTTGCCCAGGCTGGCCTCGAACTCCTGGGCTCAAGCAACCCTTTTGCCTTGGCTTCCCAAAGTGCTAGGATTACAGACGTGAGCCACTGTGTCCAGCCCCAGTTATGAATGTTCCTGTACATATACATAGCTCCAGGTGCCTAGGTGCGTAAGTTTCTCCTGAAGACAGACATTGCCATTCTGGTGGGTTAGGGGCTGAATCGTGTCCCTTCAAAATTCACATGGTGAAGTTTTAACCCCCAGTACCTCAGAATGTGATTATATTTGGAGATAGAACCTTTAAAGAGGTAATTAAGGTAAAATAAGATCATACGGGTCAGCTCTAACCCAATGTGTCGGTGTCCTTACAAAAAGAGATTTGCACACAGATAACACACAGACCGGGTGCTGACCATCTGCAACTCAAAAAGAGAGGCCTCAGAAGAGACTAAACCTGCTGCCATCTTGATCTTGGACTTCTGGCCTCCAGAACTATGACAAAATAAATTTCCATTGTTTAAGGCACCCAGTCTGTGCTATTTTGTTATGGAAGCCCTAGCAAACTAGCAAAATGTGGGTATTTTGCTGTGATCTTAATTTGCATTTATTTAATTTGAGCATCCTTTTAGATGTTTATGGACTACTTGGGCTTCCCCCTCCATAAAGTGCTTGGTCATGCCATTTGCCCATTTGTTGTTATTGTTATTGTGGGGTTATTTGTCTTTTCCTTGTTTGTTTACCACTTTTCTCTATATATTCTAGACTTTAATGTATTGCAACCTATATATTCTCCATTGTGTGGCTTGTCCTTTCACTCTCTTAATTTTTCACTTTTCTCACTGGTCCATGCTAGAATATCTCATGTCTTATTTACTTTTTTATTTTAATAACATAATAAATACTTGTGAACCCACTGCCAATCCAAGAGCTAAAGCATTAGTAATAAATTCACTTAACAGCTTTCTCATCTATTCCATCCCTCTGCCATTCATTTCCTCAAAATAATACTAGTAGCTAACATTTTTCTGGCTCTCCCTAGGTGCCCAGTGCTGTTTTATGCACTTTCTGTTTACTAACTCACTTAAACTTCACCATAACCCTGTGAGTTAGCTATGTTATACACACAAGTCACAGAAGCACAGAGAGGTTAAGTTACTTGCCAAGGTCACACAAGCATGTGGTGACAAAGCCAGAATTTGATTGAAGCCAGGCAGTCTGCTCCTTAACCATTTTACTGTGCTGCTCATTGTTAATCACTATATTAAATTTTGTGTTTCTCAACCCAAAATTTTGCTGTGTTTAGTTACTGTTAAAAAAATTAATTACTGTTTAAAAATTCTTTAATTACTGTTAAAAAATTTAATTACTGTTTAATTACTGTTTAAAAATTATTACATATTTATGTATGCCTGAATCATATAGTTTTTAGTTTTTGCTTGTTTTATTAACTTTATTAAAAATGCCCCATGCCATATGCTGTTTTGGGAAACAACATATGGGGTTATTTTGATTAACAGAAGTTCCTAATAGCAGCATACTTTACATTATCAATCTTTTCCCTTATGGTTTGTGTTTTTGTGGGTTTTTTTTTAATCTTGTTTAAGAAATCTTTTCCTAACTCAAAGTTACAAAGACATGGTCTTGTATTGCCGAACAAAAAACCTATAGCTTTGCCTTTCACTTTTGTGATTTAATGTTTTTTTATTTTGAAGTAATTTTAGACTCATAAAAATTGAAAAAAAACATAGTACATCGAATTCTTACACTCTTCACCAGGCTTCCCTGAATGATAATGTCTACCCAACTATAATATAATGATCAAAACTGGGAACTTGACATTGGTATGATACTATTACCTTTAGATCTTATTCGAATTTCACCAGTTTTTACATACATACTTTTTAACTTCAGTGCATAGTTCTATGCAACTTAACCTATGTATACATTTGTTTAACCACCAGCACAATCAGTATACTCCATTGTACTATCCTCCCCTCAACCCTAACCCCTGGCAATCGTTGATGTGTTCATTATGGTTTTATCATTTCAAGGTTGTTATACAAATGGGATAATACAGTATGTGACCTTTTTAACACTGGGCTTTTTTTCACTCAGCATAATGCCCTTGAGATCCATCAATGTTGTTGCATTTATCAATAGTTTGTTCCTTTCTATTGCTCAGTAGTATTCCATTATATGGGTGGACCATATTTTCTTTATCCATTCACCCATTGTCTTAGTCTGTGTTTCTGTTGCTTATAACAGAATGCCAGAAAATGGGTAATTTATTTTTTTTTAAAAAAAGGAATTCATGTATTAAAGTTATGGAAGTTGAGAAGTCCAAGGTTGATGTGCCACATCCGGTGAGGACCTTCTTGTTGGTGGGAACCCTCTGTTGAATCCCAAAGCAGTGCAGGGTCTCACATGGTGAGGGGACTCAGTATGCTAGCTTAGATCTCCCTTCCTCTGCTTATAAAGCCACCAGTCCCACTTCTAGGATAACCCATTAACCCATGAATGGATTAGTTCATTTATGAGGGCAGAGCCCTCATGACCCAGTCACATTTTAAGGGCCCTGTCTTTCAATACTCCCACATTGGGATGAAATTTCAACATGAGGTTTGGATGGGACAAACGTTCAAGCTATAGCACCCATTGAGTAGCATCTTGGTTGTTTCCAGCTTTTGCCTATCACAAATAAACCTACTAGAAACATTTATATACAGGTCTATGAATGAACATAAGATGTATCTCTCTGGGATACATATACAGGAGTAGGATTGCTAGGTCATATGATAATTGTATATTTAACTTTATAAGAAACTGCCAAACCTAAGAAACTGCCAAATTGTTTTCCAAAGTGGTGGTAGCGTTTTACGTTCCCACCAGGTATGTATGAATGATTCAGTTTCTCCAAATCCTCAGCACTTAATATTATCACAATATTTTATGTATTTTATTATTTATTCATTATTTCTGTTTTAGCCATTCAAGTGAGTGTGTACTGATGTCTTACTGTGGTTTTACGTTTTCCTAATGAGTAATGCTAGTCAACATCTTTTCATGTGCTTATTTGCCATCATGATTTCCTCTTAGGTGAAGTGTCAGTTTAAGTCTTTTTGTCCAATTGAATTGATTGCTTTCTTACTGCAGTTTCGAGAGCTCTTTATATATTCTGGATAGAAGTCCTTTGTCAGATATGTGACTTGCCAATATTTTCTCCTAGTCCGTGGCTTGTCTTTTTATTCTTTTTAGCAGTGTCTTTTGCAGAGCAAATCTTTTTAATTTTGAGGAAGGCCAGTTTATCACATTTTTAATGGATACGCTTTTGGTTTCATGTCTAAGAATCCTAGGGCAAGAAGATTTTCCCCTATGTTTTCTTCTAAACAGTTTATGGTTTTATGCTTTACATTTAGACCTGTGATTCACTTTGAGTTAATTTTTGAATAAGATGGGGCCAGGTGAGGAGGGGGCAAGGCACCAGCTCACTAGCGCAGGACAGGGAGTGCTGACAGGGCTCTACCTCCCAGTCTCAGCAATACCAGGTGGGCTAGTATTGCAGGTTCCTTTTGTGTTGTTTACCTGGAGCACAGAGATTAATTAAAGGGTTTTGTCCTGTAGGGCTGCCCTTTTCACCGTTCTAGAGAGGATTGGCCAGAGAGTATAGGATTTTCTTAGGACTTTATGTTTCTAGGTTGTGAGCTGTTCTAGTACCTACGCTATGAGGCAAAACAAAAAAACAAAAACAAAAACAAAAACAAAAAGAACTCACAGCTTGGTCTTCCCTTAGTCCCGAGGTAACCAGTACACCCTCTTTTCTCCATCTTTCAGAGTCTTCAGATAATTAAATATTTTGTCCAGGGTTTTCCATTGTAATTAGTGGGAGGAATGCATTTCCTCTGTTTTGTCTGTACCTGAAAACTCATATTTAATACTTTAATTCACAAGGAATTTATTTTTCTGTATAGTGAGGGTTAGGGATCCAATTTTACTTTTCTATATATATAGTATACATTTGATATAATGTACACATTACATGCATTTGATATAATGTACACATTACATGCATTAGATATAATGTACACATTACATGCATTATATAAAATGTACACATTACGTGCATTATATAAAATGTACACATTACGTGCATTATATAAAATGTACACATTACGTGCATTATATAATGTACACATTACATGCATTATATAATGTACACATTACATGCATTATATAATGTACACATTACATGCATTATATAATGTATACATTACATGCATTATATAATGTATATAATATAGTATATATAATGTATATAATATAGTATATATAATGTATATAATATAGTATATATAATGTATATATAATATAGTATATATAATGTATATTATATATTATATGTATATTATATAATTACATTATTATGTAATTATAATGTATATTATACAATATATAATATAATATAATAATATATAATAATATATAATTATATAATTATAATAATTATATTATATTATATATTGTATATTATATATTATATTATATATTATATTATATATTATATAATATATAATATATATATATTATATAATATAAAATATAATATATAATATATAATTAATAATATATGTAAAATCAGTTGTTTCATTGCCAGTTTGCAAGTAGTTCATTCCCTCTCCCACCCCAATGATCTAAAAAAACAGCTCTGATACCTGGTAAGGTCAGGCCCCTCACCTTATTCTCCCTCAGAAATACCTTGGCATTTCCTGTGGACATTTGTTCTCCCATATAAACTTATGATTCTGCTTGTCAAGTACAATGAAAAAATATGTTGGGATTTTTATTAGAAATAAAAATCTGCATTTTTATGCAGTATTAAATCTGCATTGAATCTGCAAATCAGTTTGGAAGAGAATGAACATCTTTACATTGTTGAGATTTCCAATCCATTAACATGTTATATTTCTTAATTTATTTAGGCTTTCTTTAATACTCTTGCACATCTCTTGTTTGATTTATTCTTACTTGCTTTAAATTTTTCATGAGCCCATTAAAAGAGCCCATTGAAGAATTATTGGCATCAATGCAAGAGCTCTGTAAAGTGACTGGGCACAGACTAAAATACACAAAAATCCAAAGCTTGCTGATAATATAATTTGGCAATAATTAGTTTGAACACAAAATGGAAAATAAAAGCTCCCCTTCACATCACAATATAAAATACCCAGTAATGAACCTAACCTGAGAGATATAATTGGCAGTAAGCACTTGCAGCCAACATTACAGACCAAGGAATAATATCCTTAAGATAAAACAGTATCACAAGTTAATAAGGACAGCACAGACCTCCCAAGAGGAAAGTGAATAAAAGGTTGGAATAGAATAATCACACAAGAAGTAATAGAAATGAATAATAAATCACAAAAACTTCAGTCTCACTAGCAAGGCAAGAGAATAAAATAACAAGACTTTTTCACCCATAAGTCTGGCAAATACTTGCTTTTTGCTTCACGGTGTTGCCAAGGGAGAGGAAACATCTACCTCTTATACTGCTGATGGGGGTATAAATGTGCATGTTTCCATAGGACACTTGGCTGTGTATACCAGTCAATTCTATTTCAGGACACTTGTTCTAAGGAAGTCATCAGACTAGCACGTCTCACTTTTCTCATCTGCAAAATGGGGCTAATCGTGCATTCATCATAGTGTAATAATGAGCATTAATGAGACAATTCCTTTAGGGCTGCTAATCTATATGATGCTTTAGGGAAATACAAAAAAGTCACCCTCACTCTGCTGATAAATTGCTTCTTTTCCAGGCAAATGTCCAGGGGCTTGGCAAATGCACAGGGCGTTTGTGCAAAGAAAAAGGCTGTGCCTCTTCCTCCAGGCTACTCTGCCTGTAGAGTGAAGAGTAGGCTTGATTTAAGCGCCCACTTCGCACCCTGGCTAGCACCTTTGCTAAGGACACATATACGATGACCCTGAATCCATGTAAAGTTTTTAGCAAAATGTCTGGCATTTGATCATTAAATATTATATATTACTGTGTTCAAGGGCATTTAATACAGTGATATTCATACGGGTGACAATTTGAAAACTAAATGTACAGAAATATGGGACTAGTTACATTAATTTGGCATATTCATATAATGGAGCTCTTTTAATTCATGTTTTAAACCACTATTGAATGGTGTTGGGAAATTTCCAAAATATATTAAGTTTAAAACATCAAGATCCAAACTGGATAGTGAGGGTAACCCCAATTTTGTAAAAATCCCACTATATTTACATAGATATGTATGTATGTATATATGATATATATAAGTGTGTATAATATATATAAAAAAATATATATATATAAAACATATGCAACAAAAAGTTGACAGTTACAGTGGTTGGAGAGTGAGGTAATTTTTGTTTCATATTTACCCTTTCTCGTGGTTTTACCAAGTGTCTGGAATGTGTATACTTACTCTTACAAGCAGTAAAAGGTCATTTAAGAAGTCTCTTCTGTCCCTAACCTGTCTTCCCTGTCTGTGGCCCTGGTCGTGGAGAGGGTAAGGACATCCTGGAAGGCAGATTTTCTTCCTTTCTTTCCTTTCTTTCCTTCCTTTCTTTCTTCTTTCTTTCTTTCTTTCTTTCTTTCTTTCTTTCTTTCTTTCTTTCTTTCTTTCTTTCTTTCTTTTCTTTTTCTTCCTTTCTTTCTTCCTTTCTTCCTTTCTTTTTTTTTCAGGGTCTTGCTCTGTTGCCCAGGCTGGAGTGCAGTGGCACAATCACAGCTCACTTCAGCCTTTAAGCCCTGGGTTCAAGGATCCTCCCACCTCAGCCTCCCGAGGAGCTGGGACTACAGGTGTGAGCCACCACGCCTGGTTCTGTCAGGTGCTCTTCGAGGGCAGTGTCCCGGAGAGCAACTGCGGCCCTGGAGGCAGTGGGCGCTGATTTGTTTAACCTGGCTCCAAGCCCGCCTTAATCTCCCCGAGCCTAAGTGAGTCGCCTGGGAGCCGATGGGGCCACTCTGCACATTCACACATCAGGAAGAATGCTGTGCTTTTCAGCAGGCCCAGGCTAGGTCTCCGACTCCAGGGAAGCCGAGTGTGGAGTACCAGCCTGCGCTGGGCGCAAGCGAGGAGAGGTGGTGAGGGGCGGGACTGCATGCAACAGGCCCGGCTCGGCCCCGCCCCCTCTCCTCTGAGTTCTTTCGATGCGGTAAGAAGGGGGAAAAACTAAACGGCAACACAACCGTCTTATTTATTTGGGAACAAGGTATCTGTGTCTTGCCCTAGGAACTCCTTGCGAAGTGCACCGAGAAAAAAAGTGGACAAAATCCATCCATGCAACAATCCTATCGCTAGATCTTCTCTATAAGAACTAGTCCCCTTGATAGAAATAGAATACCCTCCCTGGGGCATAGGGCAGACAGGTCTTGGGAGGAACAAACGCCTGGACTGGGGCAGCTGCCTGGGTGACATCTCCCTTGCCCACTTTCCTCATCTGCAAAATGGGGCTAATCACGCCTTCATCATAGTGTGGTGAAGAGGATTAATGAGACAATTCCCTTTCCTAATCTATATGATGCTTTAGGGAAATATAAAAAAGGCAACTCTTCCTTAGGGTCCTCTTATTTTAATCCTCGTGATACTCTCTCAGAGGAAACCAATTGGAGGAGTTCATATTCGACTGACCCAAGGAGCAATTTCCCTACAATCAATGGGTGGGTTGGAATAATGGTCAGTCTCAAATGAGGGGATTGTAATGGAAAAGTTAACTTCTTTGTGATTTCATCAGTACAGAGCAAGTCTAGCCAGCAGGGAACAGAACAAAGAGATTTGTACAGGACATTCTGGAATCAGAGCAGCTTGGTTCACATCTTCTCAACTTGGTAGCTGTGTGACATTAGGCCAGACACCTAACCTATCTGCTTCTGCATTCTATTCTGTGAAATGGGCAGATAATAGAGTCTACCTACCACTGACGTTGATATAAGAGTGACATGCGCTTCTGCCCATCATACAATGCTAGGGCAGGGTCAGCCCTGGGGTAGGGGGCAATCAGTGGGGTCTGCTTGCTCTGGGACAAAGTGCTCTCTTCCTCCCCACCACCCACAGTGAGTTCCCAGCACCTTCATCCCAGTGCTTCTTATTGGAAGCACGCCCATCTCAGATGTGAACTCTGGGGGCTCAAGAGGTAGACTTGCTGGAAGTTCTTTGTAGCTTCTGGATATTAGCCCTTTGTCAGATGGGTAGATTGTAAAAATTTTCTCCCATTCTATAGGTTGCCTGTTCACTCTGATGGTACTTTCTTTTGCTGTGCAGAAGCTCTTTAGTTTAATTAGATCCCATTTGTCAATTTTGGCTTTTGTTGCCATTGCTTTTGGTGTTTTAGTCGTGAAGTCCTTGCCCATGCCTATGTCTTGAATGGTATTGCCTAAGTTTTCTTCTAGGGTTTTTATGGTTTTAGGTGTGACATTTAAGTCTTTAATTCATCTTGAATTAATTTTAGTATAAGGTGTAAGTAAGGGATCCAGTTTCAGCTTTCTACATATGGCTAGCCAGTTTTCCCAGCACCATTTATTAAATAGGGAATCCTTTCCCCATTTCTTGTTTTTGTCAGGTTTGTCAAAGATCAGATGGTTGTAGATGTGTGGTATTATTTCTGAGGGCTCTGTTCTGTTCCATTGGTCTATATCTCTGTTTTGGTATCAGTACCATGCTGTTTTGGTTACTGTAGCCTTGTAGTATAGTTTGAAGTCAGGTAACATGATGCCTCCAGCTTTGTTCTTTTGGCTTAGGATTGTCTTGGCAATGTGGGCTCTTTTTTGGTTCCATATGAACTTTAAAGTATTTTTTTCCAATTCTGTGAAGAAAGTCATTGGTAGCTTGATGGGGATGGCATTGAATCTATAAATTACCTTGGGCAGTATGGACATTTTCACGATTTTGATTCTTCCTATCTATGAGCATAGAATGTTCTTCCATTTATTTGTGTCCTCTTTTATTTTGTTGAGCAGTGATTTGTAGTTCTCCTTGAAGAGGCCCTTCATATCCCTTATAAGTTGGATACCTAAGTATTTTATTCTCTTTGAAGCAATTGTGAATGGGAGTTCACTCATGATTTAGCTCTCTGTTTTTCTGTTATTGGTGTAGAGGAATGCTTGTGAGTTTTGCACATTGATTTTGTATCCTGAGACTTTGCTGAAGTTGCCTATCAGCTTAAGGAGATTTTGGGCTGAGACGATGGGGTTTTCTAAATATGCAATCATGTCATCTGCAAACAGGGACAATTTGACTTCCTCTTTTCCTAAGTGAATACGTTTTATTTCTTTCTCCTGCCTGATTGCCCTGGCCAGAACTTCCAACACCAAATATGGAAAGGAACAAGCGGTACCAGCCACTGCAAAAACATGCCAAATTGTAAAGACCATCGATGCTAGGAAGAAATTGCATCAACTAATGAGCAAAATAACCAGCTAACATCATAATGACAGGATCAAATTCACACATAACAATATTAACCTTAAATGTAAGTGGGCTAAATGCTCCAGTTAAAAGACACAGACTGGCAAATTGGATAAAGACTCAAGACCCATCAGTGTGCTGTATTCAGGAGACCCATCTCACGTGCAGAGACACATATAGGCTCAAAATAAAGGAATGGAGGAAGATCTAACAAGCACATGGAAAACAAACAAACAAAAAAAAGCAGGGGTTGCAACCCTAGTCTCTGATAAAACAGACTTTAAACCAATAAAGATCAAAAGAGACAAAGAAGGCCATTACATAATGGCAAAGGGATCAATTCAACAAGAAGAGCTAACTATCCTAAGTATATATGCACCCAATACAGGAGCACCCAGATTCATAAAGCAAGTCATTAGAGACCTACAAAGAGACTTAGACTGCCACACAATAATAATGGGAGACTTTAACACCCCACTGTCAACATTAGAGAGATCAACAGACAGAAAATTAACAAGCATATCCAGGAATTGAACTCAGCTCTGCACCAAGCAGACCTAATAGACATCTACAGAACTCTCCACCCCAGATCAACAGAAGATACATTTCTTCTCAGCACCACGTCGCACTTATTCCAAAATCGACCACATAGTTGGAAGTAAAGCACTCCTCAGCAAATGTAAAAGAACAGAAATTATAACAAACGGTCTCTCAGACCACAGTGCAATCAAACCAGAACTCAGGATTAAGAAACTCACTCAAAACTGCACAACTACATGGAAACTGAACAACCTGCTCCTGAATGACTACAGGTTAAATAACGAAATGAAGGCAGAAATAAAGATGTTCTTTGAAACCAATGAGAGCAAAGACACAACATACCAGAATCTCTGGGACATATTTAAAGCAGTGTGTAGACGGAAATTTATAGCACTAAATGCCCACAAGAGAAAGCAGGAAAGATCTAAAATTGACACCCTAACATCACAATTAAAAGAACTAGAGAAGTAAGAGCAAACACATTCAAAAGCTAGCAGAAGGCAAGAAATAACTAAGATCAGAGCTGAACTGAAGGAGATAGAGAAACAAAAAACCCTTCAAAAAATCAATGAATCCAGGAGCTGGTTTTTTGAAAGGATCAACAAAATTGATAGACCGCTAGCAAGACTAATAAGGAAGAAAAGAGAGAAGAATCAAATAGACGCATTAAAAAATGATAAAGGGGATATCACCACTGATCCCACGGAAATACAAACTACCATCAGAGAATACTATAAACACCTCTATGCAAATAAACTAGAAAATCTAGAAGAAATGGATACATTCCTTGACACATACACCCTCCCAAGACTAAACCAGGAAGAAGTTGAATCCCTGAATAGACCAATAACAGGAGCTGAAATTGAGGCAATAATTAATAGCCTACCAACCAAAAAAAGTCGAGGACAAGATGGATTCACAGCCGAATTCTACCAGAGGTACAAGGAGGAGCTGGTACCATTCCTTCTGAAACTATTCCAATCGATAGAAAAAGAGGGAATCCTCCCTAACTCATTTTAAGAGGCCAGCATCATCCTGATACCAAAGCCTGGCAGAGACACAACAAAAAAAGAGAATTTTAGACCAATATCCCTGATGAACATTGATGCAAAAATCCTCAATAAAATACTGGCAAACTGAATCCAGCAGCACATCAAAAAGCTTATCCACCATGATCAAGTTGGCTTCATCCCTGGGATGTAAGGCTGGTTCAACATACGCAAATCAAAAAATGTAAACCGTCATATAAACAGAACCAAAACAAAAACCACGTGATTATCTCAATAGATGCAGAAAAGGCCTTCGACAAAATTCAACAGCATTTCATGCTAAAAACTCTCAATAAACTAGGTATTGATGAGATGTATCTCAAAATAATAAGAGCTATTTATGACAAACCCACAGCCAATATCATACTGAATGGGCAAAAACTGGAAGCATTCCCTTTGAAAACTGGCACAAGACAGGGATGCTCTCTCTCACCACTCCTATTGTCCTTTATGTTCTATAGTTTAACTGCCATCTCCTTAAAAAGAAATTCACTATGGACAGCTTCCTTTGAAGGCATTTTTCTTTAGTGAAATCTTGGGGCCAACAGTTCAAGCTTTCTTTCTCGGCCTCTTTCTTTTTCCAAAGGGGCCTCTTCTTTTATCTGGGATTTATGTCTGGCATATTTCCCATGTAAATAAAGTGGCTTTGCTATTATAAAATAGGAAGGTATCCCACTCGCAGAGACCACCTGAGTGATGTATAACAGGGCACAGAATCGTAGGGTGTCACTTTTCCAACAATCTGCACTTCCTATAGCAGATGCACAGCCCGGGCTACGTGAGGACCTCTCCACAAGAGAGGCAATTGCAAATGGGGGGAAATGAACTGAGTCTGGCTATTTATTTTCTGGGTGGAGCCATCACAGGAAGACAGGCAGTCCCCAAGCCTCCACTTTTGGCTGCTAAGAGTTATCTACAACTATTTCAACAAGATAAATGATTGCATGGGAGTCTGACTTGGCAGAAAGCAAAATAATAGGATACTGCTTGTTTGTTTTGGAACTTGGTGTCTCAAACCTTGGGCACATTGGATGGTAACACCTATTTGATGTAGCAATTTACTATCAGCAGACTCTTCTGGGTGCCTTACAGACATGACCCACCCATTTAATCTGAGTTTTCCTAATTGCTGAAATTGGAGTGCCTACCCTGCCCACTGGGCAAAAAGACTCCATGTAATTGCAGGAGAACCCCGGACACCCACAATGGTGGGGAGCTCTCCCTTCATTGAAGATGCACTTGTAACTCCTTTGCGGGGAGCTTTCCTCTTCTTCAGCTCATATCCACAGAATTAACTCCGAGAATTAAGTAGGACCTGAGTGATAAAGATAAAGTGCTCAAGGCTTCAATGTTACACTTGGTGCCAAAGTTAAACCACAAATCTCTTTATGACAAAGTATGTGGTAACCAAGATGAAACCTGGCCCTGGAGGCTGCAGTGGAAAGGATGCAAGACAAACTTCTGGCATAAAGATGATAGCTGCACACCTTGCTCTAAATCCACAAATGTGAGAGAACAAAAAGAAAAGTACATATATACACACAAAGGTATGCTGGAAGTAAGAAGAGAAACTCTCAGTGGACCTGAAACTGTGAAAAATAACTGAAATACAAAAATATAGAAAACAGACAGGAGCAAGAGAGATGTGGGGAAATTCTGCCAAGAAAAGTGGTGGATTGAGTACTTTTCTTCCTCTAGCTTTTATGTTTACTGTCCAAGTTTTGCATAATTAGTATGTGTATGTTTTATGATGAAAAAATAAGTTTTATTCCTGAAATAGGCTTCGGGAAAGGAAAGGGAAGGGAAGGAAGGGAAGGGAAAGGGGAAGGGGAAGGAGAAGGGGAAGGAAAGGAAAAGAGCAAATCAGAAGTCAGACTTGCTGGGTACTAGGCCAGATTGCCCCAGACTCCCTGCTAGGCTTGACCTTAGCCCTGCCTGTCTTGGGGCCTCCATTTTCTCATCTGTAAAAGAAGGCAGGCAAACTGGACCATCTTTAGAGTAAGGTCTTACTCAGAGTTCAGATCACCTGGGTGTGGGAGGAGGGAGTTATGGGGAGGTTTTGTCCTGTGTCTGAGCAAGAGATTAGAAGGTGGTTTGAAAATACTTAAGAGTAAATTTAACCAAGGGGGTGAAAAGTTTTTTATACTGAAAACTATAAGACATTGATGAAAGAAATTGAGGAAAACACAAATAAGTGGAAAGATAGCCCATGTTCATGAGTTGAAAGAATTAATATTGTTAGACTGTCCATACTACCCAAAGTGATCCACAGATTCAATGCAATCTCTATCAAAATCCTAACAGCATTTTTCACAGACTAGAAAAAGCAATTCTAAAATCCCTATGGAACCACAAAAAAAACCTGAATAGGCAAAGCAATCCTGGGAAAGATGAACAAAGCTGGAGGCACCACACTCCCTAATTTCAAAGTATACTAAAAGCTATAGAAATCAAAACAGCATGGTCCTGGCACAAAAACAGACATAGACTATTCATGAATTGAGAGCCCAGAAATAAATCCACCCATAGACAGTCAACTAGTATTTGACAAGAGTGCCAAGAATACACAATGAGGAAAGGATAGTCTCGTCAATAAATGGTGTTGAAAAAACTGAATGTCCACATGCAGAGAAAAAAACTGGACCACGATTTACATCACTCACAAAACTGAATTCAAAATGGATTAAAGACCTCAATGTAAGACCTGACACTATAAAATTCCCAGAATAAAACATAAGAGAAAAGCTCTTTCACACTGGTCTTGCCAGTGATTTTTTTTTTTTTTTGGATATGACATCAAAAGCACAAACAACAAAAGCAAAAATAGACAAGTGGGAGTACATTAAGCTGAAAAGCTTCTGCACAGCAAAGGGAACAACAAAATGTACAGGCAACCTATGGAATGGGAGAAAATATTTGCAAACCATATATCTGATAATGGATTAATATCCAAAATATATATGGAACACATACAACTCAATAGCAAAAATAAATACTCTCATAAATAATCTGATTTTAAAATGAGTTAAAAAAAACTTGAATAGATATTTTTCCAAAGAAGACTTACACATGCCCCATAGGTGCATGAAAAGGTGCTCAACATCAGTAATCATAAGGAAAATGCAAATCAAAGCTAAAATGAAATATCACCTCATACGTGTTACGATGATATTCTCAAAAAGACAAGAGATAATAAGTGTTGTCAAGGATGTGGAGAAAAGGGAACCCTTCTGCACTGTTGGTCGGAATGTAAATTGGTACAGCCACTATGGAAAATAGTATCGAAGTTTCTTAAATTAAAAATAGAATCATATGATCGAACACTTCTACTTCTGGGTATAGATCCAAAGGAATGAATTCAGTACCTCAAAGAGATATCTGCACTCCCATGTTTGTTTCAGCATTATTCACAGTAGCCAAGGAGGGAAAAAACAAAATTTCTGTCGACAGAAGAATGGATTTAAAAAAATGTGAAACACACACATACACACACCATACACACACACAGAGAGAATATTGTTCAGACATTAAAAAAGGAAATCCTGTTATTTGGAACAATATGGATGAAACTTGACCGCGTTATGCTAAGTGCAATAAGTCAGACAGAGAAATATAACTATTGTGTAATCTCACTCATATGTGGAATCTAAAAAAGCCAGATTCATAGAAACTGAGAGTAGAATGGTGGTGATGGGGGCTGGCTGGTGGGGGAATTGAACAGATGTTGGTCAAAGGGTACAAACTTTCAGTTTGAAGGTGGATTAACTTCTGGGGATCTAATGTACATCTTGGTGACTATAGTTACTAATATTATATTATATACTTGAAATTTGATTAGAGAATAGATCTTTTTTTTTTTTTTTTTTTTTTGAAATGGAGTCTTGCTCTGTCGCCCGGGCTGAAGTGCAGTGGCGCAATCTCGGCTCACTGCAACCTCTGCCTCCCGGATTCAAGTGATTCTCCTGCCTCAGCCTCCTGAGTAGCTGAGATTACAGGCACGCACCACTACGCCTGGCTAATTTTTGTAATTTTAGTAGAGACGGGGTTTCACCATGTTGGTCAGGCTGGTCTCGAACTCTGACCTCGTGATCCACTCGCCTCAGCCTCCCAAAGTGCTGGGATTACAGGCGCGAGCCACCATGCCTGGCCAGAGAATGGATCTTAAAAGTTCTCACCACACACACACACACACACACACACACACACACACACACACACACACACAAAATGTGAGGTAATGGGTGCGTTAACCACTTTTATTGTAGTAATCATTTTACAATATATATGTATATCAAATCATCATGTTGTACATCTTAAATTTATACAATTTTAGTTGGCGATTACACTCAATAAAGCTGGAAAAATGGAAAAAACAAAGAATAAATACAAATGGTTAATAAATATAGGTGAAAAGCAAAAGAAAGAAGTGGTTTGTTTCACTTCCATAATTGTTGTTATGATTGATTTTGCTTCTAAGTTTTACTGTTTTCTTGTGTAAATGTCATTAGAGTCCCAGATAGAACTTCTGCTCTGACATGGCCTCCTCTCCAAGCCTGGTGACCTGGACTGGAAAAGCCCGTCAGAAGTCCCAAGATCCCCGGGATTTTTTTGTTTAATCATGGAGCAAGTGAGACTTTTTCTGCATCTCATCAAACCCTGACAGCTTTCTAGAATCAAATCTATCTCCCAAGTAGAAAAAGCCCCAAATCCACATGAAAGTGAAGGTGAACAAACAATATCATTTCACTCTCTTCCTTCTTTTCTCCCTCTTTCTTTTTTTGTTTTTTCCAACAAAACATTTTTTTATATTTTCATTACACAAATGGTACGTATCAATGTAGATAAATCAGAAAGTAAAGATTTGAATATATCTGTACAAGGTAATAATATGCAGCTGTTGAAAAGCATATTTTTTTAAAAAACATAAGGCAGATCTATGTGTATTGACATAGAAAGATGTTCATGACATACTATTTAGTGAAAAAAGCAGGTTACAGCACAGTGTATACAGTGTGATCCTATTTATATTAAAATATACACATGCATATATGTTTATATGTGCATACAAATGTCTGGAAAATATATATACCAACCTGTTCACAATGGTCCTCTCTGGGGAATGGGGTGGTCAGAGGGAAAGCCTCTATATACTTTTGTTGGGTTTGAATTTTTACGACAAGCCTGTATTATTCTTATAATTAAAAAAAAATTCTAAGAAAGTAAAAGAAAAAGTAAAGGCAAGAAAAGAGCCAGTATGGATATTTCTATGTTGAAATAAAAATATCAATAAGCCAAAAAAAGTAAAAAAGGCAATGCATAATCTCTATTCCCTCTCAAGGCAATCATTGTTAATATTGTGCTGCATGACTCAATCTGTTTTTATCCATGTAATATATACATCATTTTTATTTACATAAAATAAATTATATTATACATACAATTTTCTTGTAACTTGTGTTTCTCACCTAGTGATATCTCATGAACACCTTTCCAAGTTGATGAGAAGACACCTATCTTATTATTTTAAATAAATGTATATTTACTTAGGTTGTTTCCTTTTTATACCCTTATTAAAAACAAGACTACTGCAAACATCCCTGACCAGTTATATCTTTCCACACATTGTGTCTTTAGGATAAGTTTTTTAAAGTGACACTGCTGAGCACAGAGATGTGCAATATTTGTTAAGGCTTTTACTCCATGACACCAAGTTGCCTTCCAGAAAAGCCTTGCCACCGCTCCCTCCCATAGCCGTGTGTCGGCAGGCCTGATCTCTGCTTTATCTGTCCCCTCCATGAGTTAGTTCTCGTTGAAATTTTTGTTCATTTGGTAGTTGAAAACAATATAATCTCTGTGTGGTTTTAATTAGCATTCCCTTGATTACTACTAAGGCCGAACATTTCTTAATGTTCCTAGTAATCTGTTTGTCTTTTCATGAATTGCTTGTTCATGCATTTTTCCTATCTTCCCACTGGAGCGTTTGTCTTTTTCCTATTGATTTGTAAAAGCTCCCTATATATTAAGGATATTAGTCACTGTCTTTCAGATGTGTGGTCATTTTCCAAGTACATTATTTTGGCTTTTAAGTTTATCAATAGTTTTTTTTTTTAATGCACAAAAGATTTTAAATTTTGAGTCAAATTTATCAGTCTTTTTCCTTTATAGTTTCTGTGCTTGGTATTATATTTGGAATATCCTCCCCACTCCAAGCCTATACAAATAGGTACCAATATTTTCTTCTAGTATGACATTGCACTCTTCAATCCACCAGGATGTAATTTGAGGGCATGGTGCAAGGTGGAAGTTTCAATGTCCTTTTTAGAAATGGCTAGCTAGCTGTCCCAACAATCTCACTGATGGTCCCTTCACTTCGGTTCTGTTGGGAATGCTATCTTTATCTCATCTACTGAACAACTCTTGCACTGGGGTATGTTGCAGGACTTGCTCTCCTGTTTCTGCCATTTGGTTAAGACTAGAGGTTTGGAGGCAGCTCTTGGGTTTCTCCAGAGCTGTGAGTCACACTGGCCCTAAGTGTGTGCACTAGGGGTGGAGAGGTAGCTACAGGAGACAGGCTCCGAGGGGGTTGAATGTACAGCCATACATCCAGAAATGAACTTCTCCAAATGTAGCTCACCCTGGTACCAAACCTCCAAAGTGCTAGCCATTGCCCAGCTAGCCCCCAAAGCCCGCAGAGACAAAAACTCTCTCCTCTGGCTGGCGCTGGAAGCCTCTAGGTGGCACTGCGGAGCCGTTCTGTGCCGCCTGGAGGGCACAGGCTGGGATACGCTCCGGGGCTCTTTGGGCACCCTGGTCGTCGTGGGGCTCCAGGAACCTGGGCAATGGGATGCAGGGAGAGGTTGCTGGTGGTGAGGACACCAGCTTGGTTTCGCCGCAGTCCTTGGCACGGAACTACACGCCGCCTTCTTTAAAAGGGCAGGTGTGGCTGAGGCTCCACGGACAAGGCCATCATGAAGGAGTCACAGCCGAGGCTCTTTATAAATCACCCCAACAGCAGCAGGAAGGACAGTTCGCTGGCTAGTTCGCCTGCCAGCTGACCTTGAGAACTAGGCCAGACAGGCGAAGGGCGGGGCGCCGGAAAGGGCTGGGATTGGTAAGGACACTCAGCAGATGCTCTTTCAGGTGCTCAAGGCAGTGCCTCTGTCTTCACAATTTGTGTTAGATAAGGTCTTTCACAGCCAGGACCGCCTGGGGGTAAGGCAGCTCCAAGCAAAATCATCTCCATTTTCTACATGTCTAAGGAGAGACCTTGGTACACAGCTCAAGAACAGTTTGTTCAACGAACAAGTGGGAAAAACTCTTGTAGGAACTTAAGCAAGTTTCTGTCCCTCTCTGATACTGTCTTTTCTTACCGGACAACTATAAAGTCATGCCAAATATGAGGATTTAAAAACAGGATTGTGCTGTGAGTGCATCCAACTGAGGCTCAGGGAAAAGCATTCCAGTTGGGAAGATCTAGCATGTTCTCAGGAGTGTATCCAGGCACAGGTTTCAGTGTGGCTGGCAGTCTAGGGTGCATGTTAGCAAGGGGTGGGAAGCAGGCTAGGAGAAGAAGGCGGGAGTCTGATCCATGCTGGATGCAGGGTTCAGGGGCTTGCTCCGCCTTCAGGTCCCAGTAAGGGCTGACAGCAGGAAAGAGCAGATTAGTCCTCTCTTTGCAAAATGCTTTGAAAGGTTGCCTCTGGCTGCAGCAGGGAAAGTGTGTTGGGAGGCGGGAGGTGCAGGGGTAAGAGCAGCTGGAGGCTGTTGCTGCCCTCCAGGCAGGAGATGAAGGTAGCTCTCCTTGGACTTGAGATATACTTTGGAGGTAGCCCTAGGATTTATTGATTGATAGAATTTGTAGGGTAAGGAAAAGAGAAGCATTAAGGATGGAATCTAGATTTTGTCCCAAATGTGGCAATCTCTCTCTCTCTCTCTCTCTCTCTCTCTCTCTCTCTCTGTCTCCATATAAGTATATGTGTAAAATAGTAAAATACGTATATTTTAATGTGAAAGAATAAATCAAAAAGTAACAAAAATGTGCTGCCTGTAGGTGAAGAGAAAGAGAGAATAGAGAATGGGGAGAGGAAACAGAGATGGAAGCTAAATTTCTTTTGTTTTATACTTTGGAACTTACAGCCATTTAATATTTCATACAATTTAAAAACAAAATCAAATCAAAGAGAAAAAAACAATCCCATAAAGCTGAAAACAAATTCAAATAAATGAATCTTTCTGTATATCAAGTTGATGGCATAATCATACAAAACAGAATAATTTGAAGACTTTTGAAACATAGTGTTTTGACTGTATATCCCTGGTGGAATATATATTGAAGACAAACAGAAAGAAATGTTAAATTACATTTAGTTTTTTGTTAGTAGTTATGATGGTATTGTTATTTCAGCACACATAATATTAGAATAAAACAAATGATATATATGTTAATGCCATTAGGAAAAATGATTTTCAGCATAAGAGAAAAATGATATCCATTACAGATAAAAGATATTAAGTAAAATGCACTATAGTCTTTTTCATTAATTGAAATTTTCAGTATGAACTCCTTAGTTTTTGCTCTCCAAAAGGTGTAATTTTTCTAGCTCTGTCCACTGAAAAGACAAAGATATAATGCAAGCCAGTAATAAAGAACATTCCTAATGCCCAGCTAGTGGTCTTTAAATACTATTTCTCATTGAAACACGCCAGAGCTCCTTGAAAATGGTTTATTCCAGGTCTCTGGAAGAAAATATGCAAGATGAGCTGAAGATCTATTGTGCTGCCTAAAATTACCAAATATTACTAGAGTCAAGGCTAAATGACATAGGAGGAAATTTACTGATAAAGCCAGAATTCCTTTTTGCAGACAGACCTTTTTTGCTGAGAACAACTAGAATAGCTAAACAAGATTTGGGGGGAAAAAATACATTTGAAGACAGTAGGGAGCTACCAATGCAGCAAGGACTAAAGAGACCAAGATGCCAGAAAAGAAGGGAGACAGAGAGGTGAGCCTGACATTTGACACAACTTTTCTACTAAAAGCTTTTGCCAATTCCAAGCAGTGGCTAAGAGGCCAGGGGGCTGAGTAGATTTCCACAGTCTTTTGAGGTTGGAGGGACGAACATTGGCAATTAGGGCCCACCAAGGAGCAGATCTTGTAAACAGGTTTTAGGTTGGGATCCCTTAAAGGGCTACAACTAGGATTAGGAGTGAAGAAGAAAGTTACTAATTCTTGCAAAGATTGAAGCCCAGCCTTGAATAAGCTCACGATTTCCTTAGATTTAGGTGATCTGCTCCTACCCTTATTACCTGTGAGAAGGCAGAGTAAATTCTCTTCAAGAAGACATCGTCTGGCTCCTCAGATTATCTTTTGATATATGCATAAACAAAGTCTAGTATTTAATTAAAAATTATCAAGCATACCAGGAAACAAAATCACATGTCCCAAAACCAAGAGAAAAAAATAAATGATAAAATCTTATCCATACAAGATACAGCTTTTAGACTTGTCAGACATGGGCTTTAAAATAACTATGATTAGTAGGTTCCAGAAATCACATGGCTAATTAAAGATTATCAGGAGAGAACTAGGAGTCATATAGAAAAATTAAATGGAAATTCCAGTACTGAAAGATAAAGTAACTGAAAAAACTGTTTGATATATGAGTTTAGCAGCAGATTAGACATAGCTGAAGGAAGGTCAATAAGCTGGAAGATAAGTTAAAAGAAAAAAATCATACCGAAACATGGGCAAGAAGAGGCTGAAAAGTACAGAGAGGTGTATAAAAGACACATGGGCGACAGTTAAAAGTTATGTATATTGGCTTATGTCAGGTGGATAGCCTGCATTCACTCACCTCTTAATTAATTGTGGGAAATTCCTTGAAGAATTCAAGACTCTCCTTCCTATGTACTGTCTTAAGGGAAATTGTCGTCAATGAACTCCTATGATAATTCCGTCATTCCATGGTGTAAGAGGATTGCAGTCTGCATGCACGGAATTAAAATTGGAAGCAAGTATTGACATCAAGTGGAAATAATAATCTTGAAAGAAAAGAAGAAAGAAGGAAGGAAGGAAGAAAGGAAGGGACGGAGGGAAGAGGGAATGAGAAATAAAAGAAAAAAGAGAGGAAGGGACAAAGGAGAAAGGGAGAAAAGAAGGAAGAGAAGCTGGGAGGAAGGGAGGGTGGGAGAAAATGGGAGGAAGGGAGGGTGGGAGAAAATGGGAGGAAGGGAGGAAATAAGCAAACCCATCTGCTGCAGTACAGCATCTACCAGCTGGAACACAAGACACAGGCACTTTTTTTTTTTCATAAGTTCTGGGATACATGTGCAGACTGTGCAGGTTTGTTACATCGGTATACATGTGCCATGGTGGTTTGCTGCACCTGACAACCCGTCATATAAGTTTTAAGCCCCACATACATAAGGTATTTGTCCTAATGCTCTCCCTCCCCTTGCCTCCCATCCCCCGACAGGCCCCAGTGTGTGTTGTTCCCCTCCCTGTGTCCAAGTGTTTTCATTGTTCAACTCCCACTTATGGGTGAGAACATGTGGTGTTTGGTTTTCTGTTCCTGTGTTAGTTTGCTGAGGATGATGGCTTCCAGCTTCATCCATGTCCCTGCAAAGGACACGATCTCATTCTTTTTTATGACTGCATAGTATTCCATGGAGTATATGTACCCCATTTTCTTTATCCAGTCTATCATTGATGGGGATTTGGGTCGGTTCCGTGTCTTTGCTATTGTAAATAGTGCTGCAATAAACATATGTGTGCATGTGTCTTTATAGTAGAATGATTTATATTCCTTTGGGTATATACCCAGTAATGGGATTGCCAGGTCAAATGGTATTTGTGGTTCTAGGTCCAACATAGGCACATTTTAAGATTTGTACTGTCACCAGGCATAACTATACAGCTGCTGGGAACTTGAAACCCTGCAAAATATTTCTAAATATAGAACCACAGAATGACAGAGCTAGAGGGGATATACCCACTTTACAGATGGAAAACTTGTGGCACAGCTCTCCAGTTGTTCTGATCAGATAGTTAGATTTTTCCCCTGAACAGCATCCTGGGCAGAAGGCCAGAAACATGTCCAGAGGATTGATGAGTAGTTGGGGAGCCTGGGCCTCAAGGAACAGTTAATCCTAAAGGCGGTACCCAATCTTCTAATTTCCTGCTCCTGAGGGATAAACTGCCTTTCTGGCCCCCACTTGCTTCCATCTTTAGCCAAATAAAAGGGACACAATCAAGCACATAACATTAAAAAGGAAAGACCCGAGAAGTGAGATCCCAAAGGATTTAAGGCCTAAGCCACACAAGAATACCTCCATTTGTCTAATTGCTCTCAGAAGCCCTGTTTCAATTTGTGTCTGGACCTGAAGAAAACTAACTATTAATCACTGTACAGGTGGCCCTGTTTAGAAGAGGCATGTCTTCTTTGCTGCCTAGGAGAATAGTTTAAAGATTTTCACAAATGAATAATTGCTCATTAGAAACTAATGCATTCACACAACTGTGCAGTCTTAGGTAACAAAAAGTCATGCTTTTTGAATGTTCAGTTGCTTGAGTCCTCTCCTAAAAATCTTATGTGGTTATCCAGCCTGGGCTTGAATTCTTCAAGGGAGCTTGCCACCCCCTGGAGTAGCTAACCAAGGTAACTGTAGCCTCTGGGGATTATTGGTATGAAGAGGTGCAGGGGGAGGATTGGAGTCATGTGTTCATCCAACAGTGAAAGGTCAGTTTTTTCTCTTTTTTCTTTTTCTCTTGGGAGAAATGCCATGGACTTTCTTGGTCTCTGCATCTTATTTGTATGTGTAACAGCAATGTACCCCCAAAGCATTGCCAGTCTGTGTCACCAACCAGCCGATCAGCAATCAGTTCCAGGCTGGTCTCAAGTCAGTTCTTTCTATGGCACATAGAAGAGGCATGTCTTCTTTGCTGCCTAGGAGAATAATTAAAAGATTTTCACAAATGAATAATTGCTCGTTAGAAACTAATACATTCACATAACTGTGCAGTCTTAGGTAACAAAAAGTCGTGCTTTGTGAAATAATAGATGGTATGATTGAATTCAAACAGTTGATAGATACTTACAACTGGCTTATACATGTATTCTTAGGATCAAAGGCTTGCCATTTATTGTGCCTGAAACCATAACTGTCACCATAAAAGATTATGCAGCTTTGGCACTTATTTAGCAAGTGGTACATAATTGTGGTTACTACTCAGATTGTCCATTCTTCACTTTAGAGATGAGGTTGTTCCATTGAAATAGAACCTGGTATCCATGTTTAGTTCTTCTAAAATGGGGTCCTCACATTAGTAAGGATTATTGAATGCTGTTAGTGGATGGTATTGCACAGTCATTCAATCATTTTATGGGCCCTGATGATAATCCAGGGCATTCAGAGACTCTCAACGGAGGCAAGATCTTTCTATTTTCACTTTGATACCATTAGACCAGGGAAGGAGGTGATGACAGTGTGGCTCATGTTTGAACATGAAGCATCCCATGGGGTCCTTAGACTGTGAACCTTAGTGGCGAGGAACTAGTTCATTTCAGTCTGACCCCAGACATCCCAGCAGCAGTGTATGATTTTCTGCAGCTTTCAGACATCCAGATATGGAAAAACACATCAGGAGCCAGGTATTTGCTAAGGGGTGAAATAGAACATTAAGAAGGAAGATTTGAAGATACATAATCAAACCTGGCTCTCCACTGTATACCCTGAAGCTTTCCTGCCTCCATGCACTTGTCCTTCACTTGAATGATTTCCCTCTCCTTTTACCAAGTTTAAGTTAAAATCAATCACCCTTATTTGAAGGATCAACTCATATGTCGCTCCCTCCAGTGAGATTTCCTCTAGTGACTGACAACTCCTGGAGGAGCGTTCAGTTTTGGACACATGGGGTTGAGGTGCTTAAGAAACATATGAGTTAAGATGAGCAAAAGACAGCGGGGTATGTGGATCTGGGTTCTCAGGAGAGAGGTTTAGATTAAAAACAAATATCTAAAAATCACCAGCATATAGGTGGCAATTGAAACCATGAGAGTAGATGAGAGAGGTTGCCCAAGGAGAGTATGTAGACCAAGAAGAGGACTATGTGTCATGTAAAAGTTGAATTCATAGTGCAGAAAAGGTCTGTTCCTTATCTCAGGACAATGTGAGAATTGAGTAAGTAAAAACTCAGACAGCTACACCTAAAATCTTGGATGATTCTAATAATGATAACACTAGCTTGTGTATACTATGTATTAGGCACTCTGCTAAGAATGTTTCATGTATATCTCAGCAAAATTCTCCACCTACTGCCTAAGGCAGATACTAACATCCCCATTTGGTGGATGAGGAAATTGAGTCACAAAGAGGTCAAGTAACTTACCCAAGGTCACACGGCCAGCAAAGGATGGAGATAAAATTTGAACCCAGTTCTGTGGAATTTCAAAGTCCATCCCTTGACAACTGTGACATACATGCCAGTTGCCTATTGCCATGTTAAATATATTATTATTGCATCTGACCTGGGCAAGCCTCTGTCACTGGAGTCCACCTCAGGGGTAAGACAATGACAATAAACTAAGAAATCTATAGGTGCTACCTGATGGATGAGTAACAGAGCAAGAAGTTCCATACATTCTAAGCCCTGTAACTAAGTTTCAACTACCCTGAGAGTCACTTCCAGGCTCCCCTAACCCCCTCTCACACATGGACCACTATAGAAAGATGACTCTCAGTCTCTCTTGATTTCCACAGTTTAGCTGACTTCTATGTACAGGCCAGAGTGAGTAGGTGACAACAGGAGATAAAGCGAAGAAGATTGTTGCACTGAAGTGAACCACAGAGACTTTCTCAAATTGAGTACAATTTTCCATGTCTTCAAATCTTTGCTGAATTATGGAAAATGCAACTCAATATCAAAAAGGGAAAGTTGAAATATTTTTTGGGTTATGGACTTCTCATATCCCTCCAGTAGGAATGAACTTCTGCTTTCCCTGGGTTCCCAAGGCACACTGCTTTTATCTCCATTGATGGCTCTTCTCACAGTCTACCAGGGATTCCAGTTATTTGAGTCCTTGGTGGTCTCCCTTAATAGATTATGAACCCCAAGATGGCAGAACTCTGTCTTATTCACCTTGGTAGCTCCCACAGAAGCTATCACTGTGCCCCTCACATGGTGTGGTGAGTGAAAGAAGCACTAAGGAATGTTGAAGTAAGGCAAAATGTTGATGGCTATAGTGCTTGCTGTTCCTCAGAGGAGTCTATGGAAGGTTGTCCTGATTTGTGGGGACCCAAGCCATCATCTCTTCCTTACCCTTACTCTGCTCTCCACAAGCTCCTTCTGCTTTCCCCATTCACAGCATTACTGTATCATATCATCATTGTCTATTTACTTGTTTGCTTATCCTATGGGCTAAGAGCAAATTAAGGGTAAGGGCCTTGTCTGATTCACCTCTGTGCCCTTAGCACCTGGAATATAGTGCCTAATGAGTGTATAATGGATGAATGAACCAAAGGAAGGAAGGAGGGAAGGATGGAAGCAAAGAAGAAAACAGAAGCAGGGAGTGAGGAAAGGAAAGAAAGATGAAAAGAAGGAAAAAAGGATGACCTGAGAATTATAAATCTCTTGAATTGGCAGAAGAGTAGTACCCATCCTTCCCCCCTAAACAGGGAAGCTAAGAAAAAAAAAACTAATGTGGGTGGGAAGAGGGGGAAGTGGTCACTTTTTCTGTAAGATGAAATACTTCTGACTTTTGTAAGAAATTAAAAGAATGCCAGTTTACAAGTAGAAATGACTGTGATCCCTTGATTATACAACAGGAAAATAATACAGCATGGATTGCTGTCCATTTACATGGGATTCAAATTTGTCCAGTTTAAAAACTCCAATTTGACAAGAGGTTTTCACCCACTCAGTCTACATGGAATTGATGTAGAGTGTGTGGTGGGGTGTCAGCCATCACTATTCTAAAACTTAATGCTACTTAACATCAAGTCAAAATTGCTGCTTTTAGGTATGTGAAGTGTTAAGCACAGTGTAGGTGTTTCAGAAATATTTAATGATTGATTAATAGGCAGAAATTGCTCCAGAAAGAACATGTCAAATCCAAAACTTAGAGAAAAATGACAATAGGAAAGAATGCCTGGATCAGTAAAAAAAGAACAGGTTAGAAAGGAAGAAGGACAGTGATATAGCAAGATAAACTATCTCCTTGAAATCATCTACATTCCATTTTTCTTGCAATCATATGGATGGAATGGGACATTAGAAAAAGGAATCTGATGAAGGTAGTCCCTTTTGTTAGTGAAAAGTCAAATAAGAGGAAACAAGCTTTCACTGAAACAGTTCTTGTTTTGATAAGACATAAGGGAGGACTTTCTGACCATCAGGAACACTAAAGAGTTTCACTAAATAAGTTATGGATTATTCAGCCATGGATATCTTCACAACAGAAACAGACCTTCACACATTCTTGCTAGTTCAGCCTGTCACTGTCCTGGAGCAAGTGTAGTGCTTGATGGGGCAGCCTAATTTAGGGACAATGCACTGCACTGGAGGTCCAAAATGCCAGATTCTAGAGCCAAATCATCTACTTACCAATGACATGTCCTTGATCAAATTCTCTAACTTTGTTGAACCCCTGTTTATTTAGGACTCTATACATCATAGGGTTGCTGTGAAGACCAAGTAAGAGACTATATACGTAATGCTTTGTATCTGCAAAGCCACGTGTGGCTTTTAATTATTATTTTTAATTCTAGAGTTTAAAATAATAATCACAACCCTTATCTGAAATTCACAAAGCAGGCAGCAGGCAGCCTTTTTAGGATAAATGCTAAAGTCCAAACCCCTTGCCCTGGTACAGAAAACTCATTTCTTGTCCCGCCCCCACCACTGTCAAACCTGACGGTTCCCTAAGTGTACTGAACCATCATCTTCTCCATGAAGTTCTTCCAGGATGTACGCTTCCAGATAGCACAGACATTCTCCTCTTATGTATTCTCTGTGCCCTATGTAGATGTTGCCCCTCCATCGGACTTCTCTGTTTACTTCGTCTCCCCTACTAGACCAGAAGTCCTTTGTGGGCTTCCATCCTTGAATCTAACCAATCTATTTCTGAACATGCCCAATGTAGCATCCAACATATCAAAGCAACACAATTAGTTTTCATTTGATATTACATTGTGTAGCCTGTACTTGTACCAATATGTTTACCAGCTTCTTGTCCATCATTGCTTCTTGCATTCCACTCATTTCTCAGTTTAATTTCTGTGCTTGAGTTCATATTTTAGTAGATCTTTAGGCAAATATCTATGTCTTTGTCTCAATGTTTTATGCCCAAGGTATGGAACAGCCTGACAATAGTGTGTGCTCAATAAATAAATGAACATTAAATGAAAGAATAAAGAGTAAGCTCAGTCTTTGTCTGACTGTTCTAGGTTCTTTGTATTTCCATGTACGTTTTAGAATATGTTTGTTTAATTCTATCAAAAAAAAGTCTGCTTAGATTTTGACTAGGTTGGTGTTGAATCTATAGATCAATTTGAGGAGAAACAATATCTTAATATTGAGTCTTCCAATACCTGAGCATGGCATATTTCTACATTTATTTAGATTCTCTTTAATTTTTCTCTGCAATGTTTTGTAGCTTCAACATGGAAGAATGGCATATTTCTTCGTTAAATTCATTCCTAAGTATTTTATGGTTTTTGATGCTATTGTAAATGGTATTTTTAAAAGTTTTATTTCCGATTGTTTGTTGCAAGTATGTATGTGTATTATCTGTTGCTAAAATTTTGCATGTTGATCTTATATTTGTGACTTTGCTAAATTCATTTATTACTTCTAATAAGTTTTTAGATGTCTTAGAAATGTTGTGAATACAGTCATACTCTTTGCAGATAAAAACGGTTTTACTTTTTTATTTTGTATGCTTTTCTTTTTTTGCCATTTTGCACTGTCTAGGACCTCCAGTGCAATACTGTATAAAATGGTGAGAATGGACATCTTTGTCTTGCTCCTGATCTTAGGGGCAAAGCATCCAGGGTTTTACTATCAAGTATGGTATTTGTTGTCAGTTCTGAATATTCAGCCTTTATCAGGTTGGGGAAGTTCTTTCTATTCATGATCCACTGAGGCTTTGGGGCTTGTTTGTTAATAATAAATAGACATTGAATTTTCCAGATGCTTTTTCTGAACTTATTGAGATGATCATATTATTTTTCTTTTTTATTTAGTTAATATGGTAAATTACACAGATTGATTTTTGAGTATTAAACCAGCCTTCCATTCCTGGGATAAGCCCTCCTTTGGTCATGAGGTATTATCATTTTTATATATTGCTGGATTTGATTTGCTAATTTTACTGAAATGTTATTCACTTGACAATGTATTTTGCTCTACTTCTAAATGATAATTAAATTGAGCATAGAATTCAAGGTTGACGGTTTTTTCCCTGAGTACTTTGAAGATATTCATCTGTCTTTTAGCATCTGTTTTTTGATGAAAAGTCTATATTCAGTCTAGTTGTCATTTCTTCAAGGGTAATATTTATTTTTTTCTCCCTGGAGGCTTTTAAGATTTTTTTCTTCAATGTCCTGAAGTTTCATCATAATGTGTCTAGGGGATAGATTTGTTTTTACTTATTCTGCTTAAGACTCAGTATGATTATTTCATCTGAGCACTTGTATCATATTTTCAATAATTGGTCTTTATTCCTTCAAATATATCCTCTCTCTCTCTCTCTCTCTCTCTCTCTCTCTCCCTCTCCCTCTCCCTCTCTCTGTTCATATCTTCTCCTCCTGGATCACCTACTAGATATGTTGGCTCTTCTTATTCTATTCTCTAAATTTCCTAATGACACTTTCAAATTCCCCATTTCTTTGTATCTCTTTCTTGCATTCCAGGTGATTTTCTTAGCTCTATCTTTCAGTTCACTGTTTCTTTCTTTAGCAGTGTCCCATCTGCTATCTCATCCACTGAGTTTTTCAATTTAAAACTATGTTTCATTTTGAGAAGAACCAGGATTCTTTTTCAACTCTTATTTTATCACCTTGTCCTGTTCTTTCATTGTGGCTTATTTTTATCTCCGTCATTATTTTAAATATATGTGCTTTACAGTTTCTTTCAGATTGTTCTATTATTCTAAGATTTTAGCTAGATAGTTCTTCTGCTGTGTCTGCTGAGTCTCTCTCATAAAGGTTCATTTTCTTGTGTAGTTTGCAATTTTTATTTTAGGGTGAGGGCATATTTAGTGAGGGTTACTTATTATGTTAGAGGACAGTGTGCCCTGGTTTGTGAGTCTCTACAGTCTTGGTGCTTCCTTTTGCCAAGAATCCCAGAAGTTTCATTGGTTTTAGACCAGCTTTCACAATGATGGCCTGACTTGTGATTCCTGTCCCATGCAAGTTTTATAAATTCTGACCCCATTTCTATGGGAAGTGTGAGATTTCTCATAAGAGACATTTCTCATGGGGTCCCTCCAAAGCCTGGGTGGGCATGAAGCTTCCTTACTCCTTCTCTGGGTGATTGACTTTTTTCCAGTCTATGAGAAGAAGGACTCTTCAAGGTTCTGGCCTTTATGCAAAGAAGTGATTCTAACTCCTCTACGTAACATGGACATGTCTTCCAAACATATGTCCTCTCTATGCCTGGGACCCAATGCCCAGCACCTGGCACTTATATCAGGTTCACATTTTCTAAGTACTACTCCAAGATTTACTTATACTTATTGCTCTGCATTTATTGTTTCTCTGTATTTGAGGTGATTAGAAATTTTTACATTTTTTTCTTCAAATTTTGCAATATATTTTATTTTTTATAAGAATTCTTTTTTAGAAAGGCAGAAAGAATAGTGTAATAAATACCCAAACACTCATATTCGATATTTAAAAGTATTTTTTTCTTGCCACATTTACTTTATCTATTAGTTTTCTGAAACATTTCAAAATAAGTTGTAGCCACCATGGCATGTGGCCTCCAATTAGTTTAATTTGTATTTCCTAAAAATAAGGACATTCTCCTATATAACCATAATACCAATATTATACTTAAGAAAATCAACCTATTATCAAGTAGTATTCAAATTTCATAAATTGTTTCCAAACTACATTGTATAGCTGCTTTTGAAAAAATCAGGATCCAAAGAATTACACACCAATGAAGAAAGACACTTTTTGTTATGTCTTCTTATTCCATTTTAATCTAGAACCATCCCTATGACACTGACTTTTTGTAGAAACCAGACCAGCCGTGTTGAACGTTCTCCAGTGTTCTAGCTTTGACTGATTATTTCTTTGTGATTGTTTAACTTGATCCTCTGTCTCTATATTTTCTGTAAATTGAAAATCAGGTTTAATGGCTTGACTTCTTGCAAGAATATTTCATAGGGGATGCTGTGTGTCTCCTGTTGCATCACATTAGGAGATCTGGTTGTCCCATTATTAAGGGTGCCAAGATTGCTGCCTGGGTTAAGGTGATGACAGCCTAATCTCTCTACTGTAAAGTTACATTTCCCCCACACACACACCTTGTAACTAACAAGCAAGTAATTTCTGAGGTGTGCACCAAGTATTAAAAGGAATTTGGAATTGTGTTTTATCCATGTTTCTATGAATTTGTCGGAAGAGAAGGGATCCCATCACCTTGGAACTCCCTGCCAGTGAGTTCCCTGTCCCTGGGCAGACACTGGGATGGGTGGGTGCTCAGGGAATAGTGAGACAAGAGGGACACAGTCCTCCTGAAAAGAGCTCACAGCCCAGTTGGGGAGACAACACAAACCCATACACAGATATCTATCTCCAACCCCCACTGCTCTGGGTGGAATGAATCACCTCCTTCCTTATAGAGAAAACCAAAGCGCTGCTTTCAGAAGAAGTTTTGCTTTCCCTGCTAGGTTCAGCAAAGCTTCCCTGAGGCCCTTCACTGTGCAGAAACTGTGTCTGGCCCTGGGAATAGGGAGATGAACAAAGCATGCCCCTTGCCCTGTGAGGGCTTGAGGGCTAATTGGAGAGACAGACACATAAACAGACAATTGCAGTCCGGCATACTGAACACTCTAACAGAGGAGTAAACAGTGTGCTGTGGGAGGTCAGAGGAGAGAGCAATTACCAAAGCCCCCTTCCCTACAAAGCTGGAGAGGCCCCCAGCCCTGCTACTCCAGGTGGAAGTGAGCACTCCTCCTCTGAATGGTACTTAGCATTTCTCTGGGCCTCCCTTATGCTGCTTCCCATTGAGTACATTTTCTTACTGTAACTTACACAAAAACTGTGAGCTTCTTAAGGATAGAAATTCAAACAAGGTTTCCCACAGAAACATGCGTTCTTTCTGATATGCTCTGTAACACTTTCTTGGGCTGTGCTATAGTCTCGCTGCCCCCTACCCTTGAAGGGTGATCGATAGAACACCCCACAGCATTCTAAATGGTGTTTGCCCGGAGCAGAGGGCATAAGACTCTCCACCTTCTGCTTAACTGGACACTCCATGTCATCAATAAAAAGGCAGCCAAAAAGTGCATTCACTTTGGGGTAACCATCTTGCCTTGTTATTTCAGGTTAAACCGGCTATGAACTGGGACACTCAGTATTTTCCCCCCTTTCAGTCACGTGAATAACCTTCACTGTAGCTGCTCCAGCCTTTGCCCTCAAACTTCTGAAGCAATCAAATCCATTTCTGATTAAGAATTAAACATTTTCTGCCCTGCCCAGGCTCTGCTAATCCAGAGCAATGTTTAGTTTATTGCCTTTCAGGCTTCATGTTTTTTTGAGTGACTGAGTGGGCAGACATGTCCATTCACTGTGGGGAGTTTCCTGGAATTAGCAGTACAGTAAAGAAAAACCTTGGCATAAAGGCATTAAGGCAACTACAGCTAAAAAATAAATTTTAACCACAGTATAAAAGGAAATGGTTAATCCCAGTTTGCAATTAATTTCAGCCTCTAATCAATTCCTCCTGTGAGTAAAGCACATGAGAAATACGATCTCCAAACGATTAATTCATAGCGAAAGGTCACTTCTTTGAGGTATGAGCAGTGTCTGGAATCTTTCCCTCCTTACAGGTCTCGACAGTAGTGACCTGAGCACGTTCTCCTCCTGCTTAGGTCTCAACTTTAATCAGGGAATCACAATCTATTATTTATTCTTCACACTGAAGAAAAGGGAATATAAACATGTGGGTTTGGTGTCACCCATAGATCAATTAGAAAAAACCGAAAAAGAAAAAACTAACAGATTCCTCCAAGCTGAGTAGTCTTCTTGCAGTTTGTGCCAACTTCAACACAGCCCAAATGTTTATTCAATAATAAAATGGGCACTTCTAGAAGAACCGCTTATGGCTAACTAGAAAGGTAGCACTTGAGCTATCATTTTCTCAACTGATTTCGGAATAAAATAGATGAAGGTAAATTCTTTGTGAATAATGACTTTGTCCTTACCGCCTTCCCTGCTCATCTAATCCCAGGAGCAGAGACGGCAAAACGGGGAGCAGAGAGAGAGCGTCTGAGACAGAGATGCCAGGAGCTGTGTGGCTCAGCATGCGTCCTTTGCAAGGCATGCTGACCCCTCTAAATGGAACGATCTTTCGGGCATTTTCGGGACTGCTTGTGAGGCTGATGGCTGCACTTTGGAAGGCAGCCTCACTGTGCTTACTATGGGGGCCCCTGCAGAGCCCGTGCACAGCAGTTCTGGGTGCCAGGTTACCAGTGGAAACCAAGAAGTTTGAGGCGATTCCTGCACATGATTCAAGCCAAGGTGCTCCTTAATGAATGGCTGGCCCCAGCTCTTGTGTCCCATCGTTGGGCCCTTCAGGCGGCTCACATTTTGAACTGTTACTGCTCATCACAGAAGAGTGTTCTGAGAATGTCCCCCGCCTCCTAATAGCATTAATTCTCCCACCTCGCCCCGACCACCAAACAAACAGAAATGTGAAAAGTATTCCCTCTGGGTGAAGTAACTTCTAGGATAGCTTTTGGTTTAAGGGGCTGTATGTGGATGGCTTTTTTGTTTGTTTTGTTTTGTTTTCTTTTGCAGGGTGGAGGGGAAACAGAAGCCAGATACTCTCTGTCTGTGCTTTGCTGTGTATGGGAAACATCCTTTCTGTGGAATGCTGGCAACAGGGAGCTTGAGTTCACATTTTGCTGTTGGCCTGCAGTATCTCACAAGCTTTCAAGAAGCCTTCAGTTGAGGACCCAAGAGAGGCTACTGGATGCTGATTTTGAACCGAGGATGTACACTGTCCCTGTGAAAGTGACATGCAGGGTCACGGTCCTGGGATGGAAGCTGCAGAGTAGATGAAGGCATAGGATAGACCATGACTATTCTGCCCATATTGATGCTGCCTTTAGATTTCATGCAAGAGATACTTACCGATGGGACCATCAAAGGCTGGACCTTCCAGCAAACTGGCTGCAGAGCTAGAATTATGACTCAGCTTTGCTGACTCCCAAGCCCATGCTCTCCCAAGCTTATCTTCCAGCAAGGGGTCAGTGATGTTCAGATTCAAACTTCCTCTTTTTGAGTAGTATGGATATCCTCTTCTCCCAAAAAAAAAAAAAAAAAAAAAAACACCCACCCATCTTAGACACCCTGAAAGCATTATCATTATGTAAAACCTGACAGCAGGAGGGTGGTGCATTTCTCATAAACACTTTTTGTTTTTCTAAACCTTACATTAATTTCCAGTGCAGATATGTCCATGGGCTATAGCAGGAGACAATGTCTTTGTTGGGAAACTTTAATTAAACTTCTCACAGGGCATAGTGAAAATGCAGCCCTTTGAAACCTGAGACCTACCAGCATAAAGATGAAAGCTGTTACGTGACACAAAATAAGACATTTGTGAATAGCTCAAGGTTTTTCCGCCTGGTTCCCCTGATGAACTGATACCATTGCTATATATTGGCAACAGTAAACTCTGAGGGGATGGCATGGGAGAGAATGGAGAATATATTTTGCCCTGTTCTAGAACAACAGGAGTGAAGAAGCTGTCACCATGGATGCTAAAATGTTCGGAGTAATATGGTCCAATGAGTCTCCAATGGTGAATGGTGATCCAGTGTCGAGCTGATAGGACTTAAGAATACAGATCTCTGGGCACATGCCAGAAGGTTAAATTTGGCAGAGGCTGGGGTTTGCTCAGTTCTCTGTATTTTTATATGTGTGTTCCTGGTGATTCTGACAGGCAGCCAATTTGGGGAACCACTGACTGATCTATCAAACTCGCCCAACTCTGCCACTTGAGTCAGGGGTGGAGTTCAGGGCAAAAGAATGGATTTGGAGAGGGATACATCCTGAGCCTACAGGGCTGGTGCATTCAAAGATTTGGGAACTGTTGTTGGGTGCAGGACCCCAAAGTAGGAGCTGCTCTCTTTGGAAGAGTAAAACCATGACAACCTCAGAAGAGAGTCTGGGTCTCCTCCAGATGACACTCAGCGTGTGTACAAAGAGGAGACATGGGTACACATTGGTAGAAAAAGCAGAAAGCTCTCAAAAGTGGCCTTAGAGACATGGGATGCCACAAATGGGGAAACTGAGGTCCAAAGTGTGAGACAGGCTCAGCTCAGAGACCCATGGGCAGCAAGCACCAATGTTAGCTAAACTTTTGCTTCTTAACTCGGGATCCCTGCACCACACCACAGTTTAGGCTTGTGTAATATACGCTCCACTTTGCTCATTTGTTCATATGTCACGAATATTAATCAAGTAGTCTAGCAGAAGGTGAAGGCAGAAAAATTAGACACAGCCCCCACCATCTAGGTACTTCCTGGCTATTAGAGGAAATGGCTGTAACACAAGGGTGAGACAATGCCTGAGGAGTGATATTGACACAGGGATGGAGAAAGGTGCTTCGGCCTGGCAGGAAACCCTGGAGTAAGTTGGGATGAGAGACATCTTCCTCCCAGAGGTAACTTAAATAATCTCATCATCAAACTCCCTAACTTCAGAGCTAAGCCTTAGCCCTAAAGTCTACCAAAGGTGGGGTGTAGAGGTGCAGAGAGCAGAGGCAAATTGCCAGAGGTCGCACAGCCAGCAAGTGGTGGAGCCAGGGCTCCATCCCAGATTATCTCACTCCTGGGTGGTCCAGCGCTCTTACCTCGTTTCCACAGTGGTGATGAATTCACAGAAGAAGAAACCATACTGAGAACTTTGTTGGGACTTAAAAATCTGGATGAAAGAAAAGAGCTTTGTTTTCCTAGATTAATTAATTTGTGTCCTTAACCAAGGGAATTCTCATGAACCAACACATCTCAGATGGGTAGGGAGGACAAGGGATTGCCCTGGGTATGGTGGCTACAGGCGTAATCCTCCATACAAGTAGTTATATACCCCTCTGCACTGCATTTGTCAAAAACAGCCCTTTCTGAGTGTTTCTCTCTAACAGATGGGTTTTATCTTCAATGACCAAACAATAGAAAGCAGGGCAGACATAAGGCATCTTTTTCTATTGGATTTGTTGCTGCCTGTGGTGGAGGGTGAGATACTGCAGATAATTTAATAAGGTCTGTCTGATTATGTTTAGTTATATCATGCCGCTCTACTTGCCACTTTCCCTGTGATTTTCCTGAGTCTTTCCTCATTTCTTTTCCATCTTCTTATCATAAGGACAATGATGGTTATAATGACAAATAGTTATATAGCACTTACCATGGGCAAGGCAGTGTTTTAAGCACTTGGAAAATACGAATTCATTCAATTCTCCCATCAACCCTATAAGGTAGCTTACTGATATTATCCCTATTTTACTTATTAGAAAACAGAGACGGTATGTAACCTGCCTAGGGTCATACAGCTAGCAAGTAGTGGAGGTAAGATTTGAACTCAGACAATTTAGGTCCATAATCTATGGTCTATACTCTTAACCACGATGCACAGAGCCACTTCAGATAGCAAAGAAAAATAGATGGAAAATTAGAAGACAATCCTCCCTTGCAAACAGATGTTGAAATTATTCTAAAACAAAATTCTGATCTTCTGACTACATGCTTATATCTATGACTGAAAGAGAAAAAAAAGCAAACCTGACATCTGACTTGATTGACCCTCAGTTTAAATGAAGAGCCCAATGCCCCACCTGGGACAGCAAAAACCTCTAGTTAGTATTTGCTCAATAAATATTAGATGGATAAATAAATTAATAAATATATAGATAAAATTTCCTCTAAGCTTATGTCCACATCCTCAAACTCAGAGCTTATTTAAATTGTGGGAAGAACATCTGGAAGCCTGAACTCTTGGGTGTAAGCTCCAGGTCCATCATTTATGAGCTGTAGACTTTTGGAAAGTCAGCCAACCTCTCTGATCTTTACTTTTCTTTTCTAGAAAATGAAGATAATAAGCTCTGCCTCACAGGATGGCTAGATGGATAAAATAATTGATTTGAAACCATTTTATAGATCACCAAATGTTATCTAAGCATGAGGGTCAGTTAGAGACCCCATAGGCCAATCAAATATTTTTTTCCTCCATACAACAAGGAGACCTAGAAGCAGTTCTTTCTGCCTCAGATTGTGATATAGGCCAGTCCTCTTCCCAGTGCCACACTCCAGGGAGCTCTGTTCACAGTGCACTCCATGTGAGTGGTAGCCCTGGGTCATGTACTTCGGAGGCCCTGTCTAGTGGATAAAGTGAACAGCAACGGATAGTTGGTTGTGATTTCCTAGTGGTGGCCTTAACCTCTGATGGTAATGGTGGCACTGTGGATTAAGCAGGTAGCCAGGCCAGGCACGCCATGACCCTGTCTTCAGAGAAGAGATGCGAAGCTCATAGATGGGAAATGACTTGTCCAAGGTTATGAAGCCAGTAAGTGATTGGGATGGATGCAGAACCTGGGTACCACTTTTTACTCATCCAAGAGCCCTCTGAATTTGTGGGAGTAAGTGCAGCCTTCACATGCCAAGGCCTGTGGGAAGGGAGTTGTCGAAGTAGCTTTGAAGAGAAACGTGTTGTGGTTTTCTTATATCGAA
This sequence comes from Homo sapiens, assembly GCF_000001405.40. Classification (NCBI taxonomy): domain Eukaryota; kingdom Metazoa; phylum Chordata; class Mammalia; order Primates; family Hominidae; genus Homo; species Homo sapiens. The sequence goes on along the minus strand of NC_000023.11, from coordinate 151,341,213 downwards.
AATATTGACAGAATTTTGTTTCATCTGTGTTAGTTTCATCTGTGTTAGTGATTTTGTTTCATCTGTGTTAGTCGACGTAATTTGTAGGAATTTGTAAAACTAAATCTTGTTTCCCTCTTCAGTGAGCATATATTACTAACTTCAATATGGAAAGAATAATAACTGAGCCACAGGAAAACATCCATTTATTTGAAAAGAGGTGAGTCAAACTCAGAGAACTTGAGAAATAATTATAAACTAGCTCCAGGTGTTGGCACCTGAGAAACCATGTTGTGTGTGTCTGGGTGTATGGGGAGAGCCACTGCAGTCATGCACATGGTTCTTCTGGCCTCAGTCTCCCCTCCTCTCTTGGAAGAGAGGTCTGGCCATTGGGTTCAGGTCTCTTAGGAAACAAGGCCATTGGAGTCCTGGGGCTGAGACGTGAGTCAAGGCAGGCCTACTGGAGAGAATAATTATCCCAAATGAATGTTACTACATCTGGGGGCTAGAGTAGGGAAGTGGAGTGAGGTCAGCAATTCCTGGTGTAGGAGACATGGAAATTCACATCGTTGTCTTAATTCAACTTGGCTTTGACCGGCGCAAAGCAGTTTCTCCAGAAGCACCACCAACGGAAAAGTAAAGAGGCTCAATTGTGGAAGGGTCCTCAGAGAACACATTTCCTAATCCTTTATTTCACAATTGAAGAATATCGAGCCCGGAGAGGGAAAGTACATATGCTTTGGTCACACACCTTGGTAGTGCCTGAGCTGAGATGAGAACCCATATCTGTTGATGTCCAAGCCAAACCTCTTTTCCCTGTATGTACCTGCTAATTTAGAAGGAACACAAAGCCAGGCATGGTGGCTCACGCCTTAATCACAGCACTTTGGGAGGCCGAGGTGAGCAGATCACCTGAGGTTAGGAGTTCAAGACCAGCCTGGGCAGCACAGTGCCACCCCATCTCTACTAAAAATACAAAAAAAAAAATAGCTGGGCATAGTGGCAGGCACCTGTAATCCCAGTTACTTGGGAGGCTGAGGCAGGAGAATCACTTGAACCCGGGAGACAGAGGTTGCAGTGAGCCGAGATCGCGCCATTGCACTCCAGCCTGGGCGACAAGAGCGAAACTCCATCTCAAAAAAAAGAAAAAAAAATTAAAATTAACAGAAATGGAGGTGTGGAGCTGAATGCCCTCTTGTTCATTAAAACACTCATTTTATTATGAATGGAGAAAAAAATTTTCCAGAAGAAGATTGTAAAACCATTTTTAAAAGCTTTCACTATGATTAGTAGCAATTATGGCAAACACCCCAGCTGTAGCATGATGAGAGTGTCAGAACTATGCCTTCAATGTCTGGGCCTTGACCTGTCCACATTTTGGCCCACTGAGCAGTAGCACTGGATATCCATCAGGCTTCTGAACACTCTGAAAGGAGCTGGGCAGCCACACCAACAGTGCCAATACAAGTAGTCTCCACACAGAGCGATGTGGAACGAATAGGAAACTCAAAATTCAGGGTGAAGTGGCTCAAGTAGTGTCCCTCCAAAAGATATGTTCACCTGGAACCTGTGATTGCAATCTTATTCGGAAAAGCGGTCTTTGCAGATATAATTAAACAAAGGATCTTGAAATGTGGAGATCATCCTGGATTTAGAGTGTCCTCATAAGAGACGGAAGAGGAGAAGACACAGACAGTGGAGAAAAGGCCATGTAAAGATGGAGGCAGAGATTGGAGTGACGTGGCCACAAGAAAAGAATGCTTGGAGTCACCAGAAGCTGGAAGAGGCGAGGAAGGATTATCCCCTAGAGCCTTCAGAGGGAATGTGGCCCTGCCAACATCTTGATTTCAGATTTCAAACTTCTAGAATGGTGAAGGAGTAAAGTTCTGTTGTTTTAAGCCACAAAGTTTCTGATATTTTGTTACAGCAGCCCTAGGAAACTAACAACAGGGGTAGGTGCCTAACTGGCAGCCTCAGCAAGAGCTGGGCCCACCTGGGCACACACCAGGCAACAGAACCCCTGTGTCCTGAGGCAGGAGCCAGCGGCAACAAGACTGTGACACCAAGTCCTCCTTGCTTCCTCCTACCTTATACCCAAGACTCAGGTCCGCTACCAGTGGAGAGCAAGACTCCCTTCATGTCCCAGTCATTACAACTGAATCTCGTGTCCAGGGCCATGGGCTTGTCTTGAAATGCAGCCCGGTTCCTAAGACAGAAGCCATGCCCTGCTCTTGTCAGGCCTTCCCCCATGGCCTGAGTCCTTCCTTCAAAGCTAACATGATGGCTGAGGCCCGTCTACCTGCTGAGAAATTAATCAGATGCATTCCATTTGACTAGTCCAAAATGAATTATACTTTGATTTTCCTAACCTCTTTAATTAAATCTACCAACTAAAATATTAAACAGCCCTCTAGATCTACCTGGCAATTAGTTTTGGTTTTGACATCCTCTAAAACTCAAGGCAGATGTTTCAGATAATAATATCAAATCCTAATCTATTTTTTTCCTCTCCCCACCAACTCTTTTTACAGATCTTAGCTGCAAACATGACTATTAAAGAAAATCTGATCAATGTGTCCTGAGGCTTGCTGGTTCCTCAATTTCTTGTGGCTGGGCCATGGCTACTTGGCAGTATGGCTACCACTTGAGGTCTGACTCCCCAGTACTGATGGCTTGCTGTTTTCCTGGTACCGCGTTCCACCTTCCTAACTGTTTCTGGGGCTGGCCCTATTCTCTGGGGCCTGAAGCTTCAGTTAGTCCTGCTGGCACTGGATGGGAGCCATCACAAGGCATGACAATGCCTGATGCTTCTGTATGCAGTTTGTAGTTAGAGCTCTATTCTGAGGAAGGAGAAAGACTTAAATGAGGTTATGGGAAGGGGCTGTCAACGACTCAATTGCTCTGCTTTATTCTGCTAGTGTAATTTTAATCACATGCTGTGTTTCCACAGTGAGTAACCAACCCTGCTCATTAGACAAATTGCTCTTTATTAAAAAATGCTCATTTACTTAGTAGATTACAGTAGCACTAGGGAAGTCACTGGAGCCCAGAAAGCAGTTGCACCCATGCTGCAAAGGATGTATGTCCATCATTGCAAATATTAGCAGCTTCACACTTTAAAGATATCTCCAGATGTCTTAGGTGACCCAGTTCAGCTCTTTCATGTATGAAATGCATGTCTCGAATGCATATTCAATTATGATATCTCAATTATGCCTATGTGCTCAAAGAAGAACCATAATTTCAAGAGGCTCTATCTCTTTAGAAAATAATCAAATACCATAAATTCAAAACTTTTTACATAGAGATGGGATTTCACCTGAGTGTAAGCTAGTTTATGCCAAAAAGCTTAGGTGGGGACATATCTGTATATACACATGTTCCACCCAAATTGTCCCATTTGTCCATCTCTCAAGTTAGGTTTAATGTGTATGTCATAATTAAATTAGACTTTGATCATAATTAAATTAGACTTTGATCTTTGTATTTATTGGTTCGAAGGTCCACATTTTAACTTCTTCTGGGACTTGACTGTAACAAAGGAAAAAGGAAAAATTTATGGATATTAAAGTACCATATGCAGGCAAGATTCATAATCTGATACTCTGCTCCCCTTAGCTGTTTCTGAGGAGGAATTCATTTGTGCCTTTGACTTTAACTGACGAGGTCCCCAGGTTTGAAGAACGGAAGCCTTTGGAGAGCAGCTTCCAGTTTGGTTTCATCAAGTGGGGCCAGGACTAGGGTAGGGTAGGGGAGACACTCACCTTGGCTGCAAAATTTAAAGGGACACCCAAAACCTCAGTAATTAAAATAAATTCTATTTTGATGCAATATTATAAAACTCAAAATTAATGCTAAAATTCCATGAGCAAAATATGAAAATTTAAAATCAAGACAGAATCCAACCCTGCACTTGCACAACCATGCCTCATTTGTCTCACTCTAATCCTGGCCCTATGTCTGATAAAACCTCATTTACAAAAACAAGCTGCCCATTTCTTGGGCATAGTTTGTCAATTTGAATTTTTAAAATTTTGCATTGAAATATTATTTATCTTGACTATCCCCTTAAATCTTGTGTGTAAGGCAAGTGACTTACTCACCTCACCTTAGTCCCAATCCTGCAACCAAGCCAATCCTCCTAAGCACATTTTTTTTTTCTATTGATTTCTGCCATTGGATGATTGAACTTTGTGTGGGTCACATCTGAAGTGCTGTTATGTTATGTAAGGTTAGGTTAGGTTAGGTTATGCTAGTGAAAGCCACAAGACTTAGGAGTTAAAAAGCAACTGAATGAGCCTTTTGAAATAACCACTGCTGGCACCCAGCAGTTGCATTTTATATTACATTGCAAAGAGTGGCAGGCATGATGGGAACAAGGCACAGCATTTGCATTTTTCTTGGTGCCTGTGTAACCACTGATACTATTTTGTGGCTATGTATTCATCAAAGCAACCCTAAATTGAGGCATTATTAAAAACAAAAAACAAACAAACAAACCAAAAACTTAAATTCTCAAATTTCAAGTAAGTGAAGGAACCAGTTCATTGCTTCATCAATTCAACCAGGCCAGTCAAAGCAGGCAGAAACCCATGTTCTGAGAATTGATGGCCCGGCTAGTAATGATCTGGATGAAGTGCAAGCCACAGTCTGGAGACAGCAGCGGAAGCATGTGCTGTGGAGCCTGGTACAGGTCTGGTCCTCACCAGCCATCGCTACAGCTTTCCAAGCCCCTTGTGTCCAACTTTGAGTTTGGCAAAGGAAGGCCATGACAGCACACTACAAAGAGCATGCGCCCTCCGTCACCTAGGTTTCCTGCACAGGCCACACTGTTTTACAGCTCCAAGAACTCACTGATGCTGCCCCTTCTTTTTTTTTTTTTTTTTTTTTTTTTTAATTATACTTTAAGTTTTAGGGTACATGTGCACATTGTGCAGGTTAGTTACATATGTATACATGTGCCATGCTGGTGTGCTGCACCCACTAATGTGTCATCTAGCATTAGGTATATCTCCCAATGCTATCCCTCCCCCCTCCCCCAACCCCACCACAGGCCCCAGAGTGTGATATTCCCCTTCCTGTGTCCATGTGATCTCATTGTTCAATTCCCACCTATGAGTGAGAATATGCGGTGTTTGGTTTTTTGTTCTTGCGATAGTTTACTGACAATGATGGTTTCCAATTTCATCCATGTCCCTACAAAGGACATGAACTCATCATTTTTTATGGCTGCATAGTATTCCATGGTGTATATGTGCCACATTTTCTTAATCCAGTCTATCATTGTTGGACATTTGGGTTGGTTCCAAGTCTTTGCTATTGTGAATAATGCCGCAATAAACATACGTGTGCATGTGTCTTTATAGCAGCATGATTTATAGTCATTTGGGTATATACCCAGTAATGGGATGGCTGGGTCAAATGGTATTTCTAGTTCTAGATCCCTGAGGAATCGCCACACTGACTTCCACAATGGTTGAACTAGTTTACAGTCCCACCAACAGTGTAAAAGTGTTCCTATTTCTCCACATCCTCTCCAGCACCTGTTGTTTCCTGACTTTTTAATGATTGCCATTCTAACTGGTGTGAGATGATATCTCATAGTGGTTTTGATTTGCATTTCTCTGATGGCCAGTGATGATGAGCATTTTTTCATGTGTTTTTTGGCTGCATAAATGTCTTCTTTTGAGAAGTGTCTGTTCATGTCCTTTGCCCAGTTTTTGATGGGGTTGTTTGTTTTTTTCTTGTAAATTTGTTTGAGTTCATTGTAGATTCTGGATATTAGCCCTTTGTCAGATGAGTAGGTTGCGAAAATTTTCTCCCATGTTGTAGGTTGCCTGTTCACTCTGATGGTAGTTTCTTTTGCTGTGCAGAAGCTCTTGAGTTTAATTAGATCCCATTTGTCAATTTTGGCTTTTGTTGCCATTGCTTTTGGTGTTTTGGACATGAAGTCCTTGCCCGTGCCTATGTCCTGAATGGTAATGCCTAGGTTTTCTTCTAGGGTTTTTATGGTTTTAGGTCTAACGTTTAAATCTTTAATCCATCTTGAATTGATTTTTGTATAAGGTGTAAGGAAGGGATCCAGTTTCAGCTTTCTACATATGGCTAGCCAGTTTTCCCAGCACCATTTATTAAATAGGGAATCCTTTCCCCATTGCTTGTTTTTCTCAGGTTTGTCAAAGATCAGATAGTTGTAGATATGCGGCGTTATTTCTGAGGGCTCTGTTCTGTTCCATTGATCTATATCTCTGTTTTGGTACCAGTACCATGCTGTTTTGGTTACTGTAGCCTTGTAGTATAGTTTGAAGTCAGGTAGTGTGATGCCTCCAGCTTTGTTCTTTTGGCTTAGGATTGACTTGGCGATGCAGGCTCTTTTTTGGTTCCATATGAACTTTAAAGTAGTTTTTTCCAATTCTGTGAAGAAAGTCATTGGTAGCTTGATGGGGATGGCATTGAATCTGTAAATTACCTTGGGCAGTATGGCCATTTTCACGATATTGATTCTTCCTACCCATGAGCATGGAATGTTCTTCCATTTGTTTGTGTCCTCTTTTATTTCCTTGAGCAGTGGTTTGTAGTTCTCCTTGAAGAGGTCCTTCACATCCCTTGTAAGTTGGATTCCTAGGTATTTTATTCTCTTTGAAGCAATTGTGAATGGGAGTTCACTCATGATTTGGCTCTCTGTTTGTCTGTTGTTGGTGTATAAGAATGCTTGTGATTTTTGTACATTGATTTTGTATCCTGAGACTTTGCTGAAGTTGCTTATCAGCTTAAGGAGATTTTGGGCTGAGACGATGGGGTTTTCTAGATAAACAATCATGTCGTCTGCAAACAGGGACAATTTGACTTCCTCTTTTCCTAATTGAATACCCTTTATTTCCTTCTCCTGCCTGATTGCCCTGGCCAGAACTTCCAACACTATGTTGAATAGGAGCGGTGAGAGAGGGCATCCCTGTCTTGTGCCAGTTTTCAAAGGGAATGCTTCCAGTTTTTGCCCATTCAGTCTGATATTGGCTGTTGGTTTGTCATAGATAGCTCTTATTATTTTGAAATACGTCCCATCAATACCTAATTTATTGAGAGTTTTTAGCATGAAGGGTTGTTGAATTTTGTCAAAGGCTTTTTCTGCATCTATTGAGATAATCATGTGGTTTTTGTCTTTGGCTCTGTTTATATGCTGGATTACATTTATTGATTTGCGTATATTGAACCAGCCTTGCATCCCAGGGATGAAGCCCACTTGATCATGGTGGATAAGCTTTTTGATGTGCTGCTGGATTCGGTTTGCCAGTATTTTATTGAGGATTTTTGCATCAATGTTCATCAAGGATATTGGTCTAAAATTCTCTTTTTTGGTTGTGTCTCTGCCCGGCTTTGGTATCAGAATGATGCTGGCCTCATAAAATGAGTTAGGGAGGATTCCCTCTTTTTCTATTGATTGGAATAGTTTCAGAAGGAATGGTACCAGTTCCTCCTTGTACCTCTGGTAGAATTCGGCTGTGAATCCATCTGGTCCTGGACTCTTTTTGGTTGGTAAACTATTGATTATTGCCACAATTTCAGAGCCTGTTATTGGTCTATTCAGAGATTCAACTTCTTCCTGGTTTAGTCTTGGGAGAGTGTATGTGTCAAGGAATGTATCCATTTCTTCTAGATTTTCTAGTTTATTTGCATAGAGGTGTTTGTAGTATTCTCTGATGGTAGTTTGTATTTCTGTGGGATCGGTGGTGATATCCCCTTTATCATTTTTTATTGTGTCTATTTGATTCTTCTCTCTTTTTTTCTTTATTAGTCTTGCTAGTGGTCTATCAATTTTGTTGATCCTTTCAAAAAACCAGCTCCTGGATTCATTGATTTTTTGAAGGGTTTTTTGTGTCTCTATTTCCTTCAGTTCTGCTCTGATTTTAGTTATTTCTTGCCTTCTGCTAGCTTTTGAATGTGTTTGCTCTTGCTTTTCTAGTTCTTTTAATTGTGATGTTAGGGTGTCAATTTTGGATCTTTCCTGCTTTCTCTTGTAGGCATTTAGTGCTATAAATTTCCCTCTACACACTGCTTTGAATGCGTCCCAGAGATTCTGGTATGTGGTGTCTTTGTTCTCGTTGGTTTCAAAGAACATCTTTATTTCTGCCTTCATTTCATTATGTACCCAGTAGTCATTCAGGAGCAGGTTGTTCAGTTTCCATGTAGTTGAGCGGCTTTGAGTGAGATTCTTAATCCTGAGTTCTAGTTTGATTGCACTGTGGTCTGAGAGATAGTTTGTTATAATTTCTGTTCTTTTACATTTGCTGAGGAGAGCTTTACTTCCAACTATGTGGTCAATTTTGGAATAGGTGTGGTGTGGTGCTAAAAAAAATGTATATTCTGTTGATTTGGGGTGGAGAGTTCTGTAGATGTCTATTAGGTCCGCTTGGTGCAGAGCTGAGTTCAATTCCTGGGTATCCTTGTTGACTTTCTGTCTCGTTGATCTGTCTAATGTTGACAGTGGGGTGTTAAAGTCTCCCATTATTAATGTGTGGGAGTCTAAGTCTCTTTGTAGGTCACTCAGGACTTGCTTTATGAATCTGGGTGCTCCTGTATTGGGTGCATAAATATTTAGGATAGTTAGCTCCTCTTGTTGAATTGATCCCTTTACCATTATGTAATGGCCTTCTTTGTCTCTTTTGATCTTTGTTGGTTTAAAGTCTGTTTTATCAGAGACTAGGATTGCAACCCCTGCCTTTTTTTGTTTTCCATTTGCTTGGTAGATCTTCCTCCATCCTTTTATTTTGAGCCTATGTGTGTCTCTGCACGTGAGATGGGTTTCCTGAATACAGCACACTGATGGGTCTTGACTCTTTATCCAACTTGCCCGTCTGTGTCTTTTAATTGCAGAATTTAGTCCATTTATATTTAAAGTTAATATTGTTATGTGTGAATTTGATCCTGTCATTATGATGTTAGCTGGTGATTTTGCTCGTTAGTTGATGCAGTTTCTTCCTAGTCTCGATGGTCTTTACATTTTGGCATGATTTTGCAGCGGCTGGTACCGGTTGTTCCTTTCCATGTTTAGCGCTTCCTTCAGGAGCTCTTTTAGGGCAGGCCTCGTGGTGACAAAATCTCTCAGCATTTGCTTGTCTATAAAGTATTTTATTTCTCCTTCACTTATGAAGCTTAGTTTGGCTGGATATGAAATTCTGGGTTGAAAATTCTTTTCTTTAAGAATGTTGAATATTGGCCCCCACTCTCTTCTGGCTTGTAGGGTTTCTGCCGAGAGATCCGCTGTTAGTCTGATGGGCTTTCCTTTGAGGGTAACCCGACCTTTCTCTCTGGCTGCCCTTAACATTTTTTCCTTCATTTCAACTTTGGTGAATCTGACAATTATGTGTCTTGGAGTTGCTCTTCTCGAGGAGTATCTTTGTGGCGTTCTCTGTATTTCCTGAATCTGAACGTTGGCCTGCCTTGCTAGATTGGGGAAGTTCTCCTGGATAATATCCTGCAGAGTGTTTTCCAACTTGGTTCCATTCTCCATATCACTTTCAGGTACACCAATCAGACGTAGATTTGGTCTTTTCACATAGTCCCATATTTCTTGGAGGCTTTGCTCATTTCTGTTTATTCTTTTTTCTCTAAACTTCCCTTCTCACTTCATTTCATTCATTTCATCTTCCATTGCTGATACCCTTTCTTCCAGTTGATCGCATCGGCTCCTGAGGCTTCTGCATTCTTCACATAGTTCTCGAGCCTTGGTTTTCAGCTCCATCAGCTCCTTTAAGCACTTCTCTGTATTGGTTATTCTAGTTATACATTCTTCTAAATTTTTTTCAAAGTTTTCAACTTCTTTGCCTTTGGTTTGAATGTCCTCCCGTAGCTCAGAGTAATTTGATCGTCTGAAGCCTTCTTCTCTCAGCTCGTCAAAATCATTCTCCATCCAGCTTTGTTCCGTTGCTGGTGAGGAACTGCGTTCCTTTGGAGGAGGAGAGGCGCTCTGCGTTTTAGAGTTTCCAGTTTTTCTGTTCTGTTTTTTCCCCATCTTTGTTGTTTTATCTACTTTTGGTCTTTGATGATGGTGATGTATAGATGGGTTTTTGGTGTGGATGTCCTTTCTGGTTGTTAGTTTTCCTTCTAACAGACAGGACCCTCAGCTGCAGGTCTGTTGGAATACCCTGCCGTGTGAGGTGTCAGTGTGCCCCTGCTGGGGGGTGCCTCCCAGTTAGGCTGCTCGGGGGTCAGGGGTCAGGGACCCACTTGAGGATGCAGTCTGCCCGTTCTCAGATCTCCAGCTGCGTGCTGGGAGAACCACTGCTCTCTTCAAAGCTGTCAGACAGGGACACTTGAGTCTGCAGAGGTTACTGCTGTCTTTTTGTTTGTCTGTGCCCTGCCCCCAGAGGTGGAGCCTACAGAGGCAGGCAGGCCTCCTTGAGCTGTGGTGGGCTCCACCCAGTTCGAGCTTCCCGGCTGCTTTGTTTACCTAAGCAAGCCTGGGCAATGGCGGGCGCCCCTCCCCCAGCCTCGTTGCCGCCTTGCAGTTTGATCTCAGACTGCTGTGCTAGCAATCAGCGAGATTCCGTGGGTGTAGGACCCTCTGAGCCAGGTGTGGGATATAGTCTCCTGGTGCGCCGTTTTTTAAGCCGGTCTGAAAAGCGCAATATTCGGGTGGGAGTGACCCGATTTTCCAGGTGCGTCCGTCACCCCTTTCTTTGACTCGGAAAGGGAACTCCCTGACCCCTTGCGCTTCCCAGGTGAGGCAATGCCTCGCCCTGCTTCGCTCGCGCACGGTGCACGCACCCACTGACCTGCGCCCACTGTCTGGCACTCCCTAGTGAGATGAACCCGGTACCTCAGATGGAAATGCAGAAATCACCCGTCTTCTGCGTTGCTCACGCTGGGAGCTGTAGACCGGAGCTGTTCCTATTCGGCCATCTTGGCTCCTCCCCCTCGATGCTGCCCCTTCTGTCTGAAATGCTGTCTTCCTGGTGTCTCCTGGCTTACTTCTGCTAGTTATTTAACATTCAGAGCAAAGTTCAGGTAAACATGGTAGAATGGTCATGTGCATCTAAGTTTCACTCCCTCCCAGAAGCACAGTAAAGGATTACCTACAATCCCTAACTTACAGTGGTTCAATTTACAATTTTTCAACTTTAGGATGGTACAAAAGCAACACGTATTCAGTATGCTCCTCAGCTGAAGATGGAGTCACATCCAGATAAACTCGTAAACTGAAAATATTATAAATCAAATGTGCATTTTCAATTTACCATGGGTTTATCAGAACACAACCCCATCATAAGTAGAGTAGAGGAGAATCAGTATTTTTTAAAACAATCTCACAGTGACAGAAAGAATGGAAAGGGAGACAAGCATAACAGCATTTCAGAAGCTGAGAGATGAACCAGGAGTAGCTGACTTAGCTGACCCAAGGAAGCTGAATCCAGGTTGGCAGTGGGGATGGCTGAGGAGCAACGTAATCTACATCACAGAGTTTTCCACTGGCTCAAGAACAGGCAGCCCCAGTTACCTCAGGACTGGGGCATGGTGAAGTTATTCTCGGAGAGGATTGAACAGAGGGTCTCCAGACTGGGGACACCAGGAAAAGTGGAGGACAGTAGCCTCTCCACAAAACAAGGGATTGTGTGAATGCATGTAACCCAAATGTTGAAAGCAGAGAACCCTGTCACCTTTGACCCTCTTGGCTCCCAGAACACTGGCACCTGAATATTTTCCCTCCAGGCAGGAGACTGGAAAAATTAGACTGGTTGCAGCATCACATGCACAAAAGGGAAAAGAGGTGGATAAATCTGTAGACTGAGCTCAGGAGTGTGGCCCTTATGGTTCATGCAGTCAGTGGGCACTAAAGGGTTTTTTCAACAGACTGTGATGTAATGAGAGGAAGAGATAAGGGATGTGGACACTCAAGATTTTTATATTTAAATACATTTGTAATTGTGGTAAAATACACATAAGATAAAATAGCTATCTTAACCATCTTTAAGTGTTAACCACCATCCCTCTGCAGAACTTGTTCATCTTCCCAAACTGAAACTCTATACCCAGCAACGACTAACTCCCCACTCCCCCTCCACCAGCCCCTGACACCCACCATTCTACTGTCTGTCTCCATGAGTTTGACTATTCTAAGGCCCTTCCAAATTTGGATCCTACAGTATTTGTCCTTTTGTGACTGACTCGTTTCACTCACCATAATGTCCTCAAGGATCATCCATGTTGTAGCACGTGTCAGAATTTCCTTCCTTTTTAAGGCTGGACAATATTCCATAGTATGTGTGTACCATGTTTGGTTTATCCATTCATCATGAGTGGACATTTGGGCGGTTTCCACTTTTTGGTTGTTGTGAATATGCTGCTCTCAACATGGGTGTACAAATGTCAGGTTTGTTTTGTTTTGTTTTTCATGTGGCACTTACACACTGTGATTCCAAGGAAGGCTTCATTGCAGTGACATCAACAAAAGAAGTCCTTTGGAATCTCCAGGTGTTCCCAGCATTCCAAAGGATGCAAGATGCAGTTGCAGCTAGGAGGCAGAGGGCATGGCAATGACTTTAAGCTCTTCCACCACTAGTAGCACCTCCAGATGTGTGCTTTTGGTGCTATTGCCCCTTTCTAAGTCTTAATTTCCTCCTCTGAACAGGGACTCATAAATCTCACTCTGCCATCTACCCAGGACTGTTGAGAGGTCACAGGAACTAACACGTGCAAGAACCTTGTAAAGTCAAAAGTGTGGTGCTCATGGGGTGATGCTGTTGCTGCTGCCTGAGGGAGCGAGAGAACCCAAGTACAAGGGTAGCAGGGCTAGGAGCAGGTGTGGGCAGGTGGTGCAGGTCTTGGAAGGAGATATGGAAATCTTTCTGCGAGCAGGACCCTGGGGCACAGGAAGCTTTGAGGTCAGAGTACAAATTGAGAAAGTTGCACAGATTGAAATGTCAAAAGCAGTTGATTATCTCAATTGCTCCATAGCTAGCTTGTCCCTTTATTTCTTAAATAAAAGAACTCAATAAATATGCACTTATGGTAATTGGGACCACAATCCAATAGTATTCAGGGGACAAATAGAATTAGGGGCCTCACGGAGAGAGACTCTGCATGACATGGTGACATCCTCTCTTAGGGCAGAGACACAGGAAATAAGGGCTTTACTGTTGAGCTGTCTTTGCCTGTGGTCTGCTGCTGGGCACGTCTGGATGCTGTCATTATAGAGTTATCTTCTCCCGTCGTTTAAGGATGTAAAATCAAAGCTATGTGTCTGGAGGGAATAAGATACGTACTTGGCCATGTCTTGAACTTCTTTTTGTCTTTCCTTCAATTAAAAAAAAATTCGCTGCTCCTTTACTGTCTAAAAACAGTTGAAAGTTTTGGAACCTGAAATAGGTAAACGCAGCCCAGTTCTCTCATTTCCTTCCCTGGCAGGGAAAGGAAGGGTGTTGGCAGAGGCTCTTTATTTCTTGCAAACAGCTGCCTAGACAACACCCCAGCCTCCTGGCCAGGCCCTGGCTATACATTCAGTGCTGCTCAGGGGCTTTCAGAGGCTAGGGTTCTGACAATGCCAGCCTCACCAGGTGCTGGAAAATTTGTGACTTCTTTGGTGACCTTGGGCAGGTGCCTCCCTACCTGGTCCTCACTTTCCCCATCTCTCTGGAGCCAGGAGCCTTAAGGCCCCCAGCCCACTCACACTTGCTCCAACAGCCTCTCGGCCCAAGGGCCTTCAACATCTTGTCTCCTGTTCTTATAAGAACCCTAATAGGTAGGCATTACCCTGCCCCTCCCCACAATCTGAAAGATCGGGAAAGGGAAGCTCAGAGGCGTCAGATCACAGACAGGATTACTTACCCAAGAGCTAAGTTTCTCTGCTGGGATTGGACTGCAGGACTCTGCCCTCTACTCTTGACACAGGCCTGTCTCATTCCACTCTGCTGCTTCCCTAGGGAAGAGAGTGGCAGGTAAGACCTGTTGAGGCAGAACTATTGCACAAATGCACACATGATTTTTAAGCAAAGATAAAGAATTTCCTTTCTTCACCCCAAAGCCCTTCATCCAATAAGTTCAGGCTCTTCATAGTCTCAGCTGATGGACACTCACTCGATTTAAACTGGTCCCAGACCCCTCTCTTCCCATTTGCTTTGAATGTGACAAGGCGCTTCTGCAGCCTGCATCTCTGGACAAGGCTTTTTTTTTTTTTTTTTTTTAATTTGCCTGTTGGTGAAAGGCTCAGGCCTGTAACCAGTACTTCCCTCCCCTAAGTAAATACAAAGAAGAGGCTTGCACACCCTGCCCCGCACCTCTCTACTCTGACTAGTTGCTCAGGTCCTCAAATGTGCTTTATGATCCTGCATCCACCATTATCACCAAGGCAGGAAACCCAGAGCAGTCCTGTTATTTCTTCAAGAGATGCTTCCTGGGCTTCTACGGTCCCTGGGCCATTGGGCCATTGTGCTTTCTATCTGAGGAATACACATCATTGCTGGAGCCTTAGTTCCATCCTGGACCTAGGAGAGCTCCAAGCTGGATCTGGGTCAGTTCTCGTGTGTGTGTGTGTGTGTGTGTGTGTGTGTGTGTGTGTGTAGTTAGAGTGGGGGATGAGGATAGCTGCTGTGCTTTGGTGAGTGGTGAATTACCTGGGTACAGCTATAGCTTTTCTCAGGATCAATTCATTTTGAGATAAATGGGGGTACAGGGGAAGAGATACCACACTCAAAAGCCAGTTTTAGTCTAGCCTCACCATTGCATGATCTTCACCAACAGCCATGTTACTGCTCTCAGTTTGTCTGCCTGTAAAAGTGGTGATAGATAATATCCTAACCACCTCATGGTTAGGTGGGTCTGACAAGCTAATGGGTGGAAACCCACTTTGCAGCTCATAGACCTTATCCCAGTGTGCAGCCTTTCCCCAGTGCCCTGAACAGTGGCTCACACTTCTCACCCTTGGACTCAAGGGCAAGTAAATGCCCCCCCACCCCCTTAGTTACCCCCAGATGCCAAGCATAGGTCTCCATGCCCTTTCACTACTGTACCTCATTACTTCAACTGACTGCCTTGGAGTCCTGTATCTTTTACTTTGGGTTCTTGATCTTTCTCGAACTCTTCCCAAACTCTAAAACTAACCAGTTGGCATTTACTCACTCACTCTGGCATTGAACATAAACTTCCGCACCATTGTCAGTTCTCTGGGGTCCTAATGTGCTTGTCTGCAAGCCTTACTCATGTCTACTTCTACATGTAAACATTTCTTAGCCTATCCTTCCCCTTCCCTCCTTGCTCTTTTTCCCTTTATTTATTTTCCTTTTCTTTGGTAATTGTTGCTGTTTCTATGCAATGATTTCTTTTCATCTTTTTTATTCTCTCTCATATCTCTTTCTAAAATATTATAACAATCACGTTTCTTCTCATTATTTTCTTGTTTGTTAGGAGAAAAGAGGCAAAATATTTATCTTGTACATTTGATCGCTGGGTGCTTTTTATACCATTTCTCTGAACTTTGATTTTTCGTAAGTCGTACACAGAAGACTATATTTCCATACAATTTCAAAGGTGTATTTCTAATTGCCTTGTGCCTTTCCATGGTAACTAAAACCACAAGCTGGAAACTGGGAATTTATGAATGGCACTGGCTCAGGTTACAACAAATCAAGCTTCTAAGATCAGTTTGAAAAATGTCCTGTTTTGGTGTGTAGCTGCAAAATGTATGTCACCGTTTTCTAATTTTTAAAAGTTTCAATAACATTTATTTTTTACATTGTAAAAGTAACTTATGCTCATTATACAACATTTGAAAAACACAGAAACATAGAACCAAAAAAACGGTAGTTTCATCTGTCAAAAGCAACCACAGTTGTTAACACTTTGTTCTATTTCCTAAATAGAACAAAGGTGTCATTGTGTCATTATTTTTAAATATTTTTTGTGCCTTTTTTTTTTTTTTTTTTTTTTTTTTTGGTGACAAAATCTTGCTCTGCTGCCCAGGCTGCAGTGCAATGGCACGATCTCAGCTCACTGCAACCTCTGCCTCCTGGGTTCAAGGGATTCTCCTCTCTCAGCCTCCCGAGTAGCTGGGATTACAGGCACCATGCCCAACTAATTTTTGTATTTTTTTTTTTTTTAGTAGAGATGGGGTTTCACCATGTTGGTCAGGCTGGTCTTGAACTCCTGACGTCAGGTGATCCATCTGCCTTGGCCTCCCTAACTGCTGGAATTATAGGTGTGAGCCACCGAGATGGAACGTGAGTCACTATTTTTAAAAATCCATAACAAATCCACAAAGCTGTAAGCTCTGTGAGGTAGAAACCATGTCTTATGCATCTAGAATACTGCATGGTATAAAAGGGAACTCCATAAATGTCTATCAGAGAATAAAGCTTGGTTTATATATTTGGGTTTGCAATTCATGATGGTATTTTTACCATAGTATTAAAATACTATTGATACTTTATGCATGTTCATGTCAAGTTTGTATAGTGCACCATGTGGAGATGGTCTCAGAGAGGGGGCTATCCTACCTTCTGAGCAGGGCTGGGAAAGCACCAGGGCAGTTGTTATCACCACTGTGTCTGCAGCCTCTTCTTTGTACTCTCATCGCATCCTGTGCTTCTCTGTTTAGAACTCTCATCATGTTTCACAGTTGCTTTTTCACTGTCTGCCTTTTCAAATTGTGAGCCCCATGAGAGCAGGTATTTTTGTCTGTCCTGGTCACTGCTGTATCCCCAACACCTAGTTTAGTGCCTGGCATATAGTAGGCACTTGATAAATATTTGTTGATTGATGGAATGAAGACAATAACAATTCCTGAAATTAAAGATCTTGCTGTCTAGCAGGGAGGATAAAATCAGTTTCCTGATAACTAACACAAGGAAGACTCCTATCTCTTCTCTCACTGCTCTTTTAGGATGTCTCATGAAGTTGGCTGTGTAGGCTCCTTTTGTTTTCCCTGTATTGTGGCTGGGGGAGGTCAAAGTGCAGAGATGTAACAAGACTGATGGATGGCAGAGAAGGGACTACAGTTTGGTTTCTCTGACTCCTGATTCAATGCTCTTTCTACAACATCTCATTGATGACCTTCTACTTCAGAAAGGTTTTTTTTTTTTTTTTTTTCTATGACTCTCTGAAACAATGTTGTTTGGTTAGAGACTAGAATTGGGAAGATCTTTGATGTCAAATATTTGTCTGTGATTTGTTACTTCGGTAAAAATGGTGTGTGGTCACCTCAAGGAGGATAAACTCAGGATCTCTTAATAGATTAGGCAGTTTGAAACTCCCGTCTTCACAGGTTCCAGTCCACTCTGAGGGAGGCCTCCAGTGAACTTGGAAATAGCTTTCTTCTTCCCAGAAATAACCTCAGATATCTGTTAAGGGGATAGGTGGATGGATTAATGGATGAAAGAAAATGTCCCTCAGGAAGGGGAATATAATGTTATTCAGAACACCTAGATGCTTTTTCATCAGTTCACTTATGTGATAGTTCAAGTCTTTCACATGTAGCTGCCCCCGAAGATTCTGTTTTACAGAAAAGATTAAAATAAAATAGGACTTAAGCATCTTTTCTTTTTCTAATACTGTAATGCCTTCTTATAGTGGACATGTTCTCCACTGTTGAATGCGTGTTTAATCAGAATGTAAATTTTAAATGGCCTCTCCTTTCCTCCAGTTACCATGTCATCATTTTTTAGCAAGTCTCACTTTGTTTTAGATTTAAGCTTCCCTTTTTCTTACATTGGCTGTTATTTTCCTATTAATGATACTTTTCTACTTTATTTTTTTAACTTTTATTTTAAGATCTGAAGTACATGTGCAGGATGTGCAGCCAGGTATGGTTGAGTTGTTTTGTGATTGCTTTAATAAATGTACCTAAAAGTATTGCACAAGAAAAAGAGAAAATGTTCTTCAGTGCAGGAGCAAGAAGGTGTTGTTGAGACATTTATATCATTCTAATCTGCTTGCAGACACAAGCTTGCTCTCTCCAAATCTCTGCCATGGGCATGATAAAACTTGTTTTAAAGAGGTTGTAGTATGATGATAATCCAAGCTTACTGGGCCAGTGCCAATGGAAGAAGACAGGCAAGTGGTACAATAGAATTAACAAGGCAGGAGGGTTCATTGTGTGCTCAGGTAAGGTTAAGTAGACAGTTTGGGACAGCTTAGTGGTGCAGAAGAAACATTGATCATTCAAGTCTTCCAGCCAACATTTTTGAGAATCTACTATACACCAAGTCCTATGTAAAAGTCTAAGAATACAGAGATGACTAAGTAAGCCACAACCCTTGCCCTCAAGTTGTTCCCAGTCTAACAGCTCTACCTAAAAGAGTCAAGACCATCTTCCTAGAGGAGGGGATACTTGAGCTGAGTCTTGAAGGTTGGAGAAGAATTTGCCTGGAGGCTAAGTTGAGAAGGAAGAAAGAAAAGCATTTATGAAAGAGGGAAAGGCAAAGCTTGTTCAGAAACATGGAGATATGAAATGGTGTGGTGCTTTTAGGGACTGCAAGTAGTCTACTGTGCACATGGAATCAAGAACATGAAAAGGAATGTGATGTACACTGAATTAGGATACTGGCATTATATATAAAAGGAGATGGATAATCATGAGAAATATTAGGATTAAGAATACACAGGACTTGGTGGCCAATGGGATGAATAAAGCAGTAGAAATCAAGGATCAATCCTGGGTCTCTGACTTAGGCAAATGAGGTGGAATGTCATTAACCATGATAGCAAATATAAGAGAAGTAGATATGAGCTGAGATGAGGCTAGAAAGTTAGACAAAGGCCTATTTGGGGAAGGCTGTGTTAACACTAGCAAGGCTAGAACAGGAAAGGTCTTGAAAGTCAGGTTATAGGGAAATCTAAAGAATTTTAATCAGGAGAGTGATATTATCATATTACAATTTGGAATGTTCACTCTGACTGCTGTGTCAAAGTGGAATCCACAAAGCAGGTAATGATGTGAAGGGAATGGAAGAGTCAAGGATGGCTCCCAAGTTTCTGGCTTGAGCACCTGAGTAGATGGAGGAATCATGCACTGATATTGAGAAGACAAGAAAAAGGCAGATTGAAAAGTGAAAATGTTGAGCTACCTTTTGGATATGTTGAGTTTAGGAAGCCATGGTGCGTCTAAGTAGAAATTCCAGGTGGTGATTGGCTTTATGGGTCTGGATCTCAGGATAGAGGAGTTTCGCATAGATTCACTGCATAGATGGAGTGGCAGATGCCATGGGAAATCACCCATGATCAGAGAAAAGAGAGTCAAGAACTAAGAAACAAATATTTAGGAAGAAATGTATGAACTTATAAAAGACTGACAAAAAGTTGGAGGAAAACAGAAACATGATTTCATGGAGACAAATGAAGAAATAGTTGTTTCAAGAGTAAGGAAGTAATCAAGAATATAAAATGCTACAAAAATTAAGGCCTGAAATGTGTCCATTTGACTTTTTTTTTTTTTAGTTGGGAGCTATAAATGAGAATAATTTTAGCAGAATAGTGAGGTAAGATCCTGATTACAATGGGTTAGAAAGCAAATTAAGAACACACAATTAGAATATATAATTTTAAAATATACTATTTACAATGGCAACTGAAAATATAAGATTCTTAGACAGATATCTATGAAAGTGCATGCAAAATCTTTATAAATAAAGTTCTAAAATGTAGTTTAAAAATCATAAAACGAGACTTAAGTAATGGTAAGATATAAATATAATTTTTAAACATAATATTTACAATAGCAACCAAAATTATAAGATTCTTAGACAAAAATCTATGACAGTGCATGCAAAATCTTTATAAATAAAGTTCTAAAACATTGTTTAAAAATCATAAAAGGAGACCTAAATAATGGTAAGATATACTATGCTTATGGATGCAAAAAACTAAATATCATAAAGATGTCAATTCTCCAGATTATTCTACATGTGCGACGTACTTTCAGTCAAAATCTTAACTTTTTGTGGTACTTGATGAGCTGATTTAAAAAATTTATACAGAAAATCAAAGGGCCAAAAATAACCAGCAAAATCTTAACAAGTAAAACAAGGTAAGGGGTTTTCTCTACTACATATCAAGTCTTATTCTAAAACAATGAACATTATGACAATGTGGTATTGCATAGGGATAGGCAAACAGATCAATGAAACAGTACAATGAACTCAGACACATACCACACATTTATGGAAATTATATATAAAAGAGATGTATGAAAAACAGTGAGGAAGCCGGGCGCGGTGTCTCCCACCTGTAATCCCAGCACTTTGGGAAGCCAAGGCAGGTGGATCACCTGAGGTCGGGAGTTCAAGACCAGCCTGACCAACACGGAGAAACTCCATCTCTACCAAAAATACAAAATTAGCCGGGTGTGGTGGTTCATACCTGTAATCCCAGCTACTCGGGAGGCTGAGGCAGGAGAATTGCTTGAACCTTGGAGGCAGAGGTTGGGGTGGGCGGAGATCATGCCATTGCACTCTAGCCTGGGCAACAAGAGTAGAACTCCACCTCAAAAAAAGAAACAAAAACAGTGAGGAAAAGAAAAACTGTTCAATAAATGGCAAGGGAAAATTAGGTATTCACATAATGACAAATAAAAATATAAATAATAGGTATTTATTCTTACCTTAAACCATATGCAAGAAGTAATCCCAAGTGGGCTACAGTGCTAAAGTGAAAATCAAATTTTAAACTTTTACAAGAAAGTATAGGGAAATGTCATTATGGCCTTAGATTAAGGAAGGGATTCTTAACCAAGTCACAAAAAACACAAACCATTAAAAAGACTGATAAATTTTGCCTTTC
Organism: Homo sapiens; assembly: GCF_000001405.40. Taxonomy (NCBI): domain Eukaryota; kingdom Metazoa; phylum Chordata; class Mammalia; order Primates; family Hominidae; genus Homo; species Homo sapiens. Next base: position 151,320,471 of record NC_000023.11, on the reverse strand, counting down.
TAAAATGTAAAATATCTACTCAATAAAAGACACCATAAAAAGAGTGAAAAGAAAAGCCACAAACAAGAAGATACATATAATGCATATAACTTATAAAATATTAATATCCAGAATTAACAAAGAATTCATAATATCAACAAGAAAAAGACAAAACAATGCAAAAAATGGGCAATTAATGTTAACAGGCAATAGTAGAAATCTAATAGCCATAAGCGTATAAAAATATGTTCAACGTCACTAGCAATGAGAGAAACACAAAGTAAAACTACAATAAAATACCATTTCACATTCATATAATAGACACATATTTAAAAGACTGATAATACTAAATATCTTAAGGGTGTGTAGGAACCAGAACTCTAATAGCAAGTAAGAGTACAAAATGATACAACCTAGAAAAGCAGTATGGCAATATCTGGTAAAACTGAAAATGAACACCTAGCAGTTCCAGACCTAAGAAGGAAATATCCTAGAAAAACGATCTCTCACTGTGCAGAAGGAGACTTGTACATAAATATTCATGGCAATATTTTCTGCAATAGTAAAAAAAATTGAAAAAAGAAACAGGAGAATAGATAAATTGAAGTATATTCATAAAATAATACTATAGCAGCAGTAAAAGTAAATGAGTTATAGTGTATATGTATCAACACGAAAAATTACAAGAACACAGTATTGAGTGAAGAAAGCACATTGTGGGAGGCTGAAGTGTGCTGTCATTTATGTAAAGTTTAAATGCATACAAAACAATTATATGTATATGTATATATATACACATATATAGTTACATATGTATATATAGTTATATATGTATATATTTATATATATTATATATATATTATATATATAGTTTCAGAATGTGTAAACCTGTAATAAAATTAGAGAAACATACATGGGAATGATAAAAAAGACAAGTTTAAGATAGCGGTTAGCTCTAGGAAGACAGGAATTGAAGTAAGGAGGGAATTGCATCAATTGGAACTTTAGTATTTTGTCTTAAAAATGAGATCTGGGCCGGGCACGGTGGCTCATGCCTATAATCCCAGCACTTTAGGAGGCCAAGGCAGGCAGATCACCTGAGGTCAGGAGTTCGAGACCAGCCTGACCAACACAGAGAAACCCCATCTCTACTAAAAATACAAAATTAGTCGGGCGTGGTGGCACATGCCTGTAATCCCAGCTACTCAGGAGGCTCAGGCAGGAGAATTGCTTGAACCCGGGAGGCAGAGGTTGCAGTGAGCCGAGATCGCACCACTGCACTCCAGCCTGGGCAACAAGAGTGAAACTCCATCTCAAAAAAAAAAAAAAAAAAAAAAGAGAGAGAGAGAGAACTGAAGCAAATGTGCAAATTCTTAGGACCTGAAAAAGCTAAGTGGTGACCACATGGATGTTTTCTATGTTGTTCTCCATACTTTTGTATATATCTGAGATATTTCATAATTTATAAAAGAGAGTTCAGGAAGTTGAGCAGTGGGAGACAATTTAGGAATATAGTTGAGAATGGAAAATAGAAGAATCTAGACCTAATTCCATAGGAAATGGGGAGTCATGGAAGGTTTCTGAGCAAAAGTGCTGGGATCAGAGTTCTGCTTTAGGAAGAGTCCCATAAGGAGAGTAGTGAGGGGACGACTGCAATGGTTTAGATATGAGATGATAAAGGCCTGACCATGGGAAGAGGCACAGAGATTGGAGAAGAAAAGATGATGAATTTGGGAGACACACCGAGACAGATAGAAGAAATAAGAATTGGCTTTCAAATCAGACCTAGCAGAGCCTGCCAAAACTTTTTATATCTTGAAAAACTTAGCAGAGAGTGAGAGAGCAAACACCATCATAAATTACAGAGCCAAGCCCTGGGTCTCTGGTAGTTCCAGTAATAAAAAGAAATATTTATTGAACAGCTCAGTTTTAGTCTGGCAATTTATTATACAGAAGCAGGAAGAAGAAAAACACAGGCTTTCTTTTCTATACAGGTAAGAGGACGTGCAAGCAGCCCATCTGAGAACACATGAGAGCACCATCTTCTTTTGGGGAAGGACCCAGGCTGAGCACACCTAGAAATCACTTCCACGTGGAAAGGAGCACCTGAAATAAAATTATTGGCCAAAATAACTGGTCATTCTTGTTGCTACTCAGCAACCCAGAGCATAGCATTGGTTGTATTTAGTCTTTTCAGACACAGAAATCACTTTGTATTTCAGTATTTTATAACTATTTAGTTTGTGTACTAATCCAGGATGTCCAAACTGGTGTCAGCCTAGAAAACAGTGCAGCTGCTTTCTAGGGCCAGTGCTGCATGGCATGATTTGTAAGGACAGAGTTCTGTGATGGGCTAAGATTTTGTGAATAGTTTTGTAGCCAAGCACTAGACTAGATTATTTGAAATGCCTTGTCTTGATTTTCCAAGTTTTGCTTATTCTGAATTTTTCACACACACCCATCTCCCCCATTGTCCTGGCGGAGATGCCAAGGTCTAGAGATATACTATGGTCTTCTCTGAGTCACAGCGTGAGTAAATGGCTATACCAGGACTAGAAACTGGGTATCCTAACTCCCTATATAATGGTCATTTCACTAAGCACATTGTCTCCCTCTCATATCCTTCATTGTGATTCTTCAAGGGAAGATAACAAAGTATTCAAATGTAGGGTATGACTTCTCTAATGAGTCACCAAATTGACCATTTTTAAAGTTATAAATAAAATTAAAACATTCCCTTCAACTAAAAGACTCGACTGAGGAAGTTAAAGGAAATTATGTCAGGGAAATGGGGTGGTAGGGTAGTGGGGTGGTGGGGCTCATAACCATGGGATATGTAACCAGGGAAGCCTTGAGAAAGTCCATTAAGAGCCAGTGGCAGAGCAATCTTACAGGTAGTTCTCCTGGCAGTGGAGACAGACAGCTAGGGGACACCAAGGAGGCCTAGAAATAGCATTGTCTCCCTTGCTCAGAGCCTTCAAAGAATCTCTGAAAGTGGTTCGACTACAATTAAAATTCCAGGTGCCTTTTTCTATTTCCTTCTTTATTCTTTCCTTCTTCTATCTTCTCAGTGATGTTTCAATAGGCACTTACGGGAACTAATTTTTATATAACTTAAAATGTGCTGTCCTTGGAAGATCTACATCTGATCACACCATTCATAGCACTTATTAACAAATTGCGGTGATTTTACGTATTTGACAGGTTACTTGCTGTTGTGCATCCCCCCATTGCCATCCTCACCCCACTTTCATAGCTGCCTGCATTATATATACCCTTGGCTGTAAACCTTATAAAGGAAGATACTGTGATCTGTATTATATGTTACTGTATGTAGCCTCAGAAACCTGAACAGTGTCTGGAACATAGTAAGTACTCATCATATGATGTAAATAAATGATATAAATAAATCTCCAAATTATATTTTTAATGCTTTATCTTTAAGTAGAGAATGCCTGGTGTCAAATGAAAACCAAGAGGAAGCACAGAAGGCTCTCTGAAATTTAATTTTTAAGTCTGAGTAACTCTGTTGAAATCTAATGAGTTCTGCTATAATTTAAGGACAATACAGAGGAATTTTATATAAAACCTTGGCTTTCATTTTATGTTAGCAACAACCATCTCACAGAAGAGCCAAGAGGTCCGGCAAGTTGACTGGTGAAAACGCTGTGACAAAGTGCCACAGGAGCGTGCTGGGATCTGCAGAAGAAATGGAAAGGAACTCAACAATGAAAACCTCTTGGCAACATGCTAGGAGATAAGGGGATAAACACGCATTGTTTCAAGGAGTGATGGTGACATAAACTTGAGACTCTGAAGCCCAAAATTGGGATCCCTGGGTCTCTGAGCAGCAGGTTGGAGGATCAGTTTCTCTTCAGAGTGCTTTAGTCCTAGATGATAGGTACTCACTGTGGATATTCTGCTGCCTCAAAACCAGTTCTGCCAGACTTCCAGCTACCCCAATTAGAGCCAAAAAAAGGTGGAGAGCAAAGATGATAGTTTAAAAACTTGATTAACAAACAACAAAGCAATAGAACACGCGAGCACGTGCACACACACACACATCCCCCAAACTGCCCTGGACATCCATGAAGGTAAGAGAGAATTGAGAGGCAGTTACTTAGTTAGCTAGTGTTATGGTGGTTAAGCTCATCAGCCAACTCGTTTAATCATGCATGCATTCATTCATTCCAAAGTATATACAGTTTTGAGCACTGGAGATACAGAGATAGATTCATTAATTGGCCCTCTCTGTAGAGGGGGAGAGCTATAAGCAAACAAGTAAAATAATATGATGAGACAGAGATTTTTAGAAATAGTTGGGAGAAAAAGATATAGAAATGGAGAGAACAATTATTTATATAAAGAAGATGATATTTGATGTAGACCTTGAATGGTGAACAGGAGGTAGGAGGTAGGAGGGTGTAAATGGGATTGTAATCAGAGGCACCAGCACGAGCAAAGATATTAAAACATGAAAGTGCCTGGGGACAATGCCATTCAGGCAAAAATTCCTGTTGTAGACCATTAAAGACTTGAGAGAGCTTGCTTGATTACATAAATATGTCTCCTTACACAACTAAAAGCTCCTTGAGGGCAGGGACCTTGTCTAATTCTGTCTGAATTTCAAGTGCCCAGCTCAGTGCAAAGCACTGAGTAGGTCCTTACTAAATATTTGTTGCATGGATGAATGAATGACCTTTGCCAGAACGATCTGAGAGTGGAAGGGGCAAAAGCCAGATTTCATTAATAAAGACATGATAGGTGAAGGGATGAGGTGATGAAGTGAAGACATGAGGTGATGAAGTGAAGCTCATTCATGTTGCCTCAGCTTGACCTTTGTATTGCCTGTGGTTTCCATAGAAAACCTCACGTAGGACTGATTATTTTCCATTTGAAATTGCATTTCAAATATATTGTATTGCCTGTGGTTTCTATATATTCTATATATGTATTGCCTGTGGTTTCTATAGAAAACCTTACATAAGACTGATTATTTTCCATTTGAGTTCAGGCAGCATTGCAGTTAAGCTTTGCTTCCCCTCCTTTGCTCCCCTTCCTTTGGCTTCCTCCTCCTCTTCTCTGCAATGCTTGGCCCTATTGGCCACTTAAGCCACTAATGCACTCATATACTTCTGAAGTTCAGTATTAGAGATCATTTTCCTCAGCAGCCCGATTCTTTTGTCTTTTATCATTTTAAGTCCTTTCAATAAGCTCTTTCTTTGCACCTGGACTTACATACTCTTTATTGTATAAGCGTCATCCGTTGGATTCAAAGTCTCTAAGAGAGCAAGGGTTGGGGCATCTTTCTGGTGCCCTTCTTTTTGGGGAAATCCTATTTCCTCTTTTGGTCAACTTAAGATAGTAACTGAGTAATTGGGTCTGTGAGGCATTTCCCAGAATATTTCCACTATGTTCCTAGCTAATTCTATGGAATTACCTTCAAGTTCATCAATTCCCAACTCTTTTTTTAAAACCAGGATTTCCTTTGCCATTTCATTTCCTAATCTTTCATGGTTTTGCTTTTCTATGTCTTCTTCCTTCTTCTCCACTTGGTCACCTACTTACTGAGAGTTGATGTCAGTCCTTAACTGGTCAAGCTCTACTCAATCTCAAGAACTGAAGATCTTTCACTCTTAGGATTAACCCTACTCAGTCCCTGAACAACAGAGCCTGGCATGGGGATGGGAGCTCTCACCATCTTACCCCATCCTCAGCAAGTGGACTCTCGAGCTAGTCTTGTTGCTCCATCCAGTGAGCCACTCAGGCATCCAAATGCCTGGGTGAAGAACCCCATTAACCCCACACTTAGCAGCACAAATGCTATCCAAGGTCCTGCTTCCATAGCAAAAGTCATAATCTCATGTAACACTGATTCCACATCATCACTTTTACCTACCTTTTAGAAGTGACCCTTTTAGAGTGTTCAAAATCCTAAGCCAGTGAAGATCATGCTCACAAGAATGTGAAAGTTATGAAATAGAGGAAACAAACCAACTCTTCCTCTAAGTCTGAATTTCGGCTCTTGAGAAGATATGAAATATAGGATAATTTTCCTAACGAGATTATTTTTGATACTTAATTTTATGAAGAATGATAAAATGATGGAATGTTAAAGCTTATTCTGCTACACCCATTGGCTTAATCAAATCCACCTAGATTGGCCTGTGAGCCTTCAGGGCCACAGGTTGCCATAATCATCATCCTCAAGTTCCCAGAAAATGTCTGCATTTGACAGGAGACTGATATTGCCCAGGATTTGGTGTGGGTGTGGATGTTTGAGCTGCGCTGGTTGAACTCCTGCCAAAGTTTGTATATATATTCCCAGAAAAGGCTATTCCAGACCCAGAGCTGGTTTTGATCACTAACAGATCTGAATTTTTCATGGCAAACAGGGTGTATGTGTACGTGGGTGTGGTGGTGGTGGGGAGGAGGTGCTGGTAATGGTGGTTGTGATATTTTCATATGATTTTAACTGATTAATGGCTATAATCTAAGAGTCATTTTGGTTTTAGCACTTTTTCTGCTTTAAACAGAAACATAAATTAATCTTTCTTTTTTCCTTTCTCTTCCACTGGGTATTGTCGCACTTAGCATCTGGATTTAAATAAATAAAACAAGGTATAATAAAAAGAGACTTAGACTGGGAGTTGGGAGTCCCAGATCCTCATTTCACTTCTCTACTGATTTTCTGTGTGACCTTCGGCAAGTCAATTCACCTCTCGAGACCTCAGTTCCTATGTATGTAAAATAAGGGTGTCAGACTAAGTGATCTCTAACACCTTTTCCAGATTAAAAAATCGTTTGAGTCAGTGGAATATATAACCCAGTTCCTTTCTCAAAGGTAGCATTTTTTCAGTTCGGGGTGATCTGCTTTTGGGGATATGGGACAGTAATTAAATCTATGAATCTAAGATGTCTTCAGAAACATTGTATTGATGTAACCCAATCCTGTAAAAATAGTTTCTGCCTCTATGAGCCTAACTGAGGATCTCTATATTCAGTTTTATTCCATTATTTTTCTTTGTTTTCATCACTTTTTCACTGGTCTGAGAGAATGAGATCCACAGCCACCTTCTCTGAAAGGCCACCCATTGACTAAGCACTTTCTCCCCTAAATTCACCTGGGGTCTTCATCAGTGCTCTGTGCCCTTCCCTCAATGATGATGGTCCTGAGAACAGCTGTGGCAATAGACATGGCTTTTTCTTTTTTGTTGTTGTTGTTTTGTTTTTGTTTTGAGATGGAGTCTTGCTCTGCCACCCAGGCTGGAGTGCAGTGGCATCATCTCGGCTCCTCCCGGGTTCAAGCGATTCTCTTGCCTCAGCCTCCGGAGTAGCTGAGATTACAGGCGCCCGCCACCATGCCCAGCTAAGACATGGCTTTTTCAAGCACACACCACAGAGAGACATGTTGCTCAGCTTGGTCTACATGGAAGACCTTAAACAACAGGCTACAGCAAGGGATGTGGATTCATAGGAGCTGCCTGCAACTTCTGTGGGAGTTGTAGGACTGATCTAGTTATTCCAGCCTCAGTTTAATTTGAAAAAATAGAGATGATAATACCTCATGGATTTTATTTCATAGAGATAACATGTGTTTTATAATCATAACATAATTTCTACGCACCCACAGGCAAATGTTAGTTATAATCAGAGAACTTCCTCCTTGAGAAGGGCCTTCGAGATTATCTAGTGAGGCTTCAGGTAACAGATGGGGAAACTGAGGCCCAGAAAGGGTAAGGGCCACGTGTAGGATACTCATCGCAGAGAGAAGGAAAAATGGTCTGGGCTGAATATGGCTTTGCCTTTGGCTTCTCCAGATGCAATCTCTGGCAGAGCAGAGGGGTGTAGGTAAATGTTGACAGCTCTGAATGTTTAGGTGGAATTATCACTGAAAATCTCCCCTCACAGGACAGAGAGGGAGAACTAGTCAGAATTACAGATAAACAAAAACTTGGCAAACAGTTCTATTTCATAAATAAAAATACTGGAGGAAAACTACAGCACTAAGAGAATCCCTTCCTCCTCATTGCTGAGGTTGCTCTGTGATATATTATGCCTTCAAATCTGGAGGACAAATCTGACATTCCAAAATCAGCCTCACTCATTCAGCATTTACCAAATGCTTTACTGTGTGCTCACTGTGTTGGGTATTGTGCTAGGTGCTAAGGAGGGCACAGAGGTACAAACAAATACTTACACTGCAAGTGGGCAAGTGGCAAAAACTGTGAGTGCACAAAAGTGCCCAATGGAATACAAAGGAGACAAGGACCAACTATGGTGCCATTAGCCAAGAAAAGCTTTACAGAAGAGGTGATATTTAAGTTGGGTCTCAGCTGGGCACTCACTCAATTGGGAAAGCAGGGAATAATGTGTGTCACAAGTACTAGCTCACTTATTTCTGTGCAGTAAGTGCTTTTGCTATTTCCAATTAAGAGATGAGAAAATTGGGGTTCAGAGAGATTAACTTGACTGAGGCCACACAGCTAGTTCAGGTAGAAGGCAGAGCCAGGATTTGAACCTAGATCTATCTGATTCCAAAACCTGTTACCTTAACTACCACTATGCTATACTGGGAATTTAGTCAAAGAGGATAGATTGTCTAGAAGCACAGAGGCCTGGAAGAGCCAAGATGGTTTGCTCCAGAAATAAGGAGGCCTCCAGTGGTGGAAGACAAGGCTAAACTTGATTCTATTGTCAGTGGGGAGCAATGCCTGTTTCTCAAGGGGAGGGGAGTGACAGGATCAGATTGTGATTTTGCTTTGTTTAGTTAAGTTTAGCAGCATCATTCTGGGTGCAGTGTGGAGAATGGATTGTAAGTGGGTGAAGGGAAAGTGGAGGTCCAGGCAAGAGACAGAGTGCCTTGGACTAAAAATAGTATAGTAGGAAAGGAGAAAAATTCACAGATTAGAGAGGGTACTCAGAAGATAGAATCAACAGGAGTTAATGATAGATTGTATGTGGGTTTGGAAGACACAAAGGAGTCTAGGATGACTTTCAGGTTTCTGGCTTGGGTGATTAGCAGATGAAGATGCCATTTAGCATCAGAAATACAAAAGTTTACAGGAAAGACATGCTGAATTTGAAGGCCATTCAGATAAAGACGACCAGTAGGTAGTTGGGTCTATACCATCGTATGTGTAGTTAGTAACTGAAGCCACAAAAATGACTGAGCTTATCCTGGAGAATATGTGGTCTGGGGAAAAAGGACAGTCTAGGGCAGAAGAACCCTGAGACTCACTGACATTTGAGAGTTGAGCCGAGGAAAAGAAGCCTATAAAGCAGAAATTTACTCTCAATCCTTCCATCGTGACCTCCACACACTATGGCAGGAGCACAGTGTGTGCATTTTGAGGTCAGCAGTAGGGAAGCACTGAGTGTGACAGAAAACCACAGACCAGGAACAGTACATAAGATAGGCCCAGGAACTGTGGGACCAGTAAAGGCCCCCATCCCACATACCTGCTCCCAAACGGTAGAGATATCGTAACAAAGCATATTTTACATTCATTTAATGTTTCCATTGGTGAGCCATCAGAGAATGTTTGATTAAAACTTTGATTAAGCATTTGATTAAAAAGTTTCATTCCTTCTGTTACCTCAAATATTTTTGTTGGCTGTCACCAATATTATATCTGTATTATTTTGAGATTCTATCTTAGCAAACTGGAAAACAAAAAGTGATTTCATCTAATGGATCTGAGGATTCATTTGCCTTCATCAATTTTCTACATTTTAAAAGTCAATATAAGTTTCTCTTTAAAAAATTACCAGTTAAATTTGGAAGCACATTGACTGTTCACTATGTGTCACTTTCCCTCTGTTCTAAGAAGAAAAATCTCTTCAGAAAAAAAATTAATACAATATAGAGGTTAAACAAGTCAAAAGAATCGAGGTGGGAGTTGCACTCACATATTGCTGAAGGGAGTGGCTTTGGGGTTTATTTGTCATTTAACTAGGTCTGTTCCTATGCAAGACAAATCAATGTGGAGCCACACTTAGTCATCATTGATCAAGTTCCATGATCAATTCAGATTTGTTCTCTTGAGAGTTTTTAAATAAGTTTAGCTAAAAGGGAACTTGCTGCCTGTCTGCATTAGCTTTTGCAGAAAAATATTTGTGTATTTCTCTATGACATGGAGTTGATATATGACAATAACCAGAGACTTGCTTATTTTGAAATCAGAAACCCTAGAGGCTGGCTTTTAATTTCAACACCTTTGTTATGGAAAATTCATTTAAAAGGAAACTTCCTTGGCCATGTCAAACTTTTCATCACCTCTGGGAGAAGACTTTTTTCCCTCACTGAGCACATTGTGGGGAGCAGGGGGCAATACATCACAAACCTGAGGCTTGTGGGGAGTGGGGCCAATACATCACAGACCTAGGGCTATGCGCTTGTCACCAATTCCACCTTTCCAGATCTTAAATGATGTCAGCTGCTAGGCCTATCAGCCAGATGTTTGGTCAATGTGATCAAGGTAGGGGATGGTTCTTGTTGCCAAGAAGGCTCTCTATATGTGAACTTCAGACCATCTCCCTCCCTCAGTCTAACAAGTATACACACACACACACACACAAGTTGCAAGAAAACAAATGAAGATGATAGATGAGTCAGGCCAAATCCAGTCCTTAACTTAAAAGTGATTATCATCTCAGCATCTTCCCACTCCATCTTTGCCCCTGTTCCCTAGCTGAAGTGTCATTTAACTGGGGGGAAATTCTTGTGCAAATAACTTGATGCTTTCTCGGAGCACACAGGTTTGGCAGAATAAAAAAGTAAGAGGAGTATCCAGTGGGTGGATGGAGGACTGGATTGACCTGCCTACTTTGTAGCTCCAACTTCAAGGTGAATGTTTTCAATTCAATTGCTTTCCTTCTAACACTTAGTTGCCTTATAAACTGACCCTTCACCCCCAACAACCATTTTGTTTTCTTTGTTACTGAAGTGGGTTAGGGAACACACCTAAAAAAATGCTGGAGTGAAAGCATTAGTATAGCCTGAGGAGACTGAAGATCAGGAAATAGGGAGGAGGGAAAAGACCCAGTCAATTGTAACACTGAAAGAAAAAACACAAAATTCATCTCCAAAATCCCCCTGTAGCACCAAGCACAGTGCCAGGCACAGTGGTTTGTTTAGGAAATGGTAGTTGAATTGAAGTGACTTTTTCCATTACCAACTTTGGGTAAATCTCTCCTTTGCCTACCACTCCATAAAAGGAAATTTCTGCTTGAAGACTCTAGAACTCCCTTTGGTGCCCTCAGACCTGGTATTTTCCTCCATTGTGCCTTACCTACCTTTGGAGGACTAGTGCAGTCATACATAACTGAGTGCAATGTTTCTATGGAAAAATGTCCTCAGAGTTCCAAAAGTAGGATGTACAAATAAGCTTTTGGTGCACAGCCTGTTCATCAGTAAACTGGGGATGACTTATGTTCTTCCAACACTTTAATTAGGAGAAACAGTGGTCCGATTTTCATTGTCTGCCTCATTAAGCTGCAGACAATTAAAAGCAAGGCACTTATTACCTCAGAATGTGATAAGAGCAAAACTATAAATGGGTTTTGACTACTGCATTCATGACAAAGAAATAATGGATAATGCTTCCTGAGTCTCAGGCACTGTTCTGGATGCTTTACCTAGATTAACTTATGTGATCTTCGTAACAACCCCATAAGGGAGCTACTATTAGTATCCTAATTTTAAAGATTAGGTACAGTGGCACATAGAGGCTAAGCAACTTGCTTAAAAACATAGCTACCAGGTGGCCAAGCTGGAATTCAAATCCAGGCAGCCTGGTTCCAACTTGGCATTACTGTGCCTCCATTGTCTACCTCTAAGTCTTTGCTCATAGTACTCCCTATTCCTCTAGTGCTTTCCCTTTGTTGTCAAAATTCCTTTCATCTCTTGAGGTCCAATGCTGCCTCCTTCACGATGCCTTCACAGATCCTCCTTGTTGGAATCAGCCTCCATTTTCTGTGCTCCTAGAGTTTTGCAAACTTCCTATTATGGCACTTTTCATATTTTGTCTTTGATTTGTGCTATTTACAAACATTTTATAGAGTGTGCTGCTCACCTCCCCACATTGGCCTAGTGATTTTAGGGTAGAGGCTGTACTTTCCTCACCGTCATAGCTCCTTTAAGTGCCCAGTGGAGTATCTTACACAAAATAGGTGAATAAGATGTGGTCCCTCCCCTCAATAAATTTACAGTCACCATCTTAAATACATTATTCACATCCAAGGAGAAACTCAGGCCCTATCTACATGGAACATATTTGCCATTTGTAGAACCAGTTCCATATTCTGGAACCCTCATAATGGTCTTGTCCTGGGCAGTCCCCAGTATAGAGGATAAGCTGGTGTAGTGCTGTAATCATAGAAGCCTTAGGCTCTTTAAGGGTAAGGAACTCAGATCAGCCTCCTACCAGACCTAGGAATCTCCTCCACAGAGTCCTTGCCAAAGGGCCTCACTGTCTACAAGCAGTGTCCTGGACATGGCAGGTGCCTCTTCTCTCATGGAGTCAGTCTGTGCCCATGTATGCAGCCCTGTTGATTGGAAGGTCTTTCTGGGGTTGGGTTAGAAATCTGCCTTCCTCATGTCTGTGAGCCCTTGTTCTGCCCACCACCTGCTGCACCCAAAGGTCACACCACTGCAAGTCTATCTTCTTCTTTCAGTTATTTTGGAAGTTTGGTTCTGATCAACTCTTCAGTTATCCACTTGAGAATATGATGCAAATGATTGAAATAACTGTACTTCGTCATCACACCCACCAAATTGGATTACCCTTTCAGCTATTTGATGGATTACTTAGCAAATAGCCCCAAGGGGGCTGAAATGATTGATTCCTATTTGCCATGTATAGATATTGTCAAGGGGAGAGTGCCTCTTTGTTAAATGCTTAAATGGAAGAATAACATCTATCCACTCATGGTGAGGGACTGTAGCCACCAATCTCTTGTGCTCCATAGATCTTGGTGTGAGCGTTCTCCCCTTCATATTACACAAGATGTTCTGGGAACAAGTACTTTTTTCCTCTCTATCTTTCTATGGAGTTTTCCATGACTCTTCCTGGCCTGAACTTCAGGTATATGAGACAGGAGCTATAAAAAAAAATGTTCAATTTTAAACTTTGAACAAAAGTTGTAGGAACAGGACATCTGGACAGTTTATAAATGGACTCAACATTAGAGTTATCTTAACAAAGGTTCTAATTCCATTGATTCCATTTTATTTGCTGCTCTATTTTGGGTCCAATGCCAAGGATGAAGTCAATGAAATCAGGAAAAATAGATCTACTGCAAGAGTTGCTGTCAAGGAGAGATTGGAATCAGGGCCACTTTCAAGTTCAATTTTTGCCACTAACTGACTCTTTTGCTTTGGGCAAGTCACTTAACCTCTCTGAGCCTCAGTTACATTATATGAAAAATCAGGACAGTCATTTCTGCTCTACCACAGGGCTGGTCTGAGGATGCTGTAAGACAAACTCTGTGAAGATTCTGGTTTGTTTTCCTTGAGAAATGTATGAAATAACACAGTGGCTACTTTCTGGGGCTGCCAATGATAGTAAGTGATATGGTTTGGCTCTGTACTCCCACCCAAATCTCATGTTGAATTGTAATTCCCAGTGTTGGGGGAGGGACCTAGTGGGAGGTGGTTGGATCACGGGGGCAGATTTCTCCCATGCTGTTCTCAAGATAGTGAATGAGTTCTCATGAGATCTTATGGTTTAAATGTGTGTGGCACTTACCCCTCACTCTCCCTCTTTCTCCTGCCACCATGAGAAGGTGCTTGCTTCCCCTTCACCCTTCTGCCATGATTGTAAGTTTCCTGAGGCCTCCCAGTCATGCTTCTTGTTAAGCCTGCAAAACGTTGAGTCAATTAAACCCCTTTTCCTTATAAATTACCCAGTCTCAGTTAGTTCTTTATGGCAGTGTGACAGTGGATAATACAGAAAATTGGTACTGGGAGAGGGGCAATGCTATAAAGATACCTGAAAATGTGGAAGTAACTTTGGAACTGGGTAATGGGCAGAGGTTGGAACAGTTTGGAGGGCTCAGAAGAAGACAGGAAGATATGGGAAGGTTTGACACTTCCTAGAGACTTGTTGAATGGTTGTAACCAAAATGCTGATAGTGATATGGACAATGAAGTCCAGGCTGAGGTGGTCTCAGCTGGAGATGCAGAACTTGTTGGGAACTGGAGTAAAGGTCACTCTTGGTATGCTTTAGCAAAGAGACTGGCAAGATTTTGACTCTGCCCTAGAGATCTTTAGAACTTTGAACTTGAGAGAGATGATTTAGGGTATCTGGTAGAAGAAATTTCTAAGCAGCAAAGCATTAAAGATGTGACCTAGCTGTTTCTAAAAGTGTTTGCTCATATGCATGAACAAAAATTATCTGAAACTGGAAATTATATTTAAAAGGGAAGCAGAGCATAAAAGTTAGAAAAATTTACAGCCTGACCATGGTAGAAAAGAAAAACCAATTTTCTGGGGATAAATTCAAGCTGACTGCAGAAACCTGCATAAGTAAAAAGGAACCTAATGTTAATAGCCAAGACAATGTGGAAAATGTCTGCAGGGCATGTCAGAGACCTTTGCAGCAGCCCCTCCCATCACAGGCTTGGAGGCCTAGGAGGGAAAAATGGTTTTGTGGGCCAGGCCCAAGGCCCCACTGCTCTGGCAGCCTCCAGACATGGAGCCTTGTGTCCCACCAACTCCAGCTCCAACCATGGCTAAAAGGGGACAAGGTACAGCTTGGGTTGTTGCTTCAGAAGGCTCAAGCCCCAAGCCTTGGCAGCTTTCACATGGTGTTGGGCCTACAGATGTGCAGAAGGCAAGAGTTAAGGCTTGGAAGCCTCCACCTAGATTTCAGAGGATGGATGGAAATGTATGGATGTCCAAGCAGAAGTCTGCAGCAGGGGTGGAGCCCTCGTGGATAACCTCTACTAGGGCAGTGCAGAGGGGAAATGTAGGGTTGGAACTCCCACACAGAGACCTTACTGGGACACTGCCTAGTGGAGCTGTGGGAAGAGGACCACCATCCTCCAGATCCCAGAATGGTAGATCCACTGTCACCTTTCACTGTGAGCCTAGAAAAGCCTCAGGCACTCAATGCCAGCCCATGAAAGCAGCCATGGGAGCTGTACCCCGCAGAGCCACAGGGGCAGAGCTGCACAAGACCTTGGGAGCCTACCTCTTGCATCAACATACCCTGGATGTGAGACATGGAGTCAAGGGAGATTATTTTGGACCTTTAAGACTTAATGACTGCCCTACTGGGTTTTGGACTTGCATGGGAAAGGGCCTGTAGCCCCTTTCTGTTGGCTGTTTTCTCCCTTTTGGAATAGGAGCATTTAGCCAATGCTTGTACTCCCATTGTATCTCAGAAGTAACTAATTTTTTTTTTATTTTATTTTACAGGTTCATATGCAGAAGGGACTTGCCTTTTCTCAGATGAGATGTTGGACTCGGACTTTTGAGTTAATGCTGAAATGAGCTAAGACTTTGGGGAACTGTTGGGAAGACATGATCGGTTTTGAAATGCGAGAAGGACATGAGATGTGGGAGGGGCCAAGGGTGGAATTATAAGGTTTAGCTCTGTGTCCCCACCCAAATTTCATCTCGAATTGTAATTCCTAATGTTGGGGAAGGGACCTGGTGGGAAGTGATTGGATCATGGGGGTGGACTTCCCTCATGCTGTTCTCCTGATAATGAGTGAGTTCTCATGAGATCTGCTTGTTTAAAGGTGTATGGCACTTCCCCCCTTGCTCACGCTTTCTCTCTTCTGCTGCCATGAGAAGAAAGTGCTTGCTTTCCCTTTGCTTTTCTCCCATGATTCAGTTTCTGAGGCCTCCCAGTCATGCTTCCTGTTAAGTCTGTGGAACTTGGAGTCAATTAAACCTCTTTTCTTCATAAATTACTCAGTCTCAGGTGGTTCTTTATAGCAGTGTGAGAACAGACTAATGTACTAAGCAATAAGAAAGATGTCCAGGCCCCAAATGCCCCAACCTGACACCTAGCTGGCTCTTAAAGAGGGTAGCTACTGTGAAGAGGGAGAAAAAGGCCTTGGCATCTGCAGACCCTCTTTCTTTATGATCCTTTAAATATAAAGGATGTGTTTATGTCTGTCTTCCTAAGTAGGAAGTTTTATTCTTTAAACTAAATTTGACCTACTGGCATGTGACAAGAATCACTGACTTGTCATTACTGGCATGTGACAAGAATCACTGACTTGTCATCTAACTGACATCTGAAGTTCCTAACATCCTAAGGGATGGGGACAAGTAGGAGGAAGCTACAGAAAAACATATATGTCTGAGTTTTTGTTTTAAATGTGTGAGGTAAAAGCAAATTGTTTCTGTTCTGCTTAAACTGTTATTTGAAAGTATGTTGCCCCAGGCCTAGGCATTTGCTAAGCTCTCTCAAATTCACATCTTCTCTTATTCTCTCATTCTCTGCCTCCAGTGGTTTCTATTTAGAGGTGGATCAACCCATTAGCAGTCTTGGACTCTGCTCCTTTTCTGCTTCTCAGAAACCCCTTTCAGTTTTCTACCATTTGCAGCACACTTCATGCAATAATTGGCAAAACTCTGTCAATTTAATTAGACTTCCTGACAATTCCAGAACATCTCCCCCCTTCAAAGCACTTGCTTTCCAATAGCAACTGAAACATAAATCCTGATGCTTTGACTTTCATGTTTCTCTTGAAATAATATTGTTAATGACTTTTTGTAACCATTGGAGGCCTTTGAATAGAGTTTGAATTAAAATACTGGCAACAAATATCTGTGAGTCATGTAAAAAAAGCTCAAAATTAAATGTTCATTTTGCACAGAAGAACATTTTCATTAATATTTCTTTGCTTGATGTATCTGATCTTGTCATAAAGAGTTGTGCTAAGGGGAAATTTTGTTTATAGAATTATATCATATTATATTATGTTTATATCATATTTCCCCATTGTTTAACACTGCAAAAATATAAATAAGTGCTCCTGTTAGGAAGAAAACAATTTGTTCTCAAAAACGTATTTTATAATGTATCAAGATTTTTAAAAGATCATGTATTGAATAGATTCACTCATTTTGTAAATAATAATTTCTAAAAATAACACTGGAAAAATGTGCTAAGAAATGTGACCTATTTTTGTGAATCACTGATGGGTACTTAGGATGGATTTCTTTCTTTCCCCCTCAAATAGGCTCCCAAATGAGCTATTTAGAGTGCCTTCGTGCTTGCCTGGGAAATCTCCCAGGGCTTCTGGAGTATTAAGCAAGGATACTTTTTCACAAAGATTTAGATAGAACCCAAAATTTAGCCAGAATGTGTTTAGAATGGATACACTCCGGGTGCCAAATTGATTCCTTAAATTAGAATTTTCAGTAATTTGCAATATTAACTGAACGCTTAGGTACACTTCAAAGCATAAACACCTGGATCATGCAAGGTGGAGGGAAAGAAAGGATGGACAGGACAGGCCTGGGGTAGCAAAGGTATTAGCAACAGTCTCATAGTCCTATTGCCTTAACACAAGAAAGAGATAAGAGCCCTCAAAGGATGGATCAGTGATCCTGGGACACTCATCAACTACACCTCCATCCTCTCCCTGGTGAAAAGTGACTCCCTTAGCTCAATATCACAGGGAATATCTTTGATCCATCATCATGCAATGTTGGCACTGGAAGGGCTTTCAAAGTGAGACAATACATCATGAGTACCTACCATGTGCCAAGACCTGTGCTAGATGCTAGAAAAGTACAAGACCAATGAAGCATAGGCCCTGCCTTGTTAAATTTAGTCCAGATCTGCCTCCTGATATATGTTAAGTTCAACCGAAATGTTGCTCCATACATAGTGAGCTGTAACTTAACTGGATGTATACTAACCTACTCTTGTGCCAATCACCAAGTTTCAGCCAATCACAGGTGGCCAACTTTTCAAACTGTGTTCAAAAAATGCAGACGCTAAGCTGTAACCAATCTGGCTGTTTCTCATTTCCATTTTTGCACATGGCTTTCCTTTTTCTGTTCATAAATCTTCTTATACACTAAGGCAGTGCTGGAGTCTCTCTGAACCTATTCTGGTTCTGGGGCTCCCTAATTCATGAATTATTCTTTGCCCAATTAGACTCTGTTAAATTTAATTTGTCTAAAGTTTTCTTTTAACAGCCTCAGGAAGCTCTCTGTCTGGTCCAACTTCCTAATTCCACACATGGAATACTGGTCCACAAAGCAGAAGGGGTTTGCCGAAGGTCGTCTGGCTACTCAGGAGCAGGCCTGCAGATGAACCAGGAGTCAGATGTTCTTTCTTCCTCATCATGTTGCTGCCTTTATCACACGGTGTTATAGGATTTGTTTGCTCTGAGATTTGTGTTTGTTGCCGGATCAGAATAGCTTGCAAACTCAAAAAGAAAAAAAAAGGTTTTGAATGACTCTTTAGCCTTGACCTCAGGTCGGGCTGCAACAACAATGAGGAAAGTAAAGACCTTCTGTCTATATCTCCCATCACTCTTTTGGGAACTCTGAGATAGGAAGCAGTCAAAGAGCAATGGAAGAAATGGAAAGGCACATGACTCTTTCATGCTACCATGCTTCTCTCCTTTTTCTTTTCTAATCAACCTTTGGAGATGGAAATGAGTTAGAGGAGAAGCCCATGAATTTTTCATGAAGGAGCATTGAATATGCCCAGATGGCCTCCCCAGTGGGATCTCTGAAGAGCAGTGAGGGAATTCTCTCACCCAGCCTTCTCCTTAGAGGGACCCACAGTGGTAAGAGGTATGGAAGAAGGCACAAGGAAATGCTGGGGAGATGCTGGATAGAACATGTGAACAACACTGAAGAGGTGATGATCACAAAGTATCAGCAAATTCATCATCAGACAGTAAAAGACAAGGAAAGAATGGAAAGAGGTAAATAAATCTTTTGCCCTAGGGCAGAGAGAATGACAGACATGAATCCTCTCCACTTTAAAGTTTGATAAAATGGGATGAGATGCTTTTAGAAGGTATTGTAAAAGTGAGACCTGTTGGAAGATCCAAGGGCTCCATTCTGCTCTCTCCAGTTAAGTGTGACTACCTTCTGCTCAGGAAGCCTCTTCAGTTCTACAGAGCAAAGAGAGACAGGAGAAGCCCCAGGGGTGGAGGTGGCTGACAGCTGCCCTCTATACTGGCTGGCATTTATTGAGTGCTTACCATTTGCTTTTCATGCATTATCTCTTTTCATCTCACCTTGATCCTTTAAGTTAAGGACTTGAACACAGAGAGGTTTGCTTGCCCCTAAAGCCTATCCTTTTAACCACAATGCCCCACTGGCATTCACCAAGGTCCAGAAAGCAAGATGAACAAGTTCATCTCTCAGTCACCATTGATCTAGTTCCCTGAGCTAAGAAAGCGGGTAGAGAGACAGGGCAAATCTCTGGGCAGAATAAAAAGGTACATTGCGTTGATGCTGTTTAGGCTGGTGCAACTTAATAAATGGAAAAATGCTATTTAGGTTGCACCAACCTAATAAATGGAAAACCAAGAGCTGCAAGCAGGATACAGGGAGGTCAGAACACTGACACTTTTTTTTGAGACAAGGCCTCATTCTGTTGCGCAGGCTGAAGTGCAGTGGCGTGAATATAGTTCACTGAAGCCTCGAATTCCTGGGCTCAAGCGATCCTCCTGCCTCAGCCTCCTGAGTAGCTGGGACTACAGGTGCACACCACCATGGCCAGGTACTTGTTTTTTAAATTTTTTTGTAAAGACAGTGTCTCCCTATGTTGCCTAGGCTGTCCTGGAACTCCTGGCCTCAGGAAATCTTCCCACTTTGGCCTCCCAAAATGCTAGGTTATAGTCATGAACTCCTGTGCTGGGACCTCTTGACACTTTTTAATGGAAAATTTCCAATGGTGGAGGCAAGTCACTAGATTTAGAAGTTGAACACAACAATGGTTGGAAAATTTCCAATGGTGGAGGCAAGTCACTAGATTTAGAAGTTGAACACAACAATGATTGGAATATTTCTTCCTAGGTGGTTGACCAGTGAGCATAGTTCAGCTTTAGTGAGCACAAGAAGTGCTAAACTGACTAAATATTAAAGAGACTGACTCTAGGCATAGTTTCAGAACTTCCCAGAAAAATGTCTACTGAGATTGAGAAGGTTGATTCCTGGTCACAAGTATAGGGCCACATTGGACATAATTTTTTAAAATGCTACAGTGAAAGAGCACCAACTTGAAGTCAAAGGACCAGGGTTCTTATTTCATCTTTGCTACTCACTTGTGACTTTGGCAAGTCTGTTCTCATCTCGGGCCTTAGTTACCTCCTATGGAAAATGAGGTGATCAATTAGACCATTTTGGAGGCCCCTTTCTGCTTGAACACTCTGGAAGCCAGTGACTCCAAGACACATGGCCAGAATTGCACACAAAGAGACGTTGTTGTCTGAGAAACTGAGAAGCTAATGAATAAGGTGGTTGAGGAAAAAGAATAAAGCATGGAGGTGGTGACACTGCAGCACAGTGCCTGGGAGCACATTTAGGGACTGCGTTAGTTCACATCCTCTGGGCAACACATGCTGAGGTGGAGTTATGAGTGTAATGCCTGTGAACCATAAAAGAAGAGGAAACAGAATGGGCAGGGAGCCTTCAGGAGGCAATGCAGAGCTAACACCTAAGAAAGGAATGGGAAGAGTAAGCAGGATTGAGCAGGGAGACCCACGGACTGGAATGCAGAGATGACAAAATCTTGCCCAAACCAAAGGAGAGCTCCAGAGCAAAGACTACCCCTTAGAGGAGTCTCACATTGAACAAAGTTGGCCAGACCCTAGTGTGCTCATTGTGCACAACCATTGGCTGAAAGCTGCCTAGGAGAACATGTCCTTGGTTCACAAGCCAAGGCACGTTCTTCCTTGGAAGAAGATCCAAGGGACACAAAGATAATGAAATTGACCAATGGATGGGAAAAAAACAAGTGAGCAAGATATCTGGATTTCAATTACTTAACACTTTCTTATGGAACGTCACCTTACCTAGATATTCCCTGAGGTTAAGGTCTTGACCAGTCCTGAACTACTACAATTATCCAAATTTAATTTCATAAAAGTAAGATTAGGGGAACTTAGCCTGGAAAAAAAATCATAGGCTATTTTCACCATGCAAATTTTCCAATAGTTTGTCAGGTTTGCTTTCCTGTATAGATCTTCCATTAGTAAAAAGTGTGAAGTCCTAGAATTTTAATGCTGTTTGAGACTTTAAACAGCCACTGAGTTCAACTCTCTGTCACTCCAAACCTCTGACGGCATTCCAACCAAGAGGTAATCCAACCCCTATTTGATCATCTCCAGAGATAATTGGGAACTCACTTCTTGAAATGGCCTTTTAAATTAGGCCCTGAACACTCTAACTGCTACTAAGCGCCTCTTTGCAAAGAGCTGGACACTATAATCCTGTGCTGACTGAAACAGTCCTTCCAAACTGTGGCTCTTGAGTCAATGGAGTTTGGCATTTTCATACCACAGTAGTTTTTTTCTTTGAGGAAAAAAAGGAGACTGAGGATACACACTGAGTAGCCTTGTTCCTGGAGGGCTCCAGGAACAGACCTTTGAGAGCCCTTTCTGTTTTCAGATTTGAATTTCCAAAAGCTCATTTTGAGCCACCACTAACAGCTTGGAACTTCTGTGGGGAAAACTCACTAAGAGCAAGGAGAGAATCAAAAGAGTCTAAATATTCACAATAGCAAAGATGTGGAATCAACCCAGGTTCCCATCAATGATAGATTGAATTTTTAAAAAAGTGGTACATATACACCATTGAATACTATGCATCCATAAAAAGAATGAAATCATATCTTTTGTAGCAACATGAATGCAGCTGGAGGCCATTATCCTAAGCTAATTAACACAGAAACGGAAAACCAAACACCACATGTTGTCATGTTTAGTGGGAGCTAAACATTGGGTACACATGGACACAAAGATAGGAACAATAAACAGTGGAGATTCCAAAAGGGGGGAGGGGGGAAGAGGGACAAGAGTTGAAAAACTACCTATTGATTCTATTAGGTACTATGTTTGCTACTTGGGCAATGGGATCATTAGAAGCCCAAATCTCAGCATTACACAATAAACCCATTTAACAAACCTGCACAAGTATCCCCTGAATCTAAAGTAAAAAGTAAATTTTTTTAAAAGCACACACAAAAAAACCCTAAAATGGTGCCAATTTTTGCTCTGGGGAGGAACATCCTCTTACCTCATGCATCCTACTTTAAAAGGTAAAGATATTTCCTGAATAAAATTCGATAAATGATTTGAAGGTCTTAATGAGGCAGTGACCTAAGGGTGTGTTCTGAAGGATCGGAGAGGTCATGACTGATTAATTTTTCACTGTCTAAATATCGACTAAAGATGCTTCATTAACCTGCCTCAGACACACAACTCCCGAGGTCTTGCTTTTTCCACTTGAATTTCAAGTTGTGTTTGAAAACTCCCTCCTTGTAAAGAATGGTAAACAAATATAAAACAGGAATGGGAGAAGAGAGGGCACTGGAAGTCCACATATTACAGGTTGTTTTTGGGGAGCTGGAGAACTAGAAACAACACTGAATGAGTTCTTTGATAGAGACCATCACTGTTGAGACCTGACACGGGTAAAGTGTCGGCCTTTGCATTAACAGAATATCTTTTATCTAATTAGTCAAGTGTCTTTTACCAAATGCCAAGTCTCTCACAAATAAACACACTGTGGATATCAGTACAACATGGCTACAAGCATGTGTCAGATGAATAATTAAGATGACTATGTCTTTAATATCCTTGAAGTATTCGGTTGGATTCCTTTTAGCCACAGGCTACGTTACAGTTTTCTTACATGGGGACTTGCAGAATCATTCAATAAGCGCCCAGTGGTCTGTATGCAGGAGAGTGCTAGGGCCCCTCCCAGCTGTATTGATTTAGGATTCTCTGAGAAACCAGCTACTAAAAAGATCGAACAAGACACTGTTTCTTCTAGAAGATTTTCATCAGGAATGTAACTTTATGGTTTCGGCATTCCTCTCTCCTTAAAGAAAGCAAAGATAGAACAATGACGTGAGGGGAGTGAGATTACTGGTAAGAATCCATCAATTCACCCGAAGAGGCAAGGACAGACAGTGGAAAGAGAACTGACTGGAGTTTAGGTAATATTTATCACTGACAAGCTGGATAACCTTGACTAAGATATTGAAGCTATTTGACTCAATCTATAAAATGAGTCAGATGTGAGGCTTATACGAGATAATAGGAAAATATTCTGCAAGCTGTATTCTTCACATGTGCAGAGCTCTCATTATGTGTTACTGGGGCCCAGGAGAACCCTAATAGAGTGGAGTATTATTGTACAGGCTTAGAGGCAGGCTGCCTGGATTCACTCTCAGTTCTGACCTAAGCAAGATGCTTAACCACTCTGTGCCTCAGTTTTCTTATCTGTAAAATGTGGATAATACAAGCACTTATCTTACGGTATTGTTGTGAGCATTATATGAGATGAAACATGTAAGATACTTAGCACATAGTGCCCGGCACACATAGTAAGAGTTCATCAAATGTTGGGTGTTATTATTGTTGTTATATTTTCAGTGTGTCATTTATTGACATCCTTGGGAGACTTTCTCCCTGTTCAATACTTGGGTATCCACTAATGATAATGGTGCTGGTAGTGCTGGCAGTGGTGATGGTGACACAAATAATAGTGTCAAGATGCTTCCATTTGCATTGTGTTGCATGGCTCACATACTGACCCTACGAGTTAGCCAGGGCAAGGATCCGTATTCCTGTTCTGTGCATGAGCCAGCTGAGGTAAAGAGAGGTAGAAGAGTCACCCAAGGTCACACAGCTAATGAGAGTGGCAGGAGCACTGGTACCCAGGGCTTTGGATTCTGAATCCAGTGTTCTTTACTTTTTTTTTCTTTCTTTCTTTCTTTTTTTTTTTGAGACAGAGTCTCACTCTGTCGCCCAGGCTGGAGTGCAGTGGCACGATCTCGGCTCACTGAAACCTCCACCTCCCGGGTTCAAGCGATTCTACTGCCTCAGCCTCCCGAGTAGCAGGGATTACAGGCGCATGCTACCATGCCCGGCTAATTTTTGTATTTTTAATAGAGACAGGGTTTCACCATGTTGGTCAGGCTGGTCTTGAACTCCTGACCTGGTGATCCGCCCACCTCGGCCTCCCAAAGTGCTGGGATTACAGGCGTGAGCCACCGTACCTGGCCCCCCAGTGTTCTTTTCAATGTACCCTACTATCACCCAGGGAGAATGAGTACCTACATGTGTCTCATCTACAAGTCAAATATGTTTTTCTATCAAAACCACACTCCTATGCTCACTAGCAGAGTATAATGTTTACAAAAGCAAGAAAATAGCCCTGCTCTTCCCTGGGGACATTGGTCACAGATATCCTTAGAGCAAAAAAAAAAAAAAGATGATTTACAAATTCCATGTACCTGCAAGAGATGCAAATTAAATTTGTAAAAATATATAATTATTCATTAATATGCTTTGCAGCAATAAGGGAAAATATTAGTAATAAATCTAGAAAGTATGTAGGTGAGGGAGGACTTTATTTCTCATCTGGAAGACATGTGAAACAGCAAAACCCTTCTGGAAAAGTATATGGGCAGACGTTGAGAAGCCCATACGGTCTCATGGTCCTTTTCCTTGTATGCTGGCTCCTGAGGGGATGATTCCTAAGGAAATTCAAGAGATAAAAATCAAGCAAATAATATTAAGAATGACCTCAGCAGTCAAAAATTGTACTGTGGCACCCTGAAAACAAGGAGTGAGGGGCATCCGTTTCTACATGGCTTAATAAGATCTGTTTTTAATGACCATGGAAATATATACTTTAATCAAAGTTATATATATATACACACACACATATATATGTATAAAGAGTGAACAGTGCCAGAAAAATGCTATATAAATATATATATATTCACCAACATACAGAATCCCATGTACAATGGAAAGAAAAATGAGTGCTCAGATAAATGAGAGTTTCACAATTAGCTTTAAAAAGCATAAGACATAAAATAAGTTATAAAGTCCGATTTCTATTTCTCAAGATGTAAAAAATAAAATAAAATAACACTCATAATAGGAAAATGAGAAATAAAGTGATCAGGTACCTTAGAACAAGAAAGAAAATGAAAGGTTAAGACAAAAGAAGATGAATGGATAAAGAAAATGTGGTACATATACACAATAGAATATTATTCGGTTATAAAGAAAGAATGAGATCCTGTAATTTGCAACAACATGGATGGAACTGGAAGATGTTGTGTTAAGCGAAATGAGCCAGGCATAGAAAGACAAATATTGCATATTCTCATTCAAATGTGGGAGCTAAAAAAAAATATTGAACCTGTGGAGATAGAGAGTAAAATGATGATTACTAGAGGCTGGGAAGCGTAACAGGGAGGGGATATAAAGAAAGGATGGGTAATGGGTACAAAAATACAGTTAGATAGAAGGAATGAGATCTAGTGTTTAGTAGCACAATAGGACAACCATAGTAAATAATAATTTACTATATGTTTCAAAATAACAAAGGGAGTGGAATTGGAATATTTCTAACACAAAAGAGATAAATGCTTGAGGTGATGGATACTCCAGTTACCCTGATTTGATCATTACACATTGTATGCTTATATCAAAACATCACATGTACCCCATAAAAGACAAGTGAACTGTGCTAGAATAATACTGAGAAAGTGAGAAATGATCAGTCTGAGGGCCTCAGTGGCAACTGAAAAGACCATACTTGCTTTAAAAATGAGTATTGTTCAGAAGCTTTAATAAAGAATAAAATATAAACAATGGGCCTTGGCAAAATGTGAAAGGAATTCACATGAATTACCCACAACAGTAGCTGCAACCATGCTCTGACACTCTATCCTGAAATACCTCAGTCACTAACACCTTATTTCTTCTACCCAAACACTGGATATAAAGGATACAGATATCAACAGGCATATATAAGTATATAGGTATATAACAGGTATATAGGCATATAAAGCTATATAGGTTTATATATCAAGGATGCTCTTCTACCACACCATGATCACACTTGCAAATGGGAATGGAAGTGGTGGGGACAGCCAACTTGGGCTAAAGGCCTTAACAATACTCCCAGCTCTCCTTACCCAAGGCAACTATGTGTGCTGGACCCTCAGCTAGGCCCTTTACATGTGTCCTCTCCTTTAATTCTTACAGTGGTTTTATGAGGTAAACATATCCCTACTTTTATTTTTCACAGAAGGAAACCAACACTCAAATTGGTGAAATACTCTCCCAAGTTTTCACATCTTGTGAGTGGAAGAGCCGGACTTTGAATCCAGAGCTGTGTGGGTGAGTCAGTGCTCTAAAGCTGTACCAGCCCCAATCTCACCAGACAGCAAGAAAAGTGGCTGTGGTCATACACTTTTACTACCACTACTGCCTACTCTTTTAAAAAAAAAATTGTGGGTACATAGTAGGTGTATATATTTATGGGGTACAAGAGATGCTTTGATACAAGCATGCAATGTGAAATAAGCACATCAGGGAGGATGGAGGTAACCATCCTCTCAAGCATTTATCCTTTGAGTTACAAACAGTCCAATTACACTCTAAGTTATTTTAAAATGTACAATTAAGTCATTATTGACTATAGTCACCCTATTGTGCTATCAAATACTAGGTCTTATTCATTCTTTCTGTTTCTTTTGTACTCATTAACTAACCCAACCACTTCCTATTCTTCATAAAATGACCTTCTAGGTGTGGAAAACCCTACTTTCCTTAACTTAGCTAGGACAAAGTGGACATTCTTGGAGAGGAATGTTTACTATAAGACTCAAAAAAAACCCAGCAAATTCAAAAAGGTAGATATGAAGGCATTTGAGACTTCAATAACTGGAGCTAAAAAAAAATTGGTTACCAATATGGAAAAAATTGGGTCCCACCTCACACCATACAGTAAAAAAAATCTAGATGGATTTAAGACTTTAATGTCAAAAACAAAACTTAAGGCATTCATATTGTAAGAGAAGAGGTTAAGTTGTCTCTGTTTATAGATTACATGATCTTATATATAGAAAACCCTAAAGACTCCACCAAAAAATATTAAAAGTAATAAATGGGTTCAGCCGGCAGCAGTGGCTCATGCCTGTAATCCCAGCACTTTGGAAGGCTGAGGTGGGCAGATCACAAGGTCAAAAGATAGAGACCATCCTGGCCAACATGGTGAAACCCCGTCTCTGGTAAAAATACAAAAATCAGCTGGGCATGGTGGTGCACACCTGCAGTCCCAGCTACGTGGGAGGCCGAGGCAGGAGAATCGCTTGAACCTCGGAGGTGGAGGTTGCAGTGAGCTGAGATCACGCCACTGCACTCCAGCCTGGAGAAAGAACATGACTCCATCTCAAAAATAAAAATAAAAATAAAAATAAATGGGTTCAGGAAATTGTCAGCATACAAAATCAAAGGAAATTTGTTGCATTTCTATATAGTAACAACAAACTATCCAAAAAATAAAATTAACAAAACAGTCCCATTTACAATAGAATCAAAAAGAAAAATAAAAGGAATAAATGTAACCAAGGAGGTGGAAGACTTTTACACTAAAAACTATGAAACATTGATGAAAGAAATCAAAGAAGACACCAATAAATGGAAAGATCTCCTGTGCTCATGGATTGGAAGAATTAATATTGTTAAAATGCCCACACTACCCAAAACTGTCTATAGATTCAAAGCAATTTCAATCAAAATTCAAGTGACATTTTTCAAAGAAACAGAAAAACCAATCCTAAAATTCACATGGAAATATGAAAGATCTTGAATAGTCAAAGCAATCTTGAGAAAGAAAAACAAAGCTAGAGGCACCACACTCCCTGATTTCAAATTATATTACAAAGCTATGGTAACCAAATAGCATGGTACTGGCATAAAAACAGACACATAGAACAACTGAGCAGAATACAGAGCTCAGAAATAAATCCGTGCATATATATCGTTAGCTAATCTGTGACAAAGGTGCTAAGAATACACAATGGGCTATCATCAATAAGTGACTTTGGGAAAACTGGATATATACATGCAAAAGTATGAAATTGGACCCTTGTCTTTAATCACATATAAAAATTAACTCAAAATAGATTAAAGACTTAAATGTAAGAACCTGAAACTGTAAAAATCCTGGAAGACATAGGGAAAAAGCTCTTTGATGTTAGTCTTGACAATGATTTTTTTGGTGTAACACAAAAATCATAAACAACAAAAGCAAAAGAAATGGGTGGGACTTCATCATACTATAAAGCTTCCGCACAACAAAGGAAACAATCATCAACAAAACAAAACAAGCAATGAAATGAAAAGATAACCTACAGAATGGGAGAAAATATTTGCAAACTATACCTCTGATATATTCAAAACATATAAGGGGCTAGGTGCAGTGGCTTATACCTTTAATCCCAGCACTTTGGGAGGCCGAGGCAGGAGGATTGCTTGGGGCCAGGAGTTTGAGACCAGCCTGGGTGACATAGTGAGACCCCATCTATACAAATTTTTTTTTTTTTTTGAGACAGAGTCTGGCTCTGTCGTCCAGGCTTGAGTGCAGTGGCATGGTCTCGGCTCATTGCAACCTCTGCCTCCTGAGTTCAAGTGATTCTGATGCCTCAGCCTCCCAAGTAGCCGGGATTATAGGCACACATCACCACACCTGGCTAAATTTTGTTTTTTGTGTTTTTTTTAGTAGAGACAGGGTATTGCTTTGTTGCTAAGGCTGGTCTCAAACTCCTGAGCTCAAGCAATCTGCCCACCTGAGCCTCCCAAAGTGCTGGGATTACAGGTGTGAGCCACCACACTCAGCATACAAATAAAAAATTTAAAAAGTTAGCCAGGTGCGGTGGCACATGCCCGTAGTGCTAGCTGCTTGAGAGGCTGAGGTGAGAGAATCATTTGAACCTAGGAGTTCAAGGCTACAGTGAATTATGTTTGTGCCACTACCCTCCAGCCTTAGTGGCAGAGTGAGACCTTGTCTCTAATACATACATATATATAATATGGAAATAAAGAGGGAGAGAGAAAGAATTCACACAATTCAATAGCAAAAATAAATAAATAAATAATCTGATTTTAAAAAGGACAAAAGATCTGAATAGACATTTCTCAAAGAAAGATGTACAAATGGCTAACAGGTACATGAAAAAAATGCTCGACATCACTAATCATCAGGGTAATGCAAATCAAAGCCACGAGATTTCACCTTACAACTGTTAGGATAGCTATCATTAAAAAGACAAGAGATAACAATTGTTGGTAAGGGTGTGGAGAAAAGGGAATCTTTGGGCACTGTTGGTGAGAATATAAATTGGTACAGCTGTTATGAAAAACGATATGGAAGTTTCCAAAGAACTTAAAAATATGGCCAGGCATGGTGGCTCACGCTGGTAATCCCAGTACTTTGGAAAGCCGAGGCGGGTGGATCGCCTGAGGTCAGGAGTTCGAAATGAGCCTGAACAACATGGTGAAACCCCGTCTCTACTAAAAATACAAAAATTAGCTGGCCATGGTGGCGCATGCCTGCAATTCCAGCTACTTGGGAGGCTGAGGCAGGAGAATCACTTGAACTCGGGAGGCAGAGGTTGCAGTGAGCCGAGATCATGCCACTGCACTCCAGCCTGGGCAACAAAACAAGACTCCATCTCGGAAAAAACAAAACAAACAAAAAAAAACACTTAAAATTAGAACTACCACATAACTCAGCAATCCCACTTCTGGGCATATATTCGAAGGAAATGAAATCAGTATCTCAAAGAGATATCTGCATCACCATATTCACTGCAGCATTATTCACAGTAGCCAAGATATGAAAACAGCCCAGGTGTCCATTGATGAATGAATGGAGAAAATGTTATATACATATATTATAGATGGGAATTCTTCATAGTTCTTAGCTAGTTCTTAGGTTGGATGGTGGTACTTATTATGTTTTTAAAAATAAATAAAGCCTGTCATGGTCTGAGGATGATGAAGTGCCATGAGAAGAGACATATGATTGACACAATTCATACAACTTAATTATATTAATTAAACAGAATGATTTCATTAATTTAGTATGCATATATATGCAACAGAAGATAATTCGGCCAAAGAAAGAAGGACATTATGTAATTTGGGACAACATGGGTGAACCTGGAGGACATTATGCTAAGTGCAATAAGGCAGGCACAGAAAGGCAAACACTGTATGATCTCATTCATATGTAGAATCTAAAAATGTCAACCGCATGAAAGCAGAGAGTAGAAAGGTAGTTACCAGGGGCTGGAGGAATCAGGAGATATTGGTCAAAGGGTACAGAATTTCAGTTACAGGGTGCTTAAGTCCTGAGGTTCCAATGTACAGCATGGGTGGCTATGGATGTGTTTGTTAATTTTATTGTAGTGATCATTACACAATGTATATCTAATCATCACACTGTACACCTTGAATATATACAAGTTTTATTTGTCAAATAAATATTCTAAAATAAAAATACACACAAAGAAAACAAAACAAAGAATTTTAGATGAAAATAGAGGCAAATGTTTTTCTGATCTTAGGGTAAGGAAAAATTTCTTAAACAAGGAACAAAAATAAGCACTAACCATAAAAGGAAAGATCGATAAATTTGACAACTAACATTAAGAGTAGAATTTGTTCTAAATTGCTGGTGTACATAGGTCAAACCACTTTGGAAAACAATTTGATATTTACTGGTAAAGTGTAAAATTTGCATAGCCAAGACTTAGAAGAAAAATTCTTGCATATGTGCACATGGAGACACGCGTAAAAATATTCATAACAGCAGTGTTTATAATAGCAAGAAACAAACAAAAAGAAAAAATCTGTAAATAACCTCTATTTCCAGCAATAGGAGAAAAGATAAATGATTATTTATACACTGCAATATTCTATAACAGTGAAAAACAATGGCCTTCAGTTACCAAAAAACAACAAGGATACATATAGCATAAAGCCTAACAATATGAAGCAAATTCCAGAACACTATTTGACATTGATATCCTTATTAAAATGCAATAAGCCAAATTAAACAATGTATTGGTTTAGGAGTACATACATATGGAATTAAACTACAAGAGAAGCAAAGGAAAATATTAAAAAGCAACGGGATGGTAACCAGAAAATTCACAATTATGGTTTTCTCTCACGCAGGAGTAGAAAGGCAGGGTACCTGGAGTGAGGAGGAGCACATAGACAGATGGGAGTTCTTCATAGTTCTTAGGCTGGATGGTGGGTTCACAGGTACTTATTAGATCTTTAAAAATAAATAAGGCCCATCATGGTCTGAGGTTGATGAAGTGCCATGAATGGAGACTTATGATCAACACAATTAATACAACTTAATTGTATTAACTAAATACAGAAAGATTTAATTAATTAAATTTAACTTCTGATGTCCGGAAAGAAGAAAGAAAGGTCAGCATTTTCAAGTACTGATTTCTGATCCATAACTAAAATACAATCAGAATATAGGGTTTTTTTTAGTTCATCGTGTTTCCAGTAATATGTCCCTTTGTGAATAATATCAAACCAGATCAACTTTCTGCAGTTAGAAATTGTTGACATCGTTCCAAGAGATAATCACATTTTTGCCTAGAAAAGGATGGTTGATGGATAGCAGCTCTGGCAGATGTGCTGAGTACACTGTCCTGTGGCTACCTGGGTAACGGTTGAACATTTAATTAGAGGATTAAAATGCATCTTTCTCTTTTTCCTTCACTGACGCAGGACATACTGTAAACAGAAGGGAATGAATAGAGAAATTAAATATACAAAATATACAATTTAATCTATTAGAATGCTTCACTTATCCAGCATTGCTGGAAATGAGGTGTTTTTAGATGTGAACTTTGCACATAATATAACCCCTTTTAACCCAAGAACGCTTTAAAAACCATTTTAATCATTTTTGATGAAATCTTGCAAGAAGGCTTACAAACTTGCCTTCTGTTTAAACAGAGTAATATTCCAAGTCCTACCTTTCTGCAATGCCCTAGATTCATCATTCTGAAATAAAATTTATGCATTGGGCAGTAACACAAAGCTGCCATCAGAACCTATTTGGTCCATGTTTTCAATTGTCTCAAATTAATTCCTGAATTTTTGTTTCAGCTTTGTGTAGATTTTCCGTAATTTTCCTCCTAACCAATCTATCAGCCACCACAGCTCTCAGCACACTTGCCTCCTCAAGCACCACTCCCTGCTTCTATTGTGTCATAGCTGCGAAAACAAAGAGACAAGCCTCATTTATTCGCTGATTCATTCAGCATTTATTGAATGCCCAATATGTGCAAAGCAGAGATGACATAAAGGAAACAGACACTGAGCCCATTCTCAACTTGCTTTTGATCCAGTGGTGGAGAAGAGCTGTGTACATAGGTACCGAACAGAAAGTAAAGCATGCTGTATGAGCAGTGCAGATAATGTGCCATGGGCATTCTGAGGAGGGGTGAATTACGAACACCTGAGGGTTCAGAGAAGGTTTCTTGGAGGAGGTGGCATTTGATCTGGGTCTTGGAAATTGATAGGGTTGGAAATATGGAGATGGAGAGAAGGGCATTTCAGGCAGAAAGAGGAGTACAAGCAAAATCCCAAGGCATAACACATAATAGATGCTTAATATATTTTCTTAAAAAGTTGAATGAGAAAGTTCCAGCCAGAGCAATCAGGCAAGAGAAAGAAATGAAAAGCATCCAAGTAGGAAAATAAGGAGTCAAACTATCTCTTTTCACTGACAATATAATTCTATACCTAGAAAACCCCAGAGACTCCAACAAAAGGTTCCTAGAACTGATAAACAGCTTCAGTAAAGTTTCAGGATACAAAATCAATGTGCTAAAAAATGATGAGTTCATGTCCTTTGTAGGGACATGGATGAAGCTGGAAACCATCATTCTCAGCAAACTATCGCAAGGATAAAAAAACCAAACACCACATGTTCTCACTCATAGGTGGGAATTGAACAATGAGAACACATGGACACAGGAAGGGGAACATCACACACCGGGGCCTGTTGTGGGGTGGGGGGAGCAGGGAGGGATAGCATTAGGAGATATACCTAATGTTTAATGATGAGTTAATGGGTGCAGCACACCAACATGGCACATGTATACATATGTAACTAACCTGCATGTTGTTCACATGTACCTAAAACTTAAAGTATAATAAAAAAATCAATGTGCAAAAATCAGTATCATTTCTATACACCAATAACATTCAAGTGGAGAGCCAAATCAATAATATAATCTTCTTTACAATATCCACATAAAAAATAAAATACCTAGGAATACATCTAACTAAGGAGGTGAAAGATCTCTAAAAGGATGACTACAGAACACTGCTGAAATAAATCAGAGATGACACAAACAAATGGAAAAACATTCCATGCTCATAGATTGGAAGAATCAATATCATTAAAATGGCCATACTGCCCAAAGCAATTTACAAGCTCAACATTATTCCTATCAAACTATCAACATCATTTTTCACAGAACTAGAAAAACTTTTCTAAAATTCATGAAACCAAAGAAGAGCCCAAATAACTAACATGATCCTAACCAAAAAGAACAAAGCCAAAGGAATCACATTACCTGATATTGAACTACACTATAAGGTTGCAGTAACCAAAACAGCATGGTACTGATACAAAAACAGACACGTAGACTAATGAAACAGAATAGAGAGCCCAGAAATAAAGCCACACACCTACAGCCAACTGATCTTCAACAAAGTCAACAAACATAAGCAATGGGGAAAGGAATCCCTATTCAATAAATGGTGCTGGGATAGCTGTCTAGCCATATGCAGAAGAATACATATGGCCATCTATCTATCTATCACCATTTACAAAAATTAAGATGGATTAAAGATTTAAATGTAAGAGCTCAAACTATAAGAATCCTAGAAGAGGCCAGGCACAATGGCTCATGCCTCTAATCCCAGCACTTTGGGAGGTCAAAGTGAGAGGATCGCTTGAAGCCAGGAGCTCGAGATCAGCCTGGGCAACAGAATGAGACCTCATCTCTACAAAAATAATAATAATAATTTTAAAAAAGATTAGCCCGGTGTGGTGATGTGTGCCCGTAGTCCCAGCTACTCAGGATTCTAAGGTGGGAGGATCACTTCAGCCCAGGAGTTTCAGGCTGCAGTGATCTATGATCATACCACTACACTCCAGCCTGAGCAGCAGAGGGAGATCCTGGAAAAAGAAAAAGAGAAAGAAGAAAGAAAGAAAGAAAGAAAGAAAGAAAGAAAGAAAGAAAGAAAGAAAGAAAGAAAGAAAGAAAGAAAGAAAGAAAGAAAGAAAGAAAGAAAGAAAGAAAGAAAGAAAGAAAGAAAGAGAGAGAAAGAAAGAGAAAGAAAGAGAAAAGAAAGAAAGAGAAAGAAAGAAAGAAAGAGAAAGAGAAGAAAGAAAGGAAGGAAGGAAGGAAAGGAAGGAAGGAAGGAAGGAAGGAGAAAGAAAGAAAGAATCCTAGAAGAAAATCTAGGAAATAACATTTTGGACATCAGCCTTGGGAAGGATTTATGACTAACTACTCAAAAGCAATTGCAGCAAAATCAAAAATTGACAAGTGAGACCTAATTAAAAAGCTTCTGCACAGCAAAAGCAATTATCAACAGAGTAAACCTACAGAATGGGAAATAATATTTGTAAACTATGCATCTGACAAAGGTCTAATATCCAGAGTCTATAAGAAACTGAAACAATTGAATAAGCAAAAAACAACCCTATTTAAAAATGGGGAATAGACAAGAACAAACACTTCTCAAAAGAAGACATACACACAGCCAACAAACATGAAAAAATGCTCATCATCCCTAATCATTAGAGATATGCAAAATGCAAATCAAAACCACAACTAAATATCATCTTAGGCCAGGTGCGGTGGCTCACGCCTGTAATCCCAGCTCTTAGGGAGGCAGAGGCGGGAGGATAGTTTGAGTCCAGGAGTTCGAGACCTGCCTGGGCAATATAGCGAGACCCCGTTCTCCACAAAAAGGAAGAAAAAACAGACAAAAAAAAAGTGAAATATCATCTTAAACCAGTCAGAGTGACTATTATTAAAAAGTCAATAAAAACAACAGATGCTCTCAAGACTGCAGAGAAAAAGGAATGCTTATAAACTGTTAGGGGGAATATAAATTAGTTCAGCCACTGTGGAAAGCAATTTGGTGATTTCTCAAAGAACTTAAACTAGAACTACCCTTCAACCCAGCAATCCCATTACTGGGTATTTACCCAGAATAAAATAAATCATTCTACCAAAAAGACACATCACCTTTATGTTCATTGCAGCACTATTCACAATAGCAAAGATATGGAATCAACCTAGGTGCCTATCCACAGTAGACTGGATAAAGAAAATGTGGTACATATACATCATGGAATACTAGGCAGCCACAAAAAAGAATAAAATTATTTCCTTTGTAGTTACATGGATACAGCTCGAGGCCATTATCCTAAGCAAATTAGCGAAGAAACAAAACCAAATACCACATGTTCTCACTTATGAGTGGAAGCTAAGAATTAAGACTATTTTATTCTAGGACATAGATAACAATTGAAGATTTTGAGCAAAGACTTGGCAATCAAAATTATTATTTCAGGTGATTGGCAATAAGATCTGCACAATAGCCATGCACCAAGAATTGAGAAGAGAGATATTAGGGAAGTGAGATTGATAGGAGGTGTCTACCAATTGCATGTAGGGAATAAGGCATAGAGAGATTTGGAGATCTCATGTACCCCATAAATATTTTTTAAAAAAGATAATATTCAGCTTTGAGGCTGATTTAACTACAACGAAAATAAAGATATTTCAGGGAAGGGGGGAAGGTTGGTCAGGAAGATGTGATAGACAGGAGAAGAATGAGTTTCAATTTGGGTACATTGAGTTTGAGAGTTATAGGTAAACCCTTGGGTGGCATTTTCTGCTCAGCAGGCAGTTGGAGCTCTTTAGAGATATTGGGGCTGCCAAAAGGATTTGGGAATGAATACTATACAGATGATCATTGAAGCCATGTGAGATTGTCACTGGTCAAGATTTTAAAAAAAGCAAGCACCCATATAGCCAAGTTTTTTTTTTTTTAATTGTTGTTTTTCTCCTATATATGCCATTGTAATCCATTTTCTTCCAAACATGGAACTTGTAAAGGACTTTTATGAAATACCAGTTGGATTTTCGCAACTCTCAGGTTACAGAAGGTAAGACATTTACTAGTAGACTGACATGATATGGTTCCAACACCACATGAAAGCTGAGACTTGGTGTCTGTGACCAACACAGCCATCAATGATGGAAGAGCCAGTCATTAGGATGGCTGACCATCTAGGGGACCTTCTTGAAAGCAGGGGACACATCAGTGAGGCATTCGTGAGCATATTTTTCCACTGCAAAGGTTCTCTTAACCCCGTCAACCCACTTCCACCCTGAAGCACACTTGAGATTCCAGTCCTGAGGATGTAGGGGGATCATGCAGAGTTGGTTGAGCCTCTTTCACAGATAGAGTCATAGGCAGAAGCAACATTTTTGAAGTGACACATACATCCCTGAGAAAGGAGGCTGAGGGCCTTATATTTCATCACTTTCTGTTCTCCTAACCTTCCTTAGCATCACATCTCATCTTGTCTGGTTTAATCTGGTCTGCTTTTGTCTCATCTCAATTCATCTCACTTTTACAGTTTTCAGGCATAGATTCATTCAACAAGTGTCTCTTGAGTGACTATGCTATACAAAGCCGCTGGCTAGGTAAATGCTTCAGGAGATACTGACAAAGCTCAGGGTCCTGGGACTAGGCTGTCTCCAAGCTGCTCACAACCTATGAGGAGAGAGAGAAAAAGCTACCACCAAACTAATTGGAGGATGGAGAAGGATGCCATGGGCCGAGAAAAAAGAATGTTTTTTCCATGGAGAGAGTTAGGGAAAGATTCAAGAAAAAGGTCTGGCAGCAGGAATAAAAGACAGACAAGAGGAAGCAATGGCATCCAGACAGGGAAAAGAGCACTGAAAAGACTTGGAGAATGGAAAAACATGGTTCTGTATAGGAACTACAAGTAGCTTAGTAAGGCCAGACGGACTGATTGATAGGGTCACAGAGAGAGAGAGTGAAAGGAGATGAGGATGAATATGCAGGAAGGGAGCATGCTGTTCAGTGCATTATGAGCAAGGATAAGTAAGAGTGCTGATCTTTATTCTGTAGGGAGTAGGAAGCCATTAAAAGGTGCTAAGTCAGGAGGGATGACTTGTTCAGAGTCACCAACTTAATGGTCCATGAAGGAGACTCAAGTGTGACCCAACACTGTAGACTTCTAATGTTGGCAACTTTCCTCATTGTTTCCCAATATGTCCCTTCCAGTTCTGTTTTATCCTGGCTTCTAACTTTGTTCTCCATTTTCTATATATAATCCTGCTTCTGACATTTACAGCTGATCTTCTTGAATTAAGATTCTCTGCTCTCCTATATTATCTGTGTATTGGACTTGCCTCTCTGGCTTGACATTGAAGTCTGGGACCATTTGGGATAAAATATTAAGCTTTAGCTAGCCCTGGTCCATTGACCATAAGCTGATTCCACTTGAAGGTGTCAGGAAAAATAGATTAAAGGTAGAGGCAGTACAACTGAAATAAAGCTTCCTAAAGTTTGTGTAAATATGATGAAGCCTTTTTGGCAAATACACCATAAGTGTCTAGCAAGAGAGGAAGCTTTGGAGTAGCCAGGACTTGCATATTTTTAGAACTCTGATAGTGTGAATGCCATGGTGCAAAGTCAAATTCAGAAGCACTTGTAGGATACTCTGAAGATAGCAGCCCCAGAACCACACTTTGAGAAACACTGAACTAGAGTACAGGGTGCTTACAGGGAAATGTACATTACAGCCAGGGATAACAGGGCCAAGTTACCAGGGGCCTTCAATGCCAGAATCAGCAACCAGGGTCTTGGACTTTCTGTGCTAAGTGATTAATGGAAAGGCAGGAGAGGCTTTGTGGCCCAGGGTAGAAGCACCATGAGAACTTTAGTCTGGTGGGAGCATTTACCTCATCAAAGAGGAGATGAGGAACCAGTGTGGAGTCAGGGAGACCAGCAAGGGCACTGGTGCAAGAATCCCAGGCAGGGTGTGGTGATGAATGAGGGCCTGGCTTAGGACACCCTCCAAACAAATGCATTCCTACTGGATGCTCATGGACAGAGAGGAGAGAGTTGCTTCCAAAAACCCAGGCCAGGAAATAAGAAAAGAAGTTGCTCTTTCCCCTCATGGCATGTGGAATTTTGCTGATGATTTATTGGAATTCTTCCCAAAGCTGGAATGACCCAAATAACTCACTGAAGCCATTCGGAAGGGGTCTGATACTAGAGTTTGCTTTAAGAAGTCAGCTCTGCAGAGAGTACCTGGAGGTAATTTGTTGTGGTTGGAAAGACAGATAAAGATATTTTCCAAAATTTTATTCTGGGAGCAGAGTGCATTAGTGCTGAACAGCACTTAAAACTCAGTTCTCTAGCTGACAACAGGCAAAATGAATTGCTGTCCCACTGAGCTGTTAACTAAATACTTACAACTTCTAACCCAGTGGTCTTCAGACTATAGGATGCATCCAAATCAATTGAGGTATCTGGCAAAATGCAGACTCCTGCTCCTCCTGCAAGATTCTAATTCCTACAGCTGGCGAGGAGACCTGAGATCTACATTTCCAAACAAGTCCCTCCCCTAGGAGATTCAGATGCAAGTAGTCAAGGCCCTTGCTTTAAAAATCATTACCATATAAAGCTCAACCATCACACATACACACACAGTTATCTTGGTCTTTGTCTTTTCAAGGTTCTGCGTTAATCACTTTGAGGGGTTCCGAGGTACAGAAGCTGAGTCCTTATCCTCACATTGTCTCGGAGGTGAGCTGGGCATTTCATGGAGACAGTGTCAAGAGCTCTAAAATGGGCAGGAAAAAAAATGCCAGGTTGGTTCAAGGAAGGGAGAGAGCTTATTTACTATTCCAATTGTCTTTATGAGACCAGCTGCAGAGGTAGTCTAGAGGTAGAGAAATAACAAGACTTATTATAATTGTTGAAAGCAATGCAGACTATGCCTTAGCAAAGCCTTTCACAGGCATCCTTTGAAAAGCACCATGTTCTATGAGAGCTCATTAAATAAGAAAGAACAAGAATGGCCCATGGGCAACTCAAAGAGTAAATCAGTGTAGTGGTTTCCTCTACTGCATATAACCCTGGGCCACGATAATTCTCCTTGACTCAGCTGGCAGCAATCACAGAAATAAGCTTCTTTGACTTCCATCCATAGCTGTGGCAACTGGAGCCTGAGAGGTGAAAGCCCCTAACCAGGTCGTCTAGACTGTGGATCAGGTGCCAGAGTTCTTTCCCAGCTCCTACAGGCCAGGGGTGGAAGGAGCTTGAACAGACCTTGTTCCTGCTAGTCCCTTGCTCTCTGTCATCTTCTGATGGCTCCAGTTAGAACACTGAATGCCTACTTTAGGTACTCAAAAAGCACTTCTCCTTCTTAGCACATTTCTCTGTGTGGTTTTATAGTGGTGATACTGTACAAGCTAACACTTTTGAGCACTTACTAGGTGCCAGGCATTGATCTAAGTGATTTTTATATACTCCTGACAACCCTATTAATATATCCATGTTACTCTTATTTATTTTTAATTAATTATTTATTTTGAAAATCAATAAATATTGTATACATTTATGGCTTACAACATGGTCTTAACATATGTATGCATTGTGGAATGTCTAAATCAAGCTAGTTAGCATATGCATTGGGCAAGGCAGCCCTAAAGCCCATGCTTATATCCACCATGCTGTATTACTTCTATTGTGACCCAAGTCAGTCTCCCCTACCAGACTGTAACCTCTGGGAGAACAGGAACAATGTCTATCTTGGTCACTGCTGTATTTCCTGTACCTGACAAAAAATAGACGTTCAAGAAATGTTTGTTAAATGAATGAACAACTGACACTGATAAAAATTTTTCCGTGCTGTATTTGGAACCAGTATACCTGAGACTCAGTCCGTTTTCACCATTAATTTCTATAACCTTCATTAAGACTTTGCTAGTTTCAGGACCTCAGTCTTAACATCAGTAGGATAAAGATGGTGCTTTCTAAGGGACCTGCCATATACGATAGTCTAGAATCTTCTTTCCCATCACTAAATCCAAGCCTCCAGGCAGTTCTTGAATAAGGCCAACCCAAACCCATGGCATGATCTTGCCCCTGGCCCTGAGCCCTTTCAGGTATGCCCCAAATCTTGGTATTATGTTCAAATGTATGGGATAATAAGGTAGGTAGGAGAGAGAGGAAGAGGTTAAAAATGTGGGAAGTTGGGAAAAGGAGAGATTCTTGAGAAGTTTGGAGCTAGAGAAAGAGAACAAAGAAATATTTGGAGTTTGCTGGTCATTTGCA
The DNA here is from genome assembly GCF_000001405.40 of Homo sapiens. NCBI lineage: Eukaryota > Metazoa > Chordata > Mammalia > Primates > Hominidae > Homo > Homo sapiens. The sequence goes on along the minus strand of NC_000023.11, from coordinate 151,280,009 downwards.
AAAAGAATCCATCCTCATAGGTGTTTTTGGCCAGAGAATAAATTATCAAGCAGACTCTACCTATATGGTAATCAAATACTCTGCATACTAATGGTGCTTCTAAGGCAGGTATAGCAGAAAGGACAAGAAACACTTGAAATGCAAAACATTCAGAACTCCAAGACCAAAGATCAATCATTCCAGATCCCAGAAGATAAGCCAAAGTTGCCTCGCAGCTTGATCTGGGGTTAGCCTAACAATCAAATGAATATAAGACTTTGGCCCCTAGGGACTCAGAGAGGGAGGCAAAGTTCTGGGGTCCAGCTGGCCCAGGCCAGAGGGTGTTGGAATGATCTAGGGAAGATGGAGGCTAGCTTTCCTAGCTCCTTAAAGAAGAGGGGGAAATAAGGGAGCTCAAATTTAAAAGATATACAGCCTTATGATATGAAAATTATTCCCCCACCTTACAGATGAGGAAACTGAGATTCTGAAAAGTGAAATAACTTGCCCCAAATCACACAGTAGTGGAGCCCAGAATTAAAGCCAGGCCTGTGTAACTGAAAGCCCCCTCTCTCTCAGCTTCAACAGGCTCCTCTGCTTAAGCCCTCTTTGACTAATCCTTAATGGCTAATTAGTTGTCCCATCATTAAAAGGAATCAGAGAAAGGCAAAGGAATGGGGCTCCCATGACCTGCTGACCCTGTTGTGTCATTAAAAGGAGATAGCTTTGAGTCGAAACTTGGTGGGTTTCTTCTATATGAGTCTCATTTTATCCAGCATCCTCTTGCTTCCAAGACCCTCCCCTCCACTCGACCCCACACACACAAATCCTTATTACTTATATTTTTCTGTTTTAAGAAAATAAGTTAATATTTATAAAGTTCTTAGAACAGTACCTGACATATATAATTACTATAAGAATGTTTGTTAAGTAAACTAGAGCAAACATTATCATTAAAAATTCCAGATAATGCAAAAATATAAAGAGAATTAAGAAAATCACATATAATCCCACACTAGAAAACCCATAACTAAAATTTTGATGTAGGTGCAGGTGTAGGTTTCTTTATCGTGTACAAAGAAACATTTTTTAATGAAAAAGAAAGATTATTTTATGCATATTGTTTTTGTATCCTTATTTTCTCACAGTAATATGCTGAGGACATCGTTTAATGCCAGTAAATACAGATTTACATTATCATTTTTAACACATCCGTAATATTCATTGGTGTGGATACACCAATAGTATAGTTAACTAAATTCCACTGACAAATATTTCAATTATTTCTAATATGTTGTTTTTGTAAACAAGACTGTAACAAAAACCTTGATAAAAACAAGCTCTCCTTGTGATAGCTCTTTGCATCCTTCATGCATTCCTCCAGATCACCCTGCAGAAAGTTTGCACCATTCTAATGGACAATAAATTTCTCTGATTAATAGTTTGATTGAATATATTTTCAAATCTTTATTAACTTTTGATCTCTTTTCCATTCATGTTCTTTGCTCGTTTTTCTTTTTCTTATAGATTTTTAAGAACTTTTCTACATTGAAATGATTAACTCTTTCGTCATGTATGATGCAAAATATTTTTTGCAATTTGTTGTTTCAGTGGGCTGTGCAAAAGTTTTGGATTTATGTGTAACAGAATCTGTCAATATCTTGCATTATAGTTCTTGTCTTTAAGAAAAAAATGCCTTCTGCCCTTCAAGAGTGTAAAAATATTCACTTATATGTTCTTCTACATATCTATGGTTTTATTTTTCACATTTAAATATCTTCCCGACTTAGAATTTGCCATGGTGTATTTCCAGGGACTTTAAACCAACCCTTCAAATCTTTGACATTAAATTTCTAACATACTCTTTTCTTGAATGAGGAAAAATGAGGACTTCTGTATCTCTGAAGAAAAACTGTAATATAGAAACTGACCAGCATTTGAGCCTATCATTCAAAGACTTGTAGTACTTTTCTCAGAATGGCATTTCTTTTTTTTTCCACTATTTATTTATTTTTTTATTTTATTATACTTTAAGTTTTAGTGTACATGTGCACAACGTACAGGTTAGTTACATGTGTATACATGTGCCATGTTGGTGTGCTGCACCCATTAACTCATCATTTAACATTAGGTATATCTCCTAATGCTATCCCTCCCCACTCCCCCCACCCCACAACAGGCCTCGATGTGTGATGTTCCCCTTCCTGTGTCCATGTGTTCTCATTGTTCAATTCCCACCTATGAGTGAAAACATGCGGTGTTTGGTTTTTTGTCCTTGCCATAGTTTGCTGAGAATGATGGTTTCCAGCTTTATCCATGTCCCCACAAAGGACATGAACTCATCAGTTTTTATGGCTGCATAGTATTCCATGGTGTATATGTGCCATATTTTCTTAATCCAGTCTATCATTGTTGGACATTTGGCTTGGTTCCAAGTCTTTGCTATTGTGAATAGTGCCGCAATAAACATACTTGTGCATGTGTCTTTATAGCAGCATGATTTATAATCCTTTGGGTATATACCCAGTAATGGGATGACTGGGTCAAATGGTATTTCTAGTTCTAGATCCCTGAGGAATCGCCACACTGAGTTCCACAATGGTTGAACTAGGTTACAGTCCCACCAACAGTGCAAAAGTGTTCCTATTTCTCCACATCCTGTCCAGCACCTGTTGTTTCCTGACTTTTTAATGATCACCATTCTAACTGGTGTGAGATGGTATCTCATTGTGGTTTTGATTTGCATTTCTCTGATGGCTAGTGATGATGAGCATTTTTTCACGTGTCTGTTGGCTGTATAAATGTCTTCTTTTGAGAAGTGTCTGTTCATATCCTTTGCCCACTTTTTGATGGGGTTGTTTGTTTTTTTTCTTGTAAATTTGTTTGAGTTCACTGTAGATTCTGGATACTAGCCCTTTGTCAGATGAGTAGACTGCAAAAATTTTCTCCCATTCTGTAGATTGCCTGTTCACTCTGATGGTAGTTTCTTTTGTTGTGCAGAAGCTCTTTAGTTTAATTAGATCTCATTTGTCAATTTTGGCTTTTGCTGCCATTGCTTTTGGTGTTTTAGACATGAAGTCCTTGCTTTTGCCTGTGTCCTGAATGGTATTGCCTAGGTTTTCTTCTAGGGTTTTTATGGCTTCAGGTGTAACATTTAAGTCTTTAATCCATCTTGAATTAATTTTTGTATAAGATGTAAGGAAGGGATCCAGTTTCAGCTTTCTACATATGGCTAGCCAGTTTTCCCAGCACCATTTATTAAATAGGGAATCCTTTCCCCATTTCTTGTTTTTGTCAGGTTTGTCAAAGATCAGATGGTTGTAGATATGTGGCATTATTTCTGAGGCCTCTGTTCTGTTCCATTGGTCTATATCTCTGTTTTGGTACCAGTACCATGCTGTTTTGGTTACGGTAGCCTTGTCGTATAGTTTGAAGTCAGGTAGCGTGATGCCTCCAGCTTTGTTCTTTTGGCTTAGGATTGACTTGGCAATGCAGGCTCTTTTTTGGTTCCATATGAACTTTAAAGTAGTTTTTTCCAATTCTGTGAAGAAAGTCATTGGTAGCTTGATGGGGATGGCATTGAATCTATAAATTACCTTGGGCAGTATGGCCATTTTCATGATATTGATTCTTCCTACCCATGAGCATGGAATGTTCTTCCATTTGTTTGTATCCTCTTTTATTTCATTGAGCAGTGGTTTGTAGTTCTCCTTGAAGAGGTCCTTCATATCTCTTGTAAGTTGGATTCCTAGGTATTTTATTCTCTTAGAAGCAATTGTGAATGGGAGTTCACCCATGATTTGGCTCTCTGTTTGTCTGTTATTTGTGTATAAGAATGCTTGTGATTTTTGCACATTGATTTTTGTATCCTGAGACTTTGCTGAAGTTGCCTATCAGCTTAAAGAGATTTTGGGCTGAGACAATGGGGTTTTCTAGATATACAATCATGTCATCTGCAAACAGGGACAATTTGACTTCCTCTTTTCCTAACTGAATACCCTTTATTTCCTTCTCCTGCCTGATTGCCCTGAGAATGGCATTTCTTTTCACAGAAATGCTATTCTGCCTCTTTGTCTACCAGAGCTACTCCTTTGCTAAATACTAAATGCTACTATTGATTGTAGAGCCTGCTCACCTTCGTTAACAAAGAGTTTCACCAACTTGAAGACTTTTTTTTCCGACTTGGTTGATCACTCCTACTGAAGATACTGAGCTTCTTTTATTTGTTTATTTATTTATTTAGAGACAGGGGCTCACTCTGTTGCCCAGGCTGGAATGCAATGGCATGATCACTGTTCACCACAGCCTTGGCCTCCTGGGCTCAAGTGATTCTCTCACCTTAGCCTCCCCAGTAGCTGGGACTACAGGCACATGCCACTATGCCCAGCTAATTTTTTATTTTTTGTAGAGACAGAGTCTTACTATGTTGCCCAGGTCAGTCTTCAACTCCTGGGCTCAAGTGATCCTCCTGCCTCAGCCTCCCAAAGTGCTAGGATTACAGGCATGAGCCATCACACCCAGCCGGCCTCTTTATTAAGAAGCAAATATGTTGGAGCAGAGAGGGAAGGAGTGCAAGTAACAGATCATATGGCTAAGGAGAATCTATTAAAATTTGGCATGGGTAGTAGGTGGGGAGTAAAAAAGAAATGAGTGACAAGCGAGAGAGCTTTTTAGAACTTACCTTTGGGGAGCAGAAGCCAGAGTGAATAGAGTCCAGCAATTGCCAAAAGCAATGATGTAGAAATGCTGAAAAGTATTAACTCAGGAGTTTGGAACCTGGAATTCTGGTCCCAGTTCTTCCAACATGTGGCTCAGACATGCATCCTCCATTTCTCTAGGTCTTGATTTCTTTATCTGTAAAGCAGTGTAGGGGTGCGTGAAGGGGTTGTGTGTGGGGTTGATTAGATTCAATTCAGTGGACATTTAATTGGATAGCAATTATGGGCTAGACACTATTCTAAGTACTTGGTTAACTCTAATTTCTTCCAGCTCAGCAATTCTATGAGGGTTGTTTTGTTCATATTTCTTGAGTATTGTGAGGAACATTAAAATTTTCCAGAAGTTGGACCTTCTGGAATTATCTAGCACAAGAACTGAGTAGGGTCTCTCTTCAGTTCCAGAAAGATAGGAGGGTAGGTAGAGCAGGTGTGGGGAGGAATTTGGATGGAATAAGAAAGAAGCAATCAATTGGATCAAATATGTGTACCTTGCCTGTGGGTCTGTTTTGAAATACACATAATGACTACCATCTCCAACTTTTCCAGCAGGCTAGGTGTTTGAGGCTTTTCTCCCACAAGAGGATTTCATCACTTATTTACTCTTCCATTAATGAAGTAAACATTGACTGAGGCAGCATGTGCAAGGCACTGTCGGCTTTTGTTTCTGCTCATTGGCTTTTCATTGAGCTTTAGCATTAGGGCCCTAGTTAATTGCTTGCTTTATTTTATTTTATTTAGAGATGGAGTCTGTCTCTGTCACCCAAACTGGAGTGCAGTGGTGTAATCATAGGTCACTGCAGTCTCAAATTCCTGGGCTCAAGCAATCTTCTCACCTTAGCCTCCTGAGTAGCTGGGATCTCAGGCATGTTCCACCACTTACAGCTAATTTATTTTGTTTTATTTTCTTTTTAGAGATAGAGTCTCACTATGTTGCCCAGGCTGGTCTTGAACTTTTGGGCTCAAGTTTTCTTCCCACTTCAGCCTCTTAAATACTTGGGATTGCAGGTACAAGCCACCACACCCAGCTTGCTTGCTTGAAATGCTATCCTGCCTCTTTGTCTACAAGAGCTACTCCTTTAGGCCAAAGTATACATTTTCAAAGTTGCTTCAGCCCCTGCAAATATTTTTGACAATTATGAGATTGTATTTAAATACCCATGCATACCCCATAAATATATACACCTACTATGTACCCACAAAGTTTTCTTTTAATTTTTAATTACAAATAAATAAATATTCATGCCACCCTGTTTATGCCCCATGCTCCATTAGTATACTGACATCTGAGACTACATGTTTTGTTCTTTACTGCCTTTTAAATCATTTTCCCCTAAGAATTATTGGGCATCTTTATAATTGTCTTTCCTTTTCTGTGCCACATTCCATGTCTTCTGACGTGTCTATATTCATAAGATAATCTGAGCGTTCCATCTCTACTTCCTTCCATTTTTTTACTCTCAATTTTTTTATGATTCTGGGCATCCATTCTTTGACTTAGCATTTATAGAAGCCCTGCCCAGTGTGTACACTGTTGCAAGTACAGCAAATATGACAAGGAGAAAACTAATAAGGTCCCTCCCCTTCATGCAACTCCATTCTATCGGGGGAAAACGACAGTCAACAAGTAATTGAACAGCACTAATTTATCAGCACTTGAATAAACTGCCATGGAGGAGAATGGAGTTATCTTGAAATATTCAAATATCTAGCCATAGTCAGAGATATAGAAAATCTACTCTTTCCCAACACCAAATACATTTCCACATGTGACTCTCTCTTCCTTTAAGCTTGAAGAACTAATGAAAACAGTATCCATGTCCCTAGTCTTCATATTAAGTCCAGATTGTACTCTACTCCCTAAAGCTCCCATTGCTGCTGTGGCAATTAAGATGCCATCCAGAAGGAAATTAGTTCTGGAGCAGTGATGGCTCCTGCCCAAACCTCAGCCAGGCCCTTGCTAGGAGCTGTCTCGAAGGCCAGTCTGAGCAGGCTTGGCCTGTCTCCCTCCACTGGGACAGCTATACTCATCTCTTCTCCCCTGACTCAGTCTCCTCTTCTCCCCATCTTCCCTCCTGGTCCCTTATGGTAGCCCAGCCTTATCTCACCTCGCAGCTCCTCATCTTGCCAGATACATGAGCCCCTTTGCCCTTCTCCCATGACCTCCCAAAAATGTTACTGTTCTTCATGCATCAAGCACCCTCTCACTCTTCTTCTCACTCTTCTTACAGGAGCCAAAGCAATAGTGTCTTGAGAAGACACTATTTTTGAGAAGAAATAGGCATGAAAGTGTCCTTTCAAGTTAATAATTATGGAGGTCATTGGTGACTTGTCTAAAACAACTGCATGGGATTGTACAGGACTGAGGAACTGGAATTGAGGTAGTAGAGAAGATGACTGTATATAACTTTTTTGAGAAGTTTGTGAAAGGGGAAGAGAGAGCTTGGGTAGTAGCTAAAAGTGTGTGTGAAATTAAGGAGAGTGGTTGTTTCTGTAAGACAGGAGAGACTTGAGCATGTTTAAATGCTGTTTGGAAAAATCTGGTAGAAAGAAGAGAAAATACAAGAGTGCAAAGATGATTCAATGAGTGAGTTCTTGAGGACTGGGATCCAGGGAATATGTCCCAGGATTGGATTAGACAGAAGGAAGGAAATTTCTTCTGTTATAAGTGGACTGAAGGAGATGGGTACACATGCTTGTAGGCTTAGGGGCTGGAAATTGAGGAAATTCCCACCTGGTGGCATCTATTTTCTCTGTGAAGTAAGATGCCAGGTAATCTAAAGAGGAAATAGCGGGGAGTGGTTGAAGGCTTGCAAAAGATGAACTTTTTGTTTTGTTTCTAGAGACAGGGTCTCACTATGTTGCCCTGGCTGCATTTGAACTCCTGGGCTCAAGTGATTCTCCTGGCTCAGCCTCCCAAGTAGCTGGGACTACAGCCATGTACCACCACACCCAGCTCAAAAAACTGAATGTTTAAAGAGATAATTATAAAGAATGGAAGAGCAAAGGACATTAGAAGAACAGTCCTGGTTGAGGTTGGTGAATATATACCAGTACCCATCTGTGTATGATGTGGGTTTTTTCCCCAGTATCACTCATCGGCTTAAAGGCAAGCCCAGAGAAAACTTAGGTTGGGTTCACCTAAGTCTAGAATTTTTCAGTGTACTGCAACAGATCAGTAATGGAGTGAGGGAGCTGAGAAAGTTGGTAAAAAAAGTAGGTGAATTCAGGGCTGCCACTAGGGTGTGCAGAGCGCTACACAAATATTTTTGTGGGCTCTTCGCTATACGAACAATTTAGTGAAAACATGTATTGTAAAATTCATGGGCTCAAATGAGCTATAGTGATTTGTTGATGAAGATTTAGCATAATAAGGGCAGAGGAGGTACTTAGCTGTTTGTTTACTGTGCCATTAGTGCTTGTGAAGTTTCCCTATAGGGTTCAGGTTCCACATCTTCTTGCCTGGGCTCAGCAAGCATGTCTTTATGTTCCTAATTGTCTAATGCACCACACATGACTAAGGTGATATCTCCCACTGAGAAGAAAAGAGAGCATCACTGTTGTTGCTCAGTGTGCCATGGCTCTTGAGCACCTACTTGTACTGAAACAGTCTAGATCTTCTTGCCTCTACAGGCCCCTGATACCCTTAAGTTCATTCAGGCTACACCAAGACCCATGACACTGCCATTATCCACCAGGCTGCCTGTGAATATCAGCTCCCTGTGGACTCTCAGACGTTGTTACTGTGCTTCACTGATGAGCACAAAGGCACACCTTCTCCAGAGTGTGCAGGAAAATGTGAACAATATATCATTTTATGGTCATGTTCAGTATACCATTTGGCACTTTATAGCACACATGTAGAATGACACATCTTCCAAACATGTTCTCTCTTGAACCCCATAGGCCATAATCACATCCATCTCTTTCTATGTTGACTGGACCCTTACATTCTACACACCACCACCAGCAGGGAGGATGGACTAGGGGCCCATTAGTGGAGTGAGAAGAGGGGTACCATTCATGTAAGGAATGTCTGTCCATCTTCTGGCAGGGAATAAGATCAACTTTGGAGAGCATGGCATCACCATATTGATCACAGGCAAGAGAAGATATTAATCAGAGAGCTCTGTTGGTGATGAAAACCAATGATCTCAAAAGCTCTCAGAGGAGACAGGTAACCTCCAGAAGACAGCTTGACAAGTGGCATGAAGCCTGCAGAGGAGGTGGAATAACACCCTGGGTGCCAGTAGTGGTAAGTGGGGGTGGAGGAGGCACACAGGTTAAATAATACCTGCCACCACCTCCCCCAACCATTGAGTGCTGTAGACAGAAAGTGGGACCACGGTCTGATGTGCATATGTGGCACAAGCCCAGGGGTTACTGGTGAATGATTAGGAGCCATTGTGAGTAAGAATCACACCAAATCAGCATGTCATCTCTATTCTGGCAGCCTACTTTTCCCCTATGCTACCAAGGAAATATTGCACCAGTCAACAGAGGTATCTTCTCACCGGGCCTACCACCTGGAACCATGGCGCAGCCATTAAGTCTTGGGACAACCCTATAGGTGTAGATGTCCAGAGCTCCTTGTGGCATCTGATCAACCCCACATGTGGGATATAGGGTCTGAGAGTTCTGTGGAAGGGAAGACGTGGGGATGGAGGTCCATGAGGGTCTTGGTTCAGGCTCAAGGTGCTCTGCCTGGCCAGCACTGCTGTCCTTGAGTAGTCCAAGGCATGGGACAAGGGGGACTCAGAAAATGTTTTGAGGGCTCTCCAAAGCATGGTGCTTCTTGAAACATGAGGCCAGAGCAGGGTTCTTCTTGCCGCAGACTAAGAACAGTACTGGATGAAGTGATGGACCATGTGGGGTCTAAGCTGGGGAGGGAGGGAAGGGAAGACAGGAGGATACCAATGGATAGGAAAACTGAAGGATCATTGCTTTAAAGTACTGATATAGTTGAATAACTGATAAACTGAGAATAAATACATTAGCAAGCTGGAAGTTGAGGAGATCAGGTAGTACATAAGCCATATGAATTTGTGATTTCAAAAGTACAGCAGGTATAAGTGATAACTTCCAGAGTCACCATGGCTGTGATGGAGTATATGAGAGCACTGGAGATGAGGTCAGGAAGCTGACACCAAGGTGCTGGGGGATTCATTCTCATAGATGCCAAGGTCATTCAAGATGAGAGCAATGTTTGGGTTGGAAAGGAAGACTGTAAGAAAGAGGCCGGATGTGTTAAGGAATGAGGGGAGGCACTGAGGAGGGCAGTAGGGCTTCCAAGTTTCATAGCCCCAGGTTAATGGTTCTAAAGAGAAGATACTACCTTCTGTTCACTCATTTAATAAGCATTTATAAAGTGCCTAAGATAGATATATAAACAAGGCATTATAATTTCTCTCCCACTTGATTTTGTATTTATTGAGTGCAGGGACCTAATTAAATGCTTGTGAAATGACAAAATAAACATCAGACACTCTCGCAGTGTCGACAGTTTAAAGAAAATAATAAGATGTAAGATGCTCACAGTGTAGTAGAAGAGAAAAAAGATAATGGCTCACATTTATCTAGATCTTAGCATGTGCAGAGTGTATTCCCGTACGTTACATCTTTGGAACCTACCAATCATTCTGCACTATAGACAAGCCAGGGATTAGTATCTACATTTTACATATGAGAAAACAGGCTCAGAAACATGAAGTGACTCACCCAAGGCCACAGGGTTCACAAGCATCAGAGGCAGGATTCCAAGTTCTCGCTTCCTGCCATTTGCCTAATTGGCATTGCTTTGTCACCACCATGGAATACCTCTTTCTCAATGGCATGAACATCACACTGTGAGGAGGACTGTCTGGGTTTGGGTCCCCTCTCCACTTTTCCTTTGTAAAGCAATTTTCTCAAACACTTCCCACAATTACTTTGCCCAGCAGTTTTTGAACAAAGGAATATAGCACGTTTCATTTGAGAGTAACCTCAGCCTCCATTCGAAGTCTAGAAAACACATAATAAAACTGCCCTGAACTCTCTTGCTTTGAGTCTCATTTTTCTTAGTTTTTTTTTTCCCCTCCTAAACTGCCCGTGTTAACCACACATGGTGCATTTAGCAAAGTGCTGCCCACAGAACAGGCATTGAAAGCACAGGCTTTAGAGGTTGCGAAGCAACGTACGGTATTTAGAAAAAAAAAAAATGCACGTCCATAGGAAAGTTTGCCTTTCACTGAACCAAGTGTTTCCTCTTACATTCCCCTGGACCTGCTTTCAAACTCTGTCCTTTGTTGCTTTACAAAAAGATTGTTTCTTCATTAGCCTTTAAACCCTGCTGATAATAGACTCTGGAATTCCTTAAGAGCTGTGCGATGGGGAGGGGAATGAGGCAGGTGGGTGGTTGCACTGTTAGCATCTTATCAAGGCATTCCCATTCTTGTTCTGTGTTTTCCAGTAACTAATATCCTATAAAAGCAAATGATTCATCAGTATCTTGGTCTGATATTTCCTATGTGGATTAGGTAAAAAAATCCCTCAAATTTGTAGTTGTCAGTCCAAATAGGTTCTTTCTCTAAGCTTCAAAGTTACACTCCAGTGTCACTTCCCAAGTGGACTTACGAAGAATTCTCCAGGAACGATAGGGGTTTATTTGAATAAGCAGAGTCTTGGCACTCTTTATTAGGGCACTCATGGCTGGCCTGCTGCAGTGGCCTCCTAACTGGATGGCTCTTCTCCATTCTCAGCCCCTCTCTTCATCCACCAGGTGCATCCTGCTTGAGCTACTTCCCAAGGGTCACTTTTGAAAGCTCCCCCATTGCCTATAGAATGATATATAAGTTTCTTAATCTGGCACACAGGGCTGTCTTTAAACTGACTTGCTTCTACTCTGCCCTTGCCTCACCCCATAGGTTTTCATGTTCAAAACCCCTATTCTACCTCATGGGTCTAGTCGCTGACCTAAAAGCGCCAAGCCAGAATTCCTTCATGTCTGTCTGGAAGGCCCTTGGATTTGGACTGAGGAATGATCCAATCCACTGCCAGTGCCTCAGCAATGTGCTGGTTTCCCTTGCTCTCCATCCTGACTGAGGGTCCGTTGAAGGAAGTATGGGATTTTTCAGAGAAAGATGCTAACTAGGTAACTTAAAGAAAATAATGCAGACCAAATGAAAGAGCAGAGCAACAATGGAATTCACAGAAGGCAGGTGTCTGATTCTAACTTTAGTGATTTGCCCCCAGTCTTGTCTGGAAGAGCTCATGAGGGTACTCAACCTCTCAGGCCCTTTGCTTTGGGTTGGATGCTGGAGGCCAGTGAGGGGACCAAAATATTTGACCAAGCAACCTAGAGTAGATTCAGACTATGGCATCTGCCGGATGTGGTGGGCCCATAAATCAGTTCTTGCATTGAGATCTGCTCTTCAGCTGTGTGTCCCTGGCTCTAGATTACCCCTAACTTTCATTTCTCACTGATACTTTCATTTGCAAGAATCCTGATTCTTGGAGCTTCCTCTCATATATAGACCCACGGAGAGAAAGATTCTTCTCTGATTAACCAAAACTTTTCATAGTGAACATGCAGATGAGCACTTTGTCGTGGTCCCACTGACTAAGGGAACCACTATTCTATAGTAGTAACCAAGCTAAAACCAAGAGGTTTCTCTCTGTGTCTCTCTTTTTCTCTCTCTTTCTGTATGTATGTGTGTGTATGTGTGTGTGTGTGTGTAATTAGCTTGCTTTTCTGTCAGACTCATCATAGCTGGCATTATGGGCCCCGCCATGCAGCCTCCAAGGTAGGTTTCTGAATGGTCCCCAAGCAGACTGTCCAAAAGGTCCCCAAGCAGACTGTCCTTAGCTTTGGCTTGGTCTCACAGCCTGAGAGGCTGAGCCTGCTGGTGCTGTCTGTATACAGAACAGCGCCATGACCTCTGAGGCGCTCCTGAAAGGGAAGTACCTGCATCTTGGTGCATGAATTATGCAGCATTCATTTTTTATTACTGAGATATTTGATTTAAAGAGGTGGAGATTGTCAGGCTGGGCGTGGTGGCTCACACTTGTAATCCCAGCACTTTGGGAGGCCGAGCCGGGCAGATCATTTGAGGTCGGGAGTTCGAGGCCAGCCTGACCAACATGGAGAAACCCTGTCTCTCTAAAAATACAAAATCAGCTGGGCGGGTTGCCCATGTCTGTAATCCCAGCTACTTAGGAAGCTGAGGCAGGAGAATAGCTTGAACCGGGAGGCAGAGGTTACGGTGAGCTGAGATCCAGCCATTGCACTCCAGCCCAGGCAACAAGAGTGAAACTCCGTCTCAAACAAACAAACAAAAAAAGAGGTGGAGATCGTTAAGTATTTTTGTTTTTCTTCCTTGTTTTTTCTTGACTATGTTATGGAAAGTGGAAGTTGTTGGATTAGGGATTAAGTGAGTTGTCATCCAGACAATTAGAGCTTGCTCCAACAAGTCTTTACCTTGCTCCATTCTATCTCAAAAATGATTAATTTAAACAAATTAAATAACAAATATTTTTCTTTAAAGTTTTGACTCTATTCCACCACAGAAATTATATGTCACTTGATTTCAGAGAGTCAGAGTTCACAGAATTTGGCTACTACTATTCTCTATGACTTACTGTTTTCAGATTTTCTTCCTATAAGATACTTTAGAACTGAGGGAGAAGATCCATTCCATTGTGTAACATTATATATGTGCCACAGGGCATGAAACTGCTTTTTTTTCTTATATAGAAAGATATTTCTTCAATAAGAGATATATTTAATAATGAAATTATAATATAAACCTGAAAACAGGAAAAACAATAACCCTGGACTCTCAGAAGCAAGAACTGGTAGAAATTTCAGACTCAAAAAAATTTCAGACTCACATAATACAAACCTCTCATTTTACAGAAAAGGGAAATTGAGGCTCCAAGGGGGCTCTTCTTGTCCAATATTGTACAACTAGTTAATGGCAATGCCAGGCCTCACTAAATCTCAGGCAGAGTCTTACCTGCTAAATATGTGAACTAAAAGATTGTCAGATGAAATGATTGGAAGCCTGGGGTTGGCCTCAAACAATCCAGGGCAAGGAAAAGGGGACAAAAAGGGAGTTGGTAGTGGAGAGGAAGCAAGCTTGGCACACATGGATGATTGTTGAGGCTGGATGATGTATAAATGCATAGTCATTATGGTCTCTCTACTGTACATGTTGGGAATTTTCCACAAGAAAAGATTTTTAGGCCGGGTGCAGTGGCTCACACCTGTAATCCCAGCACTTTGGGAGGCCAAGGCGGGCGGATCACCTGAGGTCGGGAGTTCAAGACCAGCCTGACCGACATGGAGAAACCCCATCTCTACTAAAAATACAAAATTAGCCAGGCATGGTGGCGCATGCCTGTAATCCCAGCTACTTGGGAGGTTGAGGCAGGAGAATCACTTGAACCCCAGAGGCAGAGGTTGTGGTGAGCCAAGATCATGCTGTTGCACTCCAGCCTGGGCAATACGAGCAAAACTGCGTCTCAAAAAAAAAAAAAATGTTTTTTAAATGTAGGGTACTTTCAGTCTACCAGGCTATTCCATATAGTACTCGCCACAATATCTTGGAACCGGTAGGTATTCAAATGTGAGTGTTGTTTGACTGGGCTGATGAAGGATAAAGAAAGAGAAACGACCGGGCACAGTGGCTCATGCCTGTTATCCCAGCACTTTGAAAGGCCAAGGCAGGTGGATCGCCTGAGCTCAGGAGTTTGAGACCAGCCTGAGCAACACGGTGAATCCGTCTCTACTAAAATATAAAAAAATTAGCCAGGCGTGGTGGTGTGTGCCTGTAGTCCCAGCTATTTGGGAGGCTAAGGCAGGAGAATTGCTTGAACCTGGGAGGCAGAGGTTGCAGTGAGCCGAGATCGCACCACTGCACTCCAGCCTAGACGAGAGAGCAAGGCTCCATCTCCAAAAAAAAGAAGAAAGAAACAGAAATATATCATGGAGGTTACATTGCTAGCCTCTGCAGGCAGCTCCCTCCTTTGAAGGAGAGCTCATGCTGCTACACAACTGCCAGAGCCTGTTAATTCTGACATTGCACCTTAGTTCTGAAGTAAAATAACACCCCTTTCCTCTCTCTTCTGTTAGTGGCTGTGGTGGGCAGGAGAATGGCCTCCCAAAGATATCTGTGTCCTAATCCCTGGAAGCTGGGAATATGTGAGTTTACACAGCAAATGGGAATTAAGGTAGCAGATAGAATTAAGGTTGCTAATCAGATGACCTTGAGATGAGATCATCTTGAATTACTGAGGTGGGTCCAATAGCATTGCAAGGGTCCTTAAAAATGAAAGCAGGAGGCAGGAGAGCAATCAGGGTCAGAGCCGTGCCATGAGAGAAGGACTCAACAGGCCATTGCTGGCTTTGGAGATAGAGGAAGGGACCACAAGCTAAGGAATGTGGGCAGTCTCGGGATGCTGAAAAATGTATGGAAACAGATTCTCCCATAGAGCCTCCAAAGGGAACACAGTCCTGCCTTGACGTTAGCCCAACGAGACCACGAGACCCAGTTCAGATTTGTGACCTCCAGAACTTTAAGATAATAAATTTCTGTTGTTTTAAGCCACCAAATTTGTAGAAACTTATTACAGCATCAGCAGGAAACTATTACAGTGGCTAAGTTCCACTAATGCTACGTCACTTTCCTGTTTTGATTTTAATTTATGCATGTTATCTTTATGCACTACTACTGTATATTCAACCTCCATTGTCCCATCTTTGCTGCAAGTCCTATATGTCTTTTGTCAACATCACAGTGGTCATAAATGCAAGTGGCAGCAAAGAAATTATTGGGAGTCAAAGTGTTGATGAAATGTTACTTTCAGAGCCCTGCCTGTGCTGCCTGTCTTTCTGTAGTTTTCCCCCATGTGTTAGTTCGTTCTCACACTGCTATAAAGACATACCTGAAACTGAGTAATTTATGAAAAGAGGTTTAATTGACTCACAGTTCCAAACGCTATACAGGAAGCATGGTTGGGTAGGCCTCAGGAAACTTACAGTCACAGCAGAAGGCAAAGTGTAAGCAAGCACCTTCCTCACATGGCAGAACGGGAGAGAGAGAGTGAAGGGGAAGGTGCCACACACTTTTAAACAACCAGATCTCCTGAGAACTCTATCACAAGACGGCACTAGGGAGATGGTGCTAAATCATTAGAAACCACTCCCATAATTCAATCACCTCCCACCAGGCTCCACATCCAACACTAGGGATTACAATTCAACATGAGATTTGGGTGGGGACACAGACCCAAAACATATCACCCTGTGTTCTGTTATCTCCATCTTTGTTAGTTGACATATCTAGTTATGTAGCCATTTTATCTTGGAAGAAAATGCCAACAATGTTCTATTTAATAAAAAACAAACTTTATACTCAGTCTTCAATGTGCTTGCCAAACGTGATGGCCTTAAGGGATTGGAAATGAGGGGAGATATGTTCCTGAAAAATTCAGTGCTCAAATGTATTACAGCTTATCAGTTGTACACTTGTGGGGCAGGCAGATTTTATCAAATTCTGTAGGCAAGGTGTTCAAACTTGACAAGGTAAGTTTGAGATAAAGTGAATTCTCAATAATTTATTTTCAAGTTTTCAAGAGCCATATTTTATTTGTAAATAGTTCCTTTCATGGGAGTAGACTTCCTTCTTTCACCTCAAGAAATCAGACATGTATAATTGATCTTTGGGTGGAAGTTAAGATTCTGAGTCACTCCTTAATATTCTGTAGGATTTACTAAGTTTAGAAGTGTATCATGAAGATGAGAAGTGAGAGAACAGTTTTAAGGCTCTCAAGGTTAGGAGCATTTAGGTGATCTGTCACCAGTTCATGGATTGATATAATTGCAAGACTGGAAAGGACCTTCAGGGAATTCCACAGTAGCTACACCCCTCTGATGCCTGAGGGACATCACTGCCACATTCCCACCAAGGCATGGCCAACCTCTGGCTCACCACATCCAGAGGAAAGGAACTCACTAATCCTGAGGACAATTATCCTACTTATTTGACAAATCTAAAAGTTAGCAAGTTGTTCCTTATATTGAGCCCAAATCTGTTTTCTGGAGGCTTCCGATGTTGCCCTCGTACTACATGTTGTGAGTCCTGTAACCATCCTCTCAAGTGTAGTGGTTGGACAATACACATGCTGTAAAATACATGTATTAAACATTTATTGATGAAGTTCACTGTAATTATCAAGTGATACGACTAACCCCTTGCCGGTTATAGGGAATACATTTTCCCAGAGGTAACATGGTGCAGGATCATCTTCAACTTTGTGCAGGTGGCCCACCTGAGAGATGTTCAAGTCCCAAAAGATGCACCTGATATCCATAGAAGTGTTTCTTTGCTTTTCAACAATTGACTTAATGCAAGTGTTTGCTCTGATTCCTGATAACAGTAGAGAGCTGATCACAGTACCCACAAGGCAAATGTTTGGTCAGTGTTTGGCCCAATGTTTTCCTGCTCCTTCTGTGCTTGACAAGGTGGCCAACATAAGATAAGGTTTGCATGACTGTCTTTTAGAACATGTTCTAGACAGTAGTGTAAAAGAAGACAAAAATATGCTGCAGAGAGGTAGTAACTTGCATGTTAAAATATTGTTTTTAAAAACCAGTTCCATGATTGGTCTACAAAGGGTCCAAAACCCCTGCATATTTTTATTCACAGCCAGAATTTCCATAGCTTTCTGGAAATAAACAGATGCACTAATCTTTTCTCCTGTTCTCTTACATTGAGCCATTATGTCAGCCCAGGAGCTGAGGCTTGAGGATTCACTATCCTGCCTAAAGGTAAAGATTGAAAGAGGATATTATTTCTGTCTGGATTTCTACATTTTTCCTTCCAACCTCAGATGAACTACTTCTCCACTCCTAATCTCAGTCTCTACATCTGTAAAATGAGAAGAATGATCTATACCAGTTTTGTGAGCCTGTTCAGCACTGATACATTCTGCTCCCAGTATAAAATTTTGGAAAATGTCTTTATCTGTCTTTCCAACCCCTACAAATTACCTCCATGTACTCTCTGCAGAGTTGACTTCTTAAAGCCAACTCCAGTATCAGACCCCTTCCGCATGGCTTCAGTGAGTTATTTGGGTCATTCCAGCTTTGGGAAGAATTCCAATAAATCATCAGCAAAATTCCACATGCCATGAAGGGAAAGAGCAACTTCTTTTCCTCCTTCCTGGACTCAGTTTTTGGAAGTGACTCTCTCCACTCTGTCCATGTGCACCCAGTAGGAATGCATTTGGATGGAGAGTATCCCGGGTTAGCCCCTCATTCATCACCACACCTTCCCTGGGGCTCTTGCACCAGTGCCCTTGCTGGTCTCCCCAACCCCAGGTTCGTTCCTCCTCTCCTCTTTGATGAGGTAAATGCTCCCACCAGACCAAAGTTCTTATTATGCTTCTACCCTGGGCTATCCAGCCTCCCTTGCCTTTCCATTAATCTCTTAGCACAGAAAGCCCAAGGCCCTGATTACTACCTCTGGTATTGAAGGCCCCCAGTAACTTGGCCCTGTCCTCCCTGGCCTTAATGTGCATTCCCTACAAGCACCCTGTGCTCTAGTTCAGTGTTTCTCAAAGTATGGTCCTGGGACTACTGTCTTCCTACTGAAAAAGAAATGCTCAGGGTGAAACCCGAAAATATGCACGTTAAATCTGCTCCCTGAGTAATTCTTATACATACTAAAGTTGGTGAACTACTTCTATAAACCACTTACTCTCCAGTTCTCTGTCACCAACATTTAAGTCTGTGCTACTCTAATCTCTTGCCTGGGTTGTCAGACTAACCACTAAAATGTTTTGCCTACTACTAAAATTGGAAAGCCACTGGTCTAAAGAGCAAGTGAATAGTTCAGGAACAATCTAAAGAAAACTCTCAAGGGAAAGTTGAACTCTAGTTTGAAAGAAAATGATAAGTATGATGACTATCCAATACCTTGGAAGAAGAGTGAGGAAATGGCCAAGACCCTAAAGAAAGGAGTGTTTGAAAGCCACTTTTTTAGAGAGGGGAGACGGGATATTAGTGACTGAAAGTCATTGGCAATATCAAATGTTGATAGCCTGATAATTATGCTGTGAAATCTGGCCAGATCAGCAGAAGGGAACTCTGGAGAAGGAGCCAACTTCTGAGAGGTAGATTGGGCTTGAGAAATTGCATGCCCCTCCAATTGTAACTCAGCCCCATGAAGGTAATAATGGTGTCTATTCATAAATGTACTTGCAGTGCCAACCTAGAACTTGGAATATAGTAAATGCTCAATAGTTATTGGTTAAATTAGTGAGTAAATGAGTGAATGGGTTCCCAAAGAGAAAATGGGAAAGGTGTTTATGTGTTGGATAAAACAAAATCCTTTGATCACTGATACACTATCATATTTTCTTTGGGGTTATATAACACAAACAAAAAGTTTATGCTTTATATAGTCTCTCTAAACAGCTTTGGCTTAAAGGATTGCAAAATTAGAAAGTAAAAGAGAAAACAGAAATGTGTCATCATGTCACTGTAGTTTGACCCCCTTTTCTAGAAAGGGAACATACAGAAGTGTGCTAGTCTGAGGAAACTTGGAAGGGAGATTTTGGACAGGAGAGTGATTTTAGATTTTCACTAGCAACTACTTCAGGATGTAACTCCAAAGGAGAAGACTTTTTTGCATCCATGAAGTCATGTGACTAACAGTAATGGATGCCCACTCTTTTTTCTTTTTTTTTTTTTTTTGAGACGGAGTCTCACTCTTTCACCCAGCCTGGAGTGCAGTGCCACAATCTCAGCTCACTGCAACCTCTGCCTCCTGGGTTCAAGCAATTCTCCTGCCTCAGCCTCCTGAGTAGCTGGGACTACAGGTACGTGACACTACACCCGGCTAATTTTTTGTGTTTTTAGTAGAGACGGGGTTTCACTGTGTTAGCCAGGATGATCTCAGTCTCCTGACCTCATGATCTGCCCACCTCAGCCTCCCAAAGTGCTGGGATTACAGGCTGAACCACTGCGCCCAGCCTGGATGCCCACTCTTACAGGTTGACTTGTATCTCTAGAAAAGACATGTTGAAGTCCTAACCCCTGGTACCTCAGAATGTAACTTTAGTTGGAAATAAGGTTTTTACAGAAGTGGTCAAGTTAAAATAAGGTTATTATGGTGGGCCCCTAATCCAATATGCCTAGTGTCCTTATAAAAGAGGGAAATTTAGACACAGGCACCTACAGAAGGGAGACAATGTAAACACACAGGGAGAATGCCATCTACAAGCCAAGGAACCTCTGAAGGTAATAGAAGGTAGGAGAGAAGCCTGGAACAGATTCCACCTCACAACTCTCAGAAGGAACCAACCCTGCCAACACCTTGATTTCTGACTTTTAGCCTCCAGAACTGGGAGATGATAAATTTCTGCTGTTTAACCCACCCAGATTCAATTTGCAGTACTTTGTTACAGCAGCCCTAGCAAACTAATACACTTGCTACAGGTTACAAGATACTTGGAAAGAGATAATGCCTTAGGTTGGGCTATCATAGAAACAGAAGTGAGTGGGTCAACTTAACAGAGGGGCTGAAACAAGAACACCCATCACTGGAAAATGCACAGAGCTATATGAGTAGTATAAAGATGGATTGTGCAAATTCAAAGGAAGTGGAGACTTTATAGTTATTGAGGGGGTGGGGAAAGGCTCTCAGGGAGGACTTTCTGCAAGATGTGTCAGTGGAGCTACACTCTGAGGATGAATAGAATGGGGACATGTAGAGAGGTGATAGGGAAGAAGGAGAAGAACCTTTTCATTTCTAAAAACCTTTAGTAAGAGATTCCTGTAAATAGCCAGCTCTTTATTATATTAAAAATGTAAACCAGCCGGGTGTGGTGGCTCACGCCTGTAATCCCAGCACTTTGGGAGGCTGAGGTGAGTGGATCACGAGGTCAAGAGATCGTGACCATCCTGGCTAACATGGTGAAAACCCATCTCTACTAAAAATACAAAAAATTATCTGGGCGTGGTGGCATGCGCCTATAGTCCAGCTACTCAGGAGGCTGAGGCAGGAGAATCACTTGAACCTGGGAGGTGGAGGTTGCAGTGAGCAAAGATTGCACCACTGCACTCCAGCCTGGGCGACAGAGTGAGACTCTGTCTCAAAATAAATAAATAAATAAATAAAATAAAATAAAAAGTAACCTGAGATTAAAATGGCAAAATTGTTAAGTGTTAAATCTGGGTGATGGATATATGGGAATTCATTATATTATTCTATTTTTATACATTTTTAATGGTTTTTTTTCTTTCTTTCTTTCTTTTTTTTTTTTTTTTTTCACTTTAAGTTCCAGGATACATGTTCAGAATGTGCAGGTTTGTTACCTAGGGGGATACATGTGCCATGGTGGTTTGTTACACCTATCAACCCATCATCTACGTTTTAATCCTGTTGTGCATTAGGTATTTGTCCTAATGCTCTCCCTCTACTTGCCCCCCACCCCTCGACAGGCCCCGGTGTGTGTTGCTCCCCTCCCTGTGTATATGTGTTCTCATTGTTCAACTCCTACTTATGAGTAAGAAGATGTGGTGTTTGGCTTTCTGTTCCTGTGTTAGTTTGCTGAGAATGAGGGCTTCCAGCTTCATCCATGTCCCTGCAGAAGACATGATCTCATTCTTTTTATGGCTGCATAGTATTCCATGTTGAATATGTGCAACATTTTCTTTATCCAGTCTATCACTGATGGACATTTGGGTTGGTTCCAAGTCATTGCTATTGTAAATAGTGATGCAATAAACATACATGTGCATGTGTCTTTATAGTACAATGATTTATAGTACAATGATTTATAGTACAATGATTTATAATCTTTTGGGTATATACCCAATAATGGAATTACGGGGTCAAATGGTATTTCTGGTACTAGATCCTTGAGGAATCGCCACACTGTCTTCCACAAAGCTTGAAGTAATTTACACTCCCAACAATAGTGTAAAAGCATTCCTATTTCTCCACAGCCTCGCCAGCATCTATTGTTTCCTGACTTTTTATTAATCACCATTCTGACTGATGTGAGATGGTATCTCATTGTGGTTTTGATTTGCATTTCTCTAATGATCAGTGATGATGAGCTTTTCTTCATATATTTGTTGGCTGCATAAATGTCTTCTTTTGAGAAGTGTCTGTTCATATCCTTTGCCCACTTTTTGATGGGGTTGTTTACTCTTGTAAATTTTTTTAAGTTCGTTGTAGATTCTGGATATTAGACCTTTGTCAGATAAGTAGATGGCAAAATTGTTCTCTCATTCTGTAGGGTTGCCTGTTCACTCTGGTGATAGTTTTCTTTTGCTCTGCAGAAGCTCTTTAGTTTAATTAGATCCCATTTGTCAATTTTGGCTTCTGTTGCCATTGCTGTTGGTGTTTTAGTCATGAAGTCTTTGCCTATGCTTATGTCCTGAATGGTATTGCCTAGGTTTTCTTCTAGAGTTTTTATGGTTTTGGGTTTTACATTTAAGTCTTAAATCTATCTTAATTTTTGTATAAGGTGTAAGGAAGGGGTCCTGTTTCAGTTTTCTGCATATGGCCAGCCAGTTTTCCCAGCACCATTTATTAAATAGGGAATCCTTTCCCCATTGCTTGTTTTTGTCAGGTTTGTTGAAGATCAGCTGGTTGTAGATATGTGGTGTTATTTCTGAGGTCTCTGTTCTGTTCCATTGGTATAGATATAGATATAGATATATAGATATAGATATATAGATATAGATATAGATATAGATATAGATATAGATATAGATATATAGATATAGATATAGATATAGATATATCAGGTTTGGTACCAGTACCATGCTGTTTTGGTTACTGTATCCTTATAGTATAGTTTGAAGTCAGGTAGTGTGCTGCCTCCAGCTTTGTTCTTTTTGCTTAGGATTGTCTTGGCTATACGGGCTATTTTTTGGTTCCATATGAAATTTAAAGTAGTTTTTTCTAATTCTGTGAAGAAAGTCAGTGGTAGCTTGATGGGAATGCCATTGAATCTATAAATTACTTTAGGCAGTATGGCCATTTTCACAATATTGATTCTTCCTATCCATGTGCATGGAATGATTTTCCATTTGTTTGGGTTCTGTCTTATTTTCTTGAGCAGTGCTTTGTAGTTCTTCTTGAAGAGGTCCTTCACATCCCTTGTAAGTTTTATTCCTAGGTATTTTATTCCCTTTGTAGCAATTGTGAATGGGAGTTCATTCATGATTTGGCTCTCTGCTTGTCCATTGTTGGTGTGTAGGAATGCTTGTGATTTTTGCACATTGGTTTTGTATCCTGAGACTTGGTTGAAGTTGCTTATCAGCATAAAGAGTTTTTGGGCTGAGACGATGGGGTTTTCTGAATATACAATCATGTCATCTGCAAACAGAGACATATTGACTTCCTCTCTTCCTATTTGAATACCCTTTATTTCTTTCTCTTGCCTGATTGCCCTGGCCAGAACCTCCAATACTATGTTGAATAGGAGTCATGAGAGAGGGCATCCTTTTCTTGTGCTGGTTATCAAAGGGAATGCTTCCAGCTTTTGCACATTCAGTATGATATTGGCTATGGGTTTGCCATAAATAGCTTTTATTATTTTGAGATATGTTCCATCAATGCTTAGTTTATTGAGAGTTTTTAACATGAAGAGATGTTGAATTTTATTGAAGGCCTTTTCTTCATCTATTGAGATAATCATGTGGTTTTCGTCATTGGTTATGTTTATGTGATGGATTATGTTTATTGATTTGCATATGTTGAACCAGCCTTGCATCCCAGGGATGAAGCCAACTTGATCATGGTGGGTAAGCTTTCTGATGTGCTGCTGGATTCAGTTTGCCAGTATTTTATTGAGGATTTTAACATTGATGTTCATCAGGGATATTGGCCTGAAGTTTTCTTTTTTGTTGTGTCTCTGCCAGGTTTTGGTATCAGGATGATGCTAGCCTCATAAAATGAGTTAAAGAGGAGTCCGTCTTTTTCTATTGCTTGGAATAGTTTCAGAAGGAATGGTACCAGCTCCTCTTTGTACCTCTGGTAGACTTCAGCTGTGAATCCATCTGGTCCTGTGTTTTTTTGGTTGGTAGGCTATTAATTACTGCCTCAATTTCAGAACTTCTTGTTGGTCTATTCAGGGATTTGACTTCTTCCTGGTTTAGTCTTGGGAGGGTGTATGTGTCCAGGAATTTATCCATGTCTTTTAGATTTTCTAGTTTATTTGCATATAGATGTTTATAGTATTCTCTGATGGTAGTTTATATTTCTGTGGGATCAGTGGTGATGTCCTCTTTATCATTTTTATTGTGTCTATTTGATGCTTCTCTCTTTTCTTATTAGTCTAGTTAGCAGTCTATCTGTTTTGTTAGTTTTTTTTTCAGAAAACCAGCTCCTGGATTCATTGATTTTTTGAAGGGTTTTTCATATCTCTATCTCCTTCAGTTCTGCTCTGATCTTAGTTATTTCTTGCCTTCTGCTAGCTTTTGAATTTGTTTGCTCTTGTTTCTCTACTTCTTTTAATTGTGATGTTAAGGTGTTGATTTGAGATCTTTCCAGCTTTCTCATGTGGACATTTAGTGCTATAAATTTCCCTGTTAACTCTGCTTTAGTTGTGTCCCAGAGATTCTGGCACATTGTCTCTTTGTTCTCATTGGTTTCAAAGAACTTCTTGATTTCTGCCTTAATTTCATTATTTACCTAGGAGTCATTCAGGAGCAGGTTGTTCAGTTTCCATGTAGTTGAGTGGTTTTGAGTGAGTTTCTTAATCCTGAGCTCTAATTTGATTGCACTGTGGTCTGAGAGACTGTTATGATATCCCTTCTTTTGCATTTGCTGAGGAGTGCTTTACTTCCAATTATGTGGTTGATTTTAGAATAAGTGTCATGTGGGACTGAGAAAAATGTATATCTGGCTGATTTGGGGTGGAAAGTTCTGTAGATGTCTATTAGGTCCACTTCATCCAGAGTTGAGTTAAAGTCCTGAATATCCTTGTTAATTTTCTGTCTCATTGATCTGTCTAATATTGACAGTGGGGTGTTAAAGTCTCCTACTATTATTGTGTGGGAGACTAAGTCTCTTTGTAGGTCTCTAAGAATTTGTTTTATGACTCTGGGTGCTCCTGTATTGGGTGCACGTATATTTAGGATAGTTAGCTCTTCTTGTTGTGCTGATCCATTTACCATTATGTAATGTACTTCTTTGTCCCTTTGTCTTTTTTGTTAATCTTTGTTGGTTTAAAGTCTGTTTTATCAGAGACTAGGATTGCAAACCCTGCTTTTTTTTTTTTTTTTTTTTTTTTTGCTTTCCATTTGCTTGGTAAATAGTCCTCCCTTCCTTTATTTTGAGCCTATGAGTGTCTTTTCACATGAGATGGGTCTCCTGAATACAGCACACCAATGGGTCTTGACTCTTTAACCAATTTGCCAGTCTATGTCTTTTAATTGGGGCATTTAGCCCATTTACATTTAAGGTTAATATTGTTACGTGTGAATTTGATCCTGTCATCATGATGCTAGCTGGTTATTTTGCACATTAGTTGATGCAGTTTCTTCATAGTGTCATTGGTCTTTATATTTTGGTGTGTTTTTGCAGTGGCTGGTACCGGTTTTTCCTTTCCATATTTAGTGCTTCCTTCAGGAGCTCTTGCAAGGCAGGCCTGGTGGTGACAAATCTCTCAGCATTTGCTTATCTGTAAAGGATTTTATTTTTCCTTCTCTTTTGAAGTTTAGTTTGGCTGGATATAAAATTCTGTTGGCCCCCATGGTCTTCTGGCTTGGAGGGTTTCTGCAGAGAGATCGGCTGTTAGTCTGATGGGCTTCGCTTTTTAGTTGACCTGACTTTTCTTTCTGGCTGCCCTTAACATTTTTTCCCTCATTTCAACCTTGATGAATCTGACAATTATGTGTCTTGGGGTTGGTCTTCTTGTGGAGTATCTTAGTGGTATTCTCTGTGTTTCCT
Source organism: Homo sapiens (assembly GCF_000001405.40). NCBI lineage: Eukaryota > Metazoa > Chordata > Mammalia > Primates > Hominidae > Homo > Homo sapiens. The sequence goes on along the minus strand of NC_000023.11, from coordinate 151,254,361 downwards.
GAATTTGAATGTTGGCCTGTCTTGCTACATTGAGGATGTTCTGGATAATATCCTGAAGTGTGTTTTCCAACTTGGTTCCATTCTCCCCATCACTTTCAGGTACACCAATCAATCGTAGGTTTGGTCTTTTCACTTAGTCCCATATTTCTTGTAGGCTTTGTTCATTCCTTTTTATTCTTTTTCCTCTGATCTTGCCTGCATGCCTTATTTCAGCAAGGTGGTCTTCAATCTCTGATATCGTTTCTTCCATTTGATCGATTTGGCTATTGATACTTGTGAATGCTTCACAAAGTTCTCATGTTGTGTTTTTCAGCTCCATCAGGTCATTTGTGTTCCTCTCTGAACTGGTTATTCTAGAAAGCAGTTCCAGTAACCTGTTATCTAGGTTCTTAGCTTCCTTGCATTGGCTTAGAACGTGCTCCTTTAGCTCAGAGGAGTTTATTGCCCACCTTCTGAAGCTTAATTCTGTCAATTTGTCAATCTCATTCTTGGTCCAGTTTTGCGCCCTTGCTGGAGAGGTGTTGTGATCATTTGGAGGAGAAGAGGCATTCTGGCTTTTGGAATTTTCAGCGTTTTTGCACAGATTTTTTCCTCATCTTTGTGTATTTATCTACCTTTGATCTTTGAGGCTGATTACCTTTGGATAGGGTTTTTGCGTGGGGGTCTTTTTTGTTGATGTTGTTGTTGCTTTCTGTTTGTTAGTTTTTCTTCTAATCGTCAGGTCCCCCTTCTGCCCATCTGCTGCAGTTTGCTGGAGGTCCACTCTAGACCCTGTTTGCCTGGGTATCACCAGTGGAGGCTGCAGAACGGCAAAGATTGCTGCCTGCTCCTTTCTCTGGAAGCTTTGTCCCAGAAGGCAGTAGCCTGATGACAGCCAGAGCTCTCCTGTATGAGGTGTCTGTCGACCCCTGTTTGGAGGTCTCTCCCAGTCAGGAGGCATGGGGTTTAGGGGCCCACTTGAGCAGGCAGTTGGTCCCTTTGCAGAGCTGATGTGCTGTGCTGGGAGAATCACCCTTGTCAGGATCAGCTGCTCTCTTCAGACCCAGCAGGCAGGAAAGATTAAGTCTGCTGAACCTGCGCCCACAGCTACCCCTCCCCTCAGGTGCTCTGTCCCAGGGAGATGAGAGTTTTATCTGTAAGCCCCTGACTGGGGCTGCTGCATTTCCTTCAGAGATGCCCTGCCCAGTGAGGGGGAATCTAGAGAAGCAGTCTGGCCACAGCCACTTTGCCACACTGTGGTGGATTCCACCCAGTCCAAACCTCCCAGTCTCCTTAGCACTGTCACGGGAAAACTGCCTACTAAAGCCTCAGTAATGGTGGATGCCTCTCCTCCCACCAAGCTCTACCGTCCCAGGTCAACTCCAGATTGCTGTGCTGGCAGTGAGGATTTCAAGCCAGTGGTTCTTAGCTTGCTGGGCTCCATAGGAGAGGGAGCCACTGAGTGAGACCACTTGGCTCCCTGGCTTCAGCCCCCTTTCCAGGAGAGTGGACAGTTCTCCTGTCTCACTGGAGTTCCAGGTGCCGCAAGGGTATGAAAAAACCCCTGCAACTAGCTTGGTGCCTGCCCAAACAGCCGCCCAGTTTTGTGCTTGAAACCCAGGGCCCTGGTGGTGTAGGCTCAAGAGGGAATCTCCTGATCTGCAGATTGCAAAAATCCGTGGGAAAAGCGTAGCACCCAGGGTGGGTAGCACTGTCCCTTACCGCTTCCCTTGGCTGGGGAGGGAGGTCCCACAGCTCTGTGCACTTCTTGGGTGAAGTGAGACCAACCCTGCTTCTGTTTACTCTTTGTCGGTTGCACCCACTGCCTAACCAGTCCCAATGATGTGAACTTGGTACCTCAGTTGGAAATGCAGAAATCACCTGCCTTCTCTGTTGGTTTTAATGGGAGCTGCGGACCGGAGCTGTTTCTATTCGGCCATCTTGGCCCCTCTCCATTTTAAGGTTTTCATATGAAAATAAATATGTATGCAGGTATGTATTTGTATCAGTGACCAACATTTTATTAATATTCACTAATGCAGAATAATAGTTTTTCAAACCAAGCAAGTTCCAATTTGAATATTAAAAGTCAATTTTTTTTTCTTATAGATCAGGAGTCAGTGTGGTCTCAGAGGAGGAATAGCACACATATCAGCTACTTAAATTGAAACTGTTGAGGCACTGAGTCCATTGGGAACTTGGGGGTGTGACAGTGCAGGCCTATTGGCATCCTGTGTCATAGGCTTTAGACTCTGGTTTCCACTCTGTTCTATGCCTGGCCTCTCTGGGATGTTTCTTATTTTCATAATGGTTTCAACTTTGATTGCTTTTTAACCAAATGACCATAATATTTCATTGATCATCTTTGAAGACATTGAGAGAGTCACAAAGGGGAAGTTTACTTTAACTGGGAGGCACTGATGTTTCTCTGCTTACTTCCATGGAATCTACATTGAGTAAGCAGAACAAGGATACATAAAGACAAGAGTTTGACTTTGTGACCTAAAAATTGAGTTTTAAGATTGAGATAACTGGAGAAGTAAGTCTAAAATAAAAATAAATCCTGAGTCTTTAAACATTTACTCTGCATTTGTTTGCTAGAGTTATTTAACAATGGTTTTATCTGCAGGAAATGCTTTCTCTCTCACAGTAGTGGTATGCTAGTATATTTATATAGAATATTTTTATTGGTAAATAATGTGTAGCACACAAGTTACAAATACTGATAAAATATACAATACTCTTTATTATAAATTCCATATGGCTAATTGATTCTCCCAGAATACTTTAATTAATTTTTCCTAAGCTCTTGTATCCATAGCTAATGTCTGGCTTCAATTTAACCATAATTTGACAAATATAACTGCATCCCAGCCTACTAACTCTTTTCTCAATAACTTTATTGTCATTAAACCTGATATATAATTATAGATAAACTATATTTCACCTTTGTACACATTACATTCATTTTGTATGGCAAAAACTGAAACATGTTTCTACTTCAGCATTATGTATGGCAAAAATTCACTTGTTTATCCATGATAGATGTGACTTTTTTGCTGAGCCAAATAACAGTTTTCAAATTCTGGAAGAATATTTTCTTAATGTTTTGTGCATAAATGTCATGGTTACAGACACAACACATTTTTATTTCACCTGAATTATTGTTTTCACAATCTCTTTCTTTAAGTCTAGGCAATGAATCAAGTCCTGATTTATAGTTTTCCAATTCACATGGTGTAAAATATTCCTGCTATGCCTGTTTTTAAACTACCAATGTGATGTTACTGAACATAGGCTTCAGAAGAGATGTATACAGCATTTCATCACACAGATACAACAGAAGTAAATAACGTCAAGGTCGTATGTAATAAGAAAGCATACTGAAATAAATATTAATGAGTTTGAAGTATTCATTCCCTTTGTTTTTAATATAATTGATTTAATTATGAGCTCATAAAATTTAATTTTTAATAATGACCATGTTTAACAACCAGATCACAAAATTCCTGAAAATTTAACTGTCAGCACTCATGAGCCAGTATAAGCTGGCACAAATTTCTTACAGTCATATAAACTCCATATTCAGGAAGTCAGAATTCTAGGTGAGTAACCTAACATGTGTCATAATAAAATCTCACAAATATACACAAAAGGAGACAGAAGAGTATAATTTACTTCTATGCATCCACCACTCAGCTTTGACAATCATCAATATTTTGACAAACTTATGTCATCTTCCCCTCTCTACTTTCTCTTTTCTGAAATATTGTAAAACAAATATTTTAAAGCAAAGATAATCTCCTGCATCACACTACAGCATGGAGTTGCCAGAGTACTTGACCCATCTATTGGGGGCTGGACAGCTGTTTGAGGGTTTAATAGCTACAGGTGCAGGTGCTGGCTGTTGAGATGGATGGGGATGCATCTCCATCATGGCCAAGGAGAACAGTAAGAGAAGATGGAAGTCTACACAAGTGACTGGCCCCAAGTGCAAGATGAAGTATTAGGATGTTTCAGTGGTGGGGAGGGGGAGCAGAATTAAGGCATCTTGGGGGAGGTGCTCCTTGGGAAATCTGACAGGCAGGTTTCAGTGCTTAGTAGGACTCAGTCCCCATTTTGAGAATAATTTTGGTCCCTTGGAGGGAAGATTGGCCATCATAAGGCAAAGGCCAGTCTCAGGAGAGAGCTGGAGGTACTGGAAGATTTAGAAGAACAGGAACCTTGTCTTTAAAAATTTAGAACTACAGGTTTCCATTTATGTGCCTCCAATCAAAATCAAAACTGGGCTTCCAAATCAGAAACAAAGCTCAACCTGTGTGTAGACATCAAATGATGGTGGCTACAGAGAAAGGAGGCAGATTGGACCTAGCATACGACAGACTGGACCTAGCATACGACAGACCACTCCCAAGAGATGCAGAGCTGCAAAAACCAATACAAGCCCTAAAGCAGCTGTTCTCAGACTTGAGCATTCAGAATAATCACATGAGGAGCACACCAGTGCAAATTCTTAAGCTATACCTCAGGGACTCTGGTTTTGTAGGTTTGAAGAGGCCCTGGAGTCTTTGCCTTGAGTCAGTGACCCTGGTCATTCTGGAGAACAGGGTCCCAGGACCATTCATAGAGAAAATTTGCTCTAAGTTTCAACAGAGGAGAGAGCCTTCCTTCCCTTTGATCACCCCCCTCTTATTATATAATTGATTTCTATTCTTCCCATAAGGTGACTGAAAAGTGTTATCTTTAACTTGACATGACTGGTGAGAAAATGAATATGGTATACTTTGTAAGTGAAAAAGCTGAAAGAAAACTAAATTTTACTGAGTACATACATATTTCATCCTAGACAATGTTCATAGTACTTTACAGAAATTGGTTTCCAAGCTAAGAGCTTCTTATTGTGGGGACAGTATGGGTACGGTGACAGAAGCCTGCATTTGTTGAGTGCTTCCTCTGTGTCAGGACATAGCCAGCGTTAATTCAATTTCTCCAACTCATTGAGTAGGCGCTATGATTATTATTATGCCAGTTTTACAAATAAGAAAGCCTTTTATTGGCGGTCATACAGCAAGTAAGTGGTAGAGCTGGGATTAAGCCTAGACATTTGGCTCCAGAGATCACATCTGACCACCAGATGACACTGCCAAGCACCTTGGTTGGTGGTCAGATGTCCTCAGTTTCTGGTTGCCATCTCCCCTCTCCCAGAGCTAGTTTGGTCAGTAACAACAGCTCTCCATAGAGTGGCTCCTACATGCAGGGCTCTTGTACAGACTAATCCTTTTATTGTGGTAAAATATACATCACATAAAATTTACCAACTGTAACTATTTATAAGCATAGTTCAGTGGCATTAAGCACTTCACACTGTTATACAACCATCACCACCATCCATCTCCAGAGCTTTTTCATCTTCTCAAACTGAAACTCTGTACCCGCCATCCCAACTAATTTTGACTCCTGGCTATGATGGATCACTCTCCAGTTGCTTTCAACCCTATCTCTGCAGCATAGATACAGTGGGAGTCCCCTTCCAGTCCTAAATTCTTCCTCATTTGGGGAAAATGTGCGGCTTGCTCAAATAATGTTCCCCTTTCATGCTTCTCTTGCTTTTCATCGTCACAATGCTGCTTTCTCCCTCCCTAATTCACCTTCACAATTGTATACCTTGAAACCCACATCTCACAGGTCCTAGAAAATGCAAACTGCGTGAGAAATCCAGCTTCCCCCTTCTGGCTCTGCTCCCTGCTTCCCCTTGTGAAGAGCCCCCGGCCCTCTTGGCCTCCCCCACAATACACCGTCCGCTTTGTATTCAGCCTTGTCTTACACTGAAGAGACATCTCTTTTCTCTTCTCCCAGGGCCCCAGCGGCTACCTCTCTGGCCTCCTGCATTCTTAGCCCACTTGTTGTACATATTCCTACGCTAAGTTGTGATTTGTGTTTGTGTCATTTGAATGAGTCCTTGGAGGCTGTCTTTGAACTCTCTGCACTCCCCTCCCCCTCCCCCTCCCTCTGCTCCAGCTCTTTCGCTGGGGGCGACCTCCCACCTCCCGTATTCTGATTCTATCCAGGCTGGGTCTGCTGAGCTCATTCTCTTGGCTCTTTTCCCTTCACTGGACCCTGGACACCCTCCTCCCAATCTCTGCCACCCCCTCCACCCAACCCTTTCCTCCTCAGTGGATTCTTGCAAAATGCTCTCTTCTTGACCAGGGAAAGTTCCTGCCTTCTTGTCCACTGTCTTCAGCCCAGTGCACTTCCAAACACCTCTCTGTCCTCCCTAACCCATTTTCTGGTTGAGTTATTTTTCTACCCGACTGAAACTTAAAATTCAGCCTCTTTGTTTGCCTTCCCTTGGTTCCTCCTTCCTTTCTCCTTCTCTTACAGACTAAGAGATATCTGAGCCACTGGTTCTTTCTTTTCTCCTTTCCCTCTGCTCCTACCTCTCTCCCAAGACAAAGTTAATACCCAATGTCCTTTGCCAGTAGCACTGCTGGGCCACCAAACCCCTTGTCCTGCCAGTGATTTCTTGTGCTACGCCCATGTCCTATCTTTGGCCCTCCCTAAAGCCTGCAGTGGAAACAATTTCCAAACCAAAATCAGAACAATGACAGATTTTTTTTTGACTTGGGCTTTGCCATTATGAAACATCCCCTAAAGAAAGTGATAGAGACTACATCTCACTGAGTTTTGCTCATAATGTGTTCCATGTGTACGTCCCAGGAAATGTACTCCAAAGAAGCAGTGTTCCTCTCCCCAGATTCAACTCTTGCCTGACCCTAGCTGGAGAAGCCCTGCTTGTCCTTCAGCTCTTTGGATCATGCTTATACGCTTAGGCCAGCTCCCAGAGTTGTCTGATTTTTGTCCTATGACTGCGAATACGTCTACAATAGCTCCCCTGATCAGGTCAGTGTTTCGTTCCTGCAGAGAATGAACAGAGTCCCTGGCCATGGCCTGCCAAGTGGAATCATCCTGCCACCGCCCTGGCCCCTTTTCTCCTGATACAGTCTCCACCACAAATCAAATTTATCTGCTCAATCTGAAGCTCCCATCAAACCTCTTACTTGCCAGGACGTGAATTACTGTTAATCGGTCTCGTGAGTCAGTTACAATCAAATTAATAAGCAGGATCCCCACCGGATTGTCTCCAACTGAGCGGCTGCTCTCATCCTCCAAATGAATCTTCCCCTGCAGGGGTCTCCAGCTTGTTTCACTCATCCTGAGGAAACTGAAAAGTTGCTTCTCACTTCCACTTGTCCTTTCCTCCTCTCAATTAACCTGACTCAAAACACTGCAGGTACAGAAATATTACACTGCTTTTCTTTCTCACTTCTTCCTTGCAGTTCTCCACATTTACCTCCCTCCATCCCTTCCATCTACCCCAGTTCTGGAGTTTCTCCTTGGTATCCCTGTTCTAAAGGGTTCTCACGTGCAGCTGGCTCCAAAGCAGGTAGATATTGTACTCGAGTTTCCTTCCCATCTGTTATTTATGCCTACCCTGGGCTCCCTCTGTCCTCATCTGGGCCTGGCAGCCTAAACTGCTACTTCTTCAGAGATATCACACTCCTTGTAAAGGTGGCCATATTGTCTCCTTCCCAGCATTCACCATTTACTCACAAGTGACACTTGTTCTAACCTTTTGAAGCCCTTTTAGGTAAACAAGACAGGATCAGGTAGCATCTCAATTTTGCATGTGGGAAAGGTGAAGCCCAGAGAGATTTCATGATTGGCCCTAGGTCCCTTGGTGAGTTGCTATTAGGGGCAAGATTATGACTTAAGCATCCTGGCTCTTAGGTGGGTATTCTGTCTAGTAGATGCTGCCACAATCCATTATCCAAATAATCTCTGACTTAGACCAACCATCTGTGAATAATCTTCATTTCCCAGACCATTATCTGCCACTGAGAAATTGAGGATCTGGTTACATTTAAGAGTCTCTAAATGACTTGAGCTCCCACCCAGAGTTTCTGAGCCTTTAATAACAGACCTACTGAGGATAATTTTGTATTAACTAAGCACCCTATCCATGTTATCTTCCCCTTTGACAGCTCAGTTCTATGAGAAGAAGAGGGGATTTAGGCACGACCATCCCCCAACTCTTCACTCTTATCATTCCTTCTACTTCTTACCCCTCCAACAACTTTGTTGGTTTCTCACAGTTCCTTTATCAAAGATTATTTATCTTCTGCTCAAAATGTCTTCCCTTCTTCTCTCTCCTTCTCATCCCTCATGGCCCCAGCCCTGTCATTAATTCACTGTATAACCCTGAGGTAATCATTCCTTCTCCCTATCCCTGATCTGCATATCAGATGCCTGGTTAATAAAATAATGTCATCTATTTTATCTTGATGGGTGCAAACACTATAGTGGAGGCTTGATGAACAACAAACCGAGAAGGACTTAGAGAGAGGAACCCAAATTTTAGCAAATAACACACAATAAGACCTGATTTAAGGAGTGACATACTTGGTTTCTGGAGAGAAAGACAACATCACAAGGATGTAAATATTTTGCAAATTATTATAAAAATGTGATTTCAGTCAAAGTATCAATGGTGATTTATTTCAAACTTTACAAATTGATTCTGAATTTCTTCTTAATGTAATTATAAATAAGATATATTTGAAAAAGAAGAATAATAAGAGAGGACATATGTACTAAAGTCTCATTAATGAAAACAATGTGGAACCAGCACAGAAAGAGTTTAGTCAATCAATGGAATAGAATAAGCATTTTAGAAACAAACACATGTCTGTCTGTGAACGTACTACTTAATAAGGTTGGTATTTCAATTCAGCGGGAAAAGTAAGTATTATTCAACAAATAAAATGCAGGGGTTATTCACTATCTATATGGAAGAAAATGTATACAGAGACCTACTTCACTCATTATGCAAAAATAAATAAATAAATCAGGTGACTCAAAGATCTAAATGTAAAAACTCTGGAGTTTTCGGAAAAGATACAAAAGAATTATTACCCTGAGATAAAATGCCTGAACTCAGAAGCCATAAAGTGAAATATTGACAGTATGACTACATAAAAGATTTAAAGCTATATGGTAACCATCTCACATTAATTAAGGGATTAGTTACTAGAATACATAAGGAGCTCAAACCACTCATTAAGGAAAAAATAATCTGACTAAAAATGGGCAAAAGATCTGAATATACATTTCTCAAAAGAAGACATACAAATGGCCAACAGGCATGTGAAAAATGCTCAACATCATTAATCATCAGGAAAACGCAAATCAAAACCACAACGAGATATCATCTCACCCCAGTTAAAACGGCTTTTATCCAAAAGACAGTTAGAATGGCTATTATCAAAAAGACAAAAAAATGCTGGCGAGGATGTGGAGAAAGAGGAACCCTCATACACTGCTGATGGGTAAGTAAATTAGTAAAACTCCTATGGAGAACAGTATGGAGGTTCCTCAAAGGATTAGAAATACAACTGCTGTATAATCCATTAATCCCACTGCTGGGTATATATCCAAAAGAAAGGAAATCAGTAGATCAAACAGATATCAACATCCCGTGTTTATTGCAGCACTTTCATAATAGCCAAGATATGGAATCAACCTAAGTATCCATCAACAGGTGAATGAATAAAGAAAATGTGGTACATATACACAATGGAATATTATTCAGCCATAAAAATGGATGAAATTCTGTCATTTGCAGGAACATGGGTGGAACTGGAGGATATTGTGCTAAGTGAAACAAGACAGTCACAGAAAGACAAACTTTGCATGTTTTCACTCATACCTGGGAGCTAAAAAACATAAAAAGAATTGAACTCATGGAGATGGAGAGTGGAATAATGATTGTCAAAGGTTGTGAAGGGTGTGGGGAGGAGGAGATAAATGGAGATGGTTAGTGGGTATAAAAATACAGTTAGATAGAAGGAATAACATCTAGTATTTGGTAGCACAATAGGATGACTATGGTTAAAAATAATATATTTTATATTTTAAAGTAACTAGAAAAGTGGAATTGGAATGTTCCTAAAACAAAGAAATAATAAATGCTTGAGGTGATGGATACCCCAATTACCCTGATTAGATCATTATACATTGTAAGCTTGTATCAAAACATCACATGTACCACATAAATATATACAACTACTACGTATCCATAATTAAAAATTTTTTTAAATGTTAAATTTTTAAAACTGAAACTATATGGTAAGCTACATATAAACAAAGTTAAAGGACAAGCAAAGAACTGGGAAAAATATCTGTAACATGTCTAAAAAAGGATTAATAATTTTTCTACACAAAAATTTCTGCAAATAACCAATCAAAAAATGGATGAAGCATACTATACCGAGATTCTTTAAAAAATAATAAAAATCGGCAAAAAATATGAAAATATGTTCACTTCCACTAGAAAATAACATAAAACTTAAAATAATGCACCACTTTCCCAGATTAAGAAGAATTTAAAATCTAGATAATATCAAGTACTGGTAGGTGTGAAAGGGAATGGATATTCATGGACTGTTAAACAGAATATATACATATGTCCACACACACACAGACACACACGCATGTATATATATACATATGAAGCTAGGTAGTGTCTAATATGTGTGTATATCTATATGCCCCTGTGACAATGAACTTTCATTTCCAGGAATCTATAATCCATTTTATAAAAGTATTATCACAAATATTTATAAAGGTATATGTGTGATATATATGAGGATGTTTGTTTTAGCCTTTTTATTTCTCCTGTGATTCGAGTGGCCCAGAGATGGGCATAGCCTGCCTCCCAGGATGACAAGGGCTACTCTACTCCTCCATGCTGGCTGCTAGGAGCAGTGGAGCTCCAGACAGCCAAAGCTTGAGGGGACTCAGTTTTGTTTTTAATGGTAGAAAAGGAGAGGTGGACAACCTAAGGGTCTATCAATTTACTATACTATACCCACACAGTGGAATACTAGGCAGCCATTAAAAAGCCAGGAGTAGATTTATATATCCTGTAAAGACACCCAGATAACTTGTTAAGTGAAAGAATAAATTATTGTCTCATATGTCTAACATTGCAACTTTATTTTTTAAAAAGAACATATTTATGTCTATTTATATATAAACATGGATTTATAAGCATAGGACAATGTCAAGAGATCTATGCACCAAAATGCTTCAGAAGTAACCCCTACTCCTCTGGGGGTGATTGGAGAAACTAAAGGGGGTACTTTCATTTTTTACTTTATATTATTTTCCCAAAAGATGATAGAATAAAGATAATATTTATACTTTTTCCGTGCGAGTTTTAAAAATGCAAACAAAATCATAAAGTGGTCAAAAGAATGGTTATCACTATAAGTCCAATAATTTCATTCGTTTATTGAACCAACAATTAAGCACCTACTTGGGCATCTGGCACTATGCAAGATGCTGACGGTAAGTGACTAAGGGACTAAGCCAGGGTGCCTACTATTAAGAAAATTAAATCCACACACCTGTATGAGAAAGAAATAAGCAGACAGTGACAACCCTACTGGGAGTATGTTGACACCAGTAACCAAAACAGAAAAGACAGAGACAGATTTGGAAGACTGGAGGTGATGACGAGTCTGGTTTTGGATATCTGGACTTGAGAGTTGCCTGTGGGACCTCCAGGTGGAACTATCCAACAGACTGATAGATGCCTCTGGAGTTTGAAGGGAGAGATTTGGGCTACAGGTAGGAATCTTAGAGAACCTTGCCAGATGTAATATGAAACTCATGTGAGTTGGCAAGATCACTTAGGAAGAGTGTGAACAGTGAGAAGAGCCCCACCTGGGAACCCAATCTTGAAAGTGCAGGTGGAGAAAAAGGGACCAGACCTGCCCAACATGGAGAGCTGCAGCATATTCTCCAAACTTCATAACAGAGCTATTGTTAGTGACTTGAGAGCTGGTCCAGGGGCAGAATCCAAATTGTGATCCATTAGGAGTGGAAAAGAGCTGAGTGAGTGGAGACTGTGTTTGTGCACTACCTTTGTGAAAAGCTTGGAAGGGAATTGAAGGAAAGGTATCTCAGACAGGTAGTTAGAAGAAGATGAAGTGTCAAGGGAGAGGTGTTTTTTTTTTTTTTAGATTCAACTACCCAGAAGAGAGAGTAACCTTGATTTCTACTTCATATCTTGTTTGTTTTCACTTTATATAGTGTAACACAAGCAGCAATATCACCAACAGTCTTTTAAATATTATTTTAAAATGTGTAGCATTCATATAATGATAGCACAAGTATGTAACTAATAATATGATTAACTAATATATTTAACTAAATAGTTCTTGGTGGGCATTTAGGTTATTTCCAATTTGAGCTAATTATGAGTAACACCTATATACATAAATCTTTGAACATATCTCTGAAGCAGTTCAAGGTGTGTGCCAATAAGTAGAATTTCTGGGCCAAAGTCTAAGAACCATTTTAAGGCTCTTGATGCAAATTACCAATTGCCTTCTAGCGGGTAGGTGAATGTCCTCCTCTGCACACCTCTGCCACAATTGGGCATTAGTGCTTAAAGAAAAACTGTCCATTTAATAAACAGTAATTAGGGTACTGTTAAGTTAGTGGTTTTTAGCATTAATAAGGATTTCATGCTCATTGGCCATTTGCATTTCTTCATCATGAATTATCTGCTCATGTCCTTTGTCCACATTTCTATTGAGTGATTTCATCTTTTTCTTATCGACTTGTCAGAATCCTTGCTATATATGTATTGTAAATATTGTTCGGAGTCTGTCATTTGCCTTTTAATTTTAGTTATGATGACTTTCTTGACTTGCAGTTCTTTTTGTAATCAAATTCTAATCAATTTGTTTAGGGGCATCCTGTGAGGTCTACTTTTATTAATAACTTTTTACACCAAATAGCTATCCAATTATCTCAGTACCTTTTATGGGATAAATAATTATTTTTCCAGGTCAGAAACAACACCTTTCATGCATGATAAATTTTTATATACTGGGGCCTGTTTCTAGATTTTTTATTTTGTTCCATTAATCTACATCTATTTTTGACAGTGATACCGTACAGTTTTATTTTTTATTTTTATTTATTTATTTACTTGAGATGGAGTTTCACTCTTGTTGCCCAGGCTGGAGTGCAATGGCACCATCTCGGCTCACCGCAACCTCCGCCTCCCAGGTTCAAGCAATTCTCCTGCCTCGGCCTCCTGAGTAGCTGGGATTACAGGCATGCGCCACCACACCTGGCTAATTTTTTTTTTTTTTTTTTTTTTTTGGAGATGGAGTCTCTGTTCCCCAGGCTGGAGTGCAGTGGCGCAATCTCAGCTCACTGCAAGCTCCGTCTCCCAGATTCACGCCATTCTCCTGCCTCAGCCTCCCGAGTATCTGGGACTACAGGCGCCCGCCACCACGCTTGACTAATTTTTTTGTATTTTTAGTAGAGACGGGGTTTCACCGTGTTAGCCAGGATGGTCTTGACCTCCTGACCTCGTGATTCACTCGCCTTGGCCTCCCAAAGTGCTGGGATTACAGGCTTGAGCCACCACGCCCAGCCTTAAATTTTGTATTTTTTTAGTAGAAACAGGGTTTCTCCATGTTGGTCAGGCTGGTCTCGAACTCCCAACCTCAGGTGACCTGCCCCCCTAGGCCTTTGAATGTCTGATAGCACAAGGTAGTAGAGGGAGGGAGAGAAGACAAGAAAAAGGAAATCCTCATCCTAGGCACATCTCAGTGGACCTCAGAATGGCCCAGTGATCCAGCAATATCAACCCCACTACTTTGAACTACACAGAGTTATGTTTGTTGTTTGTTATTCTTGTTTGGTTTGGTGCTTTGCTTTGGTTGGGTTTGGTTTGATTCAGTGAACTTCCTGGTAGGACTTAAAGGCAAAGATCTATGCTCACTCAGTTTCTGAATATCAGCTCTGCAAGGAGCCCTGTGCAAGGAGCAACAAGGTATACTCAGTTTGGATGCACTCCCCCAGTCCCTAAGGGAAAGGAGGAGTGACTTGTGGAAAGGAGTAGTGACTCTTCCTGCATGAGCAAGAATTAACCACAACAATCATTGAGTTTTACTGTATTAGGAAAAGGAGGGAGGTAATCTCTTGACACAGACTGACACACTTGCTCACGTCCAACATTCACCAAATGACATGTTCAAGAAGGCACCAGTGGGGCTTTCAAGGATTTTAGATTAAAGAAGCCTAAATTGGGTTTTGTAAAACTCAGAGAAAATTTCACTTCCCACAAATTCAAATCAGGGCACTCCTCTTCTCAATATGCCAAATCTACATCAGGCTTCCCAGGCTCCCCATCATTATTAGTTTATAAAGATTCATTGATATTCAATTAAGTAGTTCTAATGTTCTCAATGCAGCCCTAGACAGCACTTTATAAAGAATACATCCGCCCTCTGGAGACAGCTGGGGAAGCCAATTAGTCGGAGTAAATTTACATATCAATCCAGCTGTGGAATGAAGTCGGCCTTGTTCACCAGTCACAATGTGAAGAGCAAAGGGAGGAATCCTAGCGCTCCCTTGTCTTTTATTCCCTCAACTCAAGTGAGCTACAGCTCTCATTAAAAGTCTGTGAATACTGGGAGAGAGAACCTATAAATGCTCCCATTCCCTGCCAAGTATGCACTATCACTTAGAAGCAATTATTAATGGGGAATGTTTAATGCTCTCCCAAAGGTTAGTACTAATTCACATAAATATTGTATCACCTAAGAAATGATTTTTGTTCAAGGAGTTGAAAAATTGGGAACTAATTCTATTGTCAAGTTAAACTTCAATATAGCGAGGTTCCATTTTTTCTAATGATTTCATTAGATAGCAAGGATCCAACTCAATTCAAAAAACATTTAATGAATCACTACCATGCTAAGGTCCTGTGCAAAGAATGTGAGGAAGGACTTTGGTAAGGTACAAATAGCAACGTTTAATGATGGCAAATTGATAGACTATAGAGTTAGCTGAGTCCTTAAGCCACTGAGCCAAACCCTAGATACTTTCAGAAGTTCTGCCACTAGAATCCTCCCAAGGCAGCCTTTCTGATCTCCAAGTCAATTTATTATGTCTCCCCTAATGGCTCCATTCCCAGGCTAAACTGCAGCTCTTCCACATTTGACAGAGCTCTGCTAGCCCTCTACACTAGCATCAGCTCTCCGCTGAACATGTTGCTGCTGGTCTCTCCTTGAAACATTGCAAATTAGAAGAGATTGGAACAACATCCTTAATGTGCTGAAAGAAAAATATCTATTTAGAAGCCTATATAGCCAGCAAAAGTATTTTTCGTACATTAAGGTGAAATAAATACATTTTCTGACTAAAAAAAAGAAGAAGAACTAAAAGAATTTGTCATCAGGAGACGTGCATATGGGCAAGATAAAACTCTGGGGATTCACAGACATGTTCAGTATCTTGATTGTGGCAGTGGTTTCATGGATGGATACACATGTTTATCCACATATATATCTCAGACTCATTGGAATAGCACAATTTGAATATGTACAGATTATTATACATAAGTTATACCTTTAAAAGTATTATAAAAAGATGACTGGCTGTCTAAAGCAAAATAGCAATGATGTATTATGGAGTTTGTAAGACATAAATAACTAAAACATACGATGATAGTACAAAGGACAAGGGAATGGAAGTACACTGTTATAAGATTTTAACCACCAATGTGAGTTGTAAGAAAATGATTTATTGCATGTTGTGATAAGCTAGAGACTCATAAGTTAAACCTCATTGCAAACATGGAACAAAGAAGTGTGCCAAATAAGCCAAAAGTGGAAGTAAAATGAAACAATAAAATTAATCCAACTTAATACAAAATAAGTCAGGACAAGAGGGAAAAGGGAACAAAGAACAGACGGGACAAATAGAAAAAAAATGGATAACAAGAGGTTACACTTAAATGCAGCCATGTTAAAAATTATATTAAATATAATCATCTAAACACTGAAATCAAAATTCAGAGATAATAAGACTAGGTAAAAAGGCAAGATCACTCAGTATGTTGTCTTCAATAAATGAATTTTAAATTCAATGACACACTTAGGCTAAAAGTAATCAGAAGAAAAAAGCTATACTATGCAAATATTAATCATAATAAAGTTGGACAGATGATATTACTATCAGATAAAATGAACATTGAGGAAAACAAAGGAAGTAGTTAATATCCTCACTTTAGGGATGAGATAGCTGAGGTCCAGAGGAAATGAAATGCATTTTTCAATATCATATTACTAGAAACTTGGAAACATGTAGCCTGGAGGTTCTTGTTAGGAAATTTCAGGTTAGATGCATGGTGGTAGTAGAAAAGGCTTGAAAACTGTGGGGCTGCCTAGGGGCAAATATTTCAAGTATAATAAACAATACCTTTTGAGCATCACAAGATCATTAAAGGGTCAGATCTGACCCTTTGGCTTACTGATAGCCGAGTTGTTCTCTTCATATCATATACAATTTTACTGACAAATTGTCCACATATAATATTTATTATATTTGATTTGGGTTTTTCCCTAATAATTTATTAACAGCCTGGTTGACTTGAGATTTATGAAAAAATAAATTTGTTTAATGAAACAGTGATCAGCTATGGTAATGCTGATCATTATGCTTTTATACAATGGTTCATCTTAGGCACAGAAGAAAGAAAGGCAGTAGCCCCTGTCAACTGTGCTTTGTTAATGCCAGAGCAGGACCTAAGCCAAGTACTTTCCTAGCATTATCTCATTTAACTTTATGAACAAACCTATTATCCACATTTTGTACACGAACCTGAAAGAGCATTTCACTGATGTCTTGAAAACCAAAGCAAAGAGAGTTACAAGAAGGGAATTTTTTTTTTCACTTAAACTTTCTGTTTTTTTTCTTCTTGCATCAACATTATTGAGTTATAATTTACATGCAATAAAATGGACCACCCCTTTTTGACTGTATAGTTTGACAAAGTTTTACAAAAGTGTACGCTCATGACCACTGCCACAATTAATACATACATTTTCATAACTCTCAAGTGTTCCCTCATGTTCCATTTCAGTCCATCTGCCCATACCCATTTCCCAAGGCAACACTGAAATATTGACAACCGTGTACTGTTTCCCCAATATTTTGAAAAATATGACACATTTCATCTAATCTAAAATGCCATTGATTTTGAGATGCATCCCAGTTTTGAGGATGTTACAACAGGAAAAAAAGAGTATCTTCAAATCTATGAAATTGTATGCCTCCTTTTATATCTATAAAATGCTTTGCAAATGCGAGCAACTATTATTAGGAGCTAATAATGGTCCTGGTTTTATTAACCAAAGAGACATGGTAACTTTTAGTTAGTTGTTGCACACCTCTCATATTGCTCAGGAGGAAAACTGAGGCTATAAGGAGGAAAGGACTTCTCTATGGCTCCAATGGAAAGGGAAGGCATCTGCCACCCTAGAAGACTCCCTTCTATTACAGTCTTGCCCCAAATGGGTTAAGAGAGGACTTAGGCCAGGGAGGGCTTACTACACAGTCTGGGTGGTAGGAGATTAAAGTTTTCAAAGGTCAAGATAATGTTCCTTCCCACCAATCCCATCCCAAGATATTTTCAGTCATTGCAATAGCTACATTCATTATCTCAGATTCATGATTACATGAACACAATAGCCAGATCAGAATCATGACAGGCTCAGAAGCCTATGGTAAATGGAATTTGAATACTAAATCTAAAGAATATTGTTCATCTTGGGTTTGAATTAAGAACAAAGAGAAATGGAAGTCAAGATGAAAATACCTGTAATTCTATCTTTAATTTATTTGACATTTCACTTTTTTGCTCAATTATGTGTTTTGTTTTGTTGCTAACTAGTTAGGCTTTTGCTAGTTCATCTCAACAGATGCCCACTCCACGTTCAGAGAAAATTTAGGTAAATGTAGGGCCGGGCGCGGTGGCTCACGCCTGTAATGCCAGCACTTTGGGAGTCCGAGGCGGGTGGATCACGAGGCCAGGAGATCAAGATCATCCCGGCTAACACGGTGAAACCCCGTCTCTACTAAAAATACAAAAATGTTAGCCAGGTGTGGTGGCGGGTGCCTGTAGTCGCAGCTACTCGGGAGGCTGAGGCAGGAGAATGGCGTGAACCCGGGAAGTGGAGCTTGCAGTGAGCCGAGATCGCGCCACTGCACTCCAGCCTGGGCGACAGAGTGAGACTCCGTCTAAAAAAAAAAAAAGAAAAGAAAAGAAAAGAAAAGAAAATTTAGGTAAATGGTAAAACTTTTTTTACATCCTTTGTAATTCTGTGACCACTGAAAGAGTGACAAGTTTCATAAAACAAAGCTGGAAAAATCAATTACAAATTAGGAAACTCAGTCACACATGAGTTTGAGAACACCCTTCAGAGAACTTCCAGGAGGGAAAGCAGATCTCTTTTATTCCAAGGGCATCAAAGTTTGGAAGCCAGCAAGAGTTCCTTGTAAAGTCTGCTGACCAAAGGTCCAGAGCAAGGTTTCTCAAATGGAGGTGGGGGATGATTTTGTCCCCAAGGGGATATCTGGCAATGTCTGGAGACATACTTGGTTGTTACAACTTGGGAGATGTGCTACTGGCCTCGAAGTAGGTAGAGGCCAGGGACACTATTAAACATCCTTCAATTCATGGGGCAGCTGCCACCACATAAAAAATGTATCTGGCCCAAAACATCAATAGTGCCAAGGTCAAGAAACCCTGTCCCAGAGAGACAATCATTTATTCAGCAAGTATTTAGTGTAAGCAACTTACTGTGAATCCCAGTTTGTTACTGACTAACAGAGTATACTGGGCAACTCTCTAAGCCCAATTTTTCACATCTGAAAGGTGAGGGAGACAATAATCACAGCTATGTTACAGGGTGAGTGTTCAGTAAGTGGTGGCTGCTCTCTTGCCTCTGAGCTATGCTGCTTACTAGGTCCATGACTTTGGGCAAGTTATTTAAACTTTCTGAGACTCTATTTCTTTATTTGTAAAACAGAGCTGTATAAAGTACTGTGGGGGCTCATAAGAGACTTGAAAATAGGTTTCTGCCATTATGAGATGAAGTGGGAAAGTGCCAAGATGAGAGAAATTACCCTTGTGGGGACTGCAGGCTTGGCGGAAGGTGAAGTTCTTCTCTAGCTTTGATTTCACTCCCACCCCCTTCTGGCTTTCTCCATTCTGCAGTGGTCTGGTGGTAGATGAGTGTGCCGAGGAGCAGATATGCCAATGTTCTTGCGGTTGAGATGTCACATCAAACAGGAACTTACGAGAAGGCCATGAAAAGTCACTTGTACCTACAAATATCTGTCTAAAATAGGAGACTGCTTCCTGAAAGGATAACTGATCCTAAAGCACTGCATGGGATCAAGGTGACAACCAATTCTAATTAACAAATATTATGATATCTCTATTATGTACTACCCACAAGGCTAATCAGTGAAGATGTAAAGGGAAATAGAAGGAAAGGGAATAAGAGGGAATTCATATTGAGCCCCTAGTCTGTCCCAGATGCCGGGAGAGGGGCTATGGTACCCATTTTCTCTTCACAATATCCTATTATATTTGTCAGGCTTCTCCAGAGAAACAGAACCAATAGGATCGAGAGAGAGAGAGAGAGAGAGAGAGAAAGAGAGAGAGAGTGTTTGTGTGTGTGTGTGTGTGTGTGTGTGTGTGTGTGTATGTGTATATATATATATATAGAGAGAGAGAGAGAGAGATTATAAGGAATTGATTCACATGATTCCTAGCTGAGAATTCCCAAAATCTGCAGTCAGCAAGCTGGAAACCCAGGAGAGCTGTTGTATAGTACCAGTCCCAAGGCCAACAGACTTCACACCCAAGAAGAGTCAGTGTTTCAGTCCGAGTCTGAAGGCCAGAAAAGACCAATGTCCCATTTCGGCAGTCAGGCAGAAAGAGCTCCCTCTCGCTCAGCCTTTTTGTTCTATTCAGGCCTCCAACTGATTAGATGAGGTCCACCCATATTAGGGAGGACAACTTGCTTTACTCAGTCTGTCAAGTCATATGGTTTTTAAAAATTGACAAATAATAATTGTACATATTCATGGGGTACAGTGATATCTCAATACATATAATGTATAGTGATCAGATCAGGGTAATTTTGTATCCTTTAACAAATCTCTGTATATCTCTCCCTTCCCCTTCCCCTTCCCAGCCTCCATTTGTTGGGTGTAGTGACATGGACCTGTAGTCCCAGCTACTCAGGAGGCTGAGTCAGGAGGATTGCTTGAGTCAGGAGTTCTGGTCCAATCTGGGCAACATAGCAAGACTCCCACCTGTTTAAAAAATACATACAGATTAAAAACACTCTCATAGACATACCCAGAAATAATATTTGCCCAGACCAAATGTCTGGGCACCCCCACCCTACTCCATGGCCAAGTCAAGGTGACACATAATATTAACCAGCATAATATTCCTATGAAGTAGGAATTATTGTGTGTATCACTATACTCAATTTACAGGTAAAGAAAAGGGACTTAGTGAAATAAGTCCCTGCCAAATTCATACAGTTGCAAAATCAAAACATAAAACTAATTCTGTCTTACTCCAGAGTCACTCTGAAGTAAGACATGCCCGTCCCAGTCATTCTCTCCACTCTCAAACCATTATAATCTACAAATGTGACGCTGAGCAAGTTCTTTTCCTCTCTAGGCTTCAGTTTCCACATGTGGAAAATGATGGTTTTGAACTAGATTATCTCAGAGGTTCCCTCTAGCTCTCACCTTCTCTGACTTTACTTAAATTGAGTTTTTTTAAATCTCTGGTATTGGTATTCTTTCAACACATTGTCCAGAAGTCATTTTGACAGAAACCCTCCTTCTGACTTGACAGTATGGTTAATTTGCAAGTGAAAAGTGCTTTCTACAAGGTGAAATAGAAAACTGGGAAAGTTGTCAATTAGCTAATAGCAATGGGGATAAGCATGTGAGCCTGTGAGTGTGCATGCATGAGTGTATATGTGGTGGGTGGAGATAAATCTTAATGGTAAAACTAGACAAATTATTTCTTCTAACCCTCTACCAAAAATCTATTAGCTTATGATGTTTTGTCCACAGCTTTTTAAGTCAATAGAAATGAATATCTTCTCCTACATCTGATTGTACCATCATGGAGGCAAACCAGATAAATTACTGTCAATATCTGGCCAATTAACTTACTCAACAGAGAGCTAATAAGCACATACTATATGCCAGGTACTTCTCTAGGTACTCAGGGAATAAAAGATCAATATGAGATACTCTTCTGTTCTCAAGGAGCCTGTGGTGTACTAACATACTTGGGGATGGGAATTGAAAGTGAATCAAACATTCTCTTGTGCAGGATCCCAGCTAACCCATCCTGGCATCCAGTACTTTAGAGCTTTCAAAGCACTTTCACATCCACCATCTCACTTTGATGCTCTCAGGAGCCCTGTGAGGTAGGTGGGGAAGATTTCATGAACTTCTTTTTATAGATGAGGAAACTGAAGCCTTATTAGAAATTAAGTGACTCAGGTGCTGGTTAGCGAGTGGCAAAACCAGAACCTACATTATTGGGTTATGTTGACTCAAGAGTCAAATGCTCTTTTCCCCAGTTGTCTTCATATCTCTAGGCCCTGGCTGCCATCAAACGTTTGGTGGCCGGGCAAAGGAGTTTCCTGGAAATATATCTCCTGGAAAACATTCCATTTAGAAGGACAATTCAGGTGGATAATTCAGTCTCTAATTTTTACAAAGGAAAAAGTTCCTTTCACTTCAGTATAAACTCCAAGAAAACCTAATGAAGATGTCAGCACAGGCAACCATGTTGGGAGAAGTTCCCACATTGACTTTGTGCGCTTTAAACTTGCATGCTGTTTTGGTTTTTTGCCCATGCAGGTCAGTGTCAAAATACTGGCGAGACTGGACCACAAGTGGTATGGCAGTGCTATTTCCTGTTCCAGAGGTAGTGCTTTTTCAATGCATCCTGGATGCTTGACATTGTATTCCACTCTATTGTATTCCCCTGATCTCTTCACTCCTTGTGAGTTCTACCTGTGTCCGTGGTGACCTGGGCATCCATGGCTTCTTGCTGCCTCCTTCTAGCTGGGTAGCCATGTTGCTTCACACACTGGGATACAGTTTCTTCATCTGTAAAATGGGAAAATAGTATTAGAATATAGGAAGTATAACCTATCAGTGTACATGAGCATGGGATTGGGAGACACTAACACATTTAGGAATGAGGAAAGGGCCTAAAAAATTTATTCTTGGTTCCTCAAATAAGGTATTAGCTGTTTTGTCTAGGCAAGTGACTTCACCTCTCTCAATCCCAGTTTCCTCATCTGTAAAATGGTATCGTGGAACTAAAGTCTCTCTAAGACCCACTCAACACTGGGATTCCATGACTCAGCAAGTGGAAATGAACACATGACTTCTAACTGTCCACTCCTAGAGTGGAAGGCACTGAAAACAGAGGGGAAAAAGAGGAGGGTGAAAAATACGGGGCAAGAAAGCACAGGAAGAGCATGTTTTATTTTTTTTTTCTCTTTCTTGGGAGAAAGAATAGACTGAAAACACAGAAGTCCATTTAATTAAACTAAAATAAATGGATTCTCAAAAGAAAAACGTTAAATGTGGTTCAATCAAAAGATAAGGTCTGTCAGCACTGGTACTGTCAGAGAACATCAGCTGAGCTCCCGGATCCCTGGATAGAGAATTAGGAGGGCACTAAGTGAAACCACAATAATCAAGTTGCTATTGTGGGACTGGGTTCAAAGAGCCAGAGTGCTGAGGAGAAGACGCTTACATCATCATGTCCATCTGCACAAGCAAGTCATTTCTGCTCCTTGGAGACTCCAAGTAGCAAAATCAGTTAAACTTGCTTAGTATCCATGCAATAAAATAGGTTGTGGAAGACGGAGCTTGGAATAGTCATGGCCCCAAGAAGATTATATGAGTTGATCCATATCAGATTATTTAAAGCTCAGTTACATCATTTAAAATAGTGAAAAATTGAAACCTATCCAGAGGTCTATTAATGGGGAGATTACTATATAACCTATGGTACGCCACTGGGATGGTGGAGTAGGGTGGATGGGACAGACTGACCCTGACCTGCCTGAAGCACAGAGCTCCAGTTAGGTACTTTCTTCATTTTCTATATATTATGATTTCACATTCTAGAAAATCTTTCTGGCTGTGGAGAGACAGCCCCTCCTGGAGCTAGCCAATTCTTAGAGATAACAAATGGCTCAACCAGGAAACTGCCTTTGATATGCAAGCTAACCAAACCAGAGCCAGGAGCCCTGCCTCTTCTATCTGGCCCATACGTCACAGGACGCAATATCCCTCGGCCTTAATCATCTCAGGGCCAGGTACCAGGCAACTAGGCCCCATCCCTATAGCTTAGAGCCTGTCAGAATTATACAAATTAGAAAATCCTAAGCCAATCACCTGTTCTGCTTTCCCTTTCCCAAGGAAACCCCAATGATAGCCATGGCCTAAACACTCACCTCATTCCTGTGTTTGCCTCCAGATGACCCTGGTGTCATGTGGGAAAGCACTTCCCACATGGTCCTGTGTGGTGTGGTGTGCCTCCTGCCTCTGGGACCTGGGAAGATAATCAACTTTGTTTCTTCCTGAGCCTCTCCTGGCTGCATTTGACTGACCATGTCACTAAAAAAATACAAAATGGTAGGTGAGGGCCAGTGTGGCTTGTGGGATGGACTGTAGCCCAACACGACTTGTTATTAACTGCCCCATATCTATCCATCCTCTACCCTCCCCACATACATGCCCCACAGCTAAGTCCTGTCCTGTTTTCTCTGTTTATCTTAGTGATATCCCAATTGCCCCAATTCCCCCAAGCTCCTAAGTTAGGAACTTAGTCATCATGTCCCCTTTCTCTGTCTCTCACTCTCCGTGTCCAGTCATTTGTCAGTTGCTTCCTTTAAAATCTCTTTTGAATTTGTTTCTTCCTTTCTATTTGATAGCTCTTTATCATTTAAACTGATCATTGCGATCGACCTCCCAACTACTCATCCTGCCTCCAGTTCTCCTTTCTTTTCAATTCAGCCCATATACCCATTTTAAATGAACCTTCTTAAAATACTACATTCCCCAAATCCCTTCTCTGCTCAAAACTGTCCAGTGCTTGCCTTTGTCCTCTGGATGAATTCCTGACTCTTTAGCCTGTATTTCAGGGCCTTCCATGAGCTGATCTTTGTCTAACCTCAGCCCCCAATGTACACCTATGTTTT
Source organism: Homo sapiens (assembly GCF_000001405.40). Taxonomy (NCBI): domain Eukaryota; kingdom Metazoa; phylum Chordata; class Mammalia; order Primates; family Hominidae; genus Homo; species Homo sapiens. Next base: position 151,230,176 of record NC_000023.11, on the reverse strand, counting down.
GAAAACAGGGGAAGCACAACTTATGAGAAGGGAGGCCCTGACTAGAGATAGTGTATGGTTTGAACCATTACCAGCTGAAGTGTCCAGTGTTCTTACACATGGCATTTTCCCACTCACCTTCAGAAGTGAGAAGGAAATCCGAATAACACCGCACACTAGTGCTGGGCTCTACAGCTTATGATGTCATTTGCATATGCCATCACATTGTGAGTTGCAACAGTCAGTAGGCATTATTATCTTCATTTCAGAGATGAGCAGCCTGAGGCCCAAAAAAGGACAGTGACTTGCTCAAAGTCACACAACTAAGAAATGATGGAGCCAGTACCCTCTTTTCAATGATTTCGGCCAATATCCTTTATTCCCTTGCTTCACTGTCCACACTCTACTTCATCTCATCCCCAAAACGGCCACACCTGGACTGACTTCACTGTTGCCTTTCTCACTCCTTACAGCAGCATCATGGAGTGCTCCTAGAAAAACTCACCTGGCCATGCAGGTCCTCCCACTAAAGATTTGACCCATTTGCTCCCAGGCACCTTCTCAAGACCCCCATCTATCAATTATGGTCTCATTCTCTTGTCTGGCTTTGTCTCCTTAGCAACAAAACCTGCTAACCAGCCCACATGTTCCACAAAAAAAAACACACAAAAAAAACCCTTTTCTGAATCCTGTATCTCACTCTAGGTACTGTCATATCTCTTTCTTTTCTCAACAAAGTTTATTGAGAAAAATCATTACTGGTCATTGCCTCCTTTCCCTCACTTTCCGTTCATGGTTTAGTCCATTGCAATTTTGGGTACAACCTCCACACTTATCTCTGAAACTGTTCTTAAGGCCAAATTCAATGAGCACATGTCAATTATCATCTTATCGGCCCTGACAGAAATGTTTAGTCAGGTTAACCTTCAATCTTGAAAGTCTCTCTTTGGCCTTTGCTTCCTGAACTCAACTCTTGCCTCATTTTCCATCTTCTTCTCTTGTGGTTTCTTTTTAGTCTCTTGCTCAGACTTGTCCTCTGTCTACTCCAACAAAATATGTAGCTATCCAGCTGTGAAGCAGCCTTGAGCGGTAGAGTTCCCCGTCACTAGGAGAGTTGAGTCAGAGGCTACATAAGTATCTATACAGAGACATCATAGAAGAAATTCCTACACCAGGTGTTAACTTCAATTAAATGAACTTTAAAGTTCTTTCCAACCCTTAAATTGTATAAGTCTACATACGCTGAGTGCCAAGTAAGAGGTCTGGTGAAAGAAATGCTATCAGAATTAAAAGTGGGGGAAAAATTTTTAAAAAGTAAGTTACCCCATTTAAATTTGTTTGAATAACACTATGGCCATAAAAGATCACCCAGTAATAGGACAATGGCTGCTATTCATTTTTCTAACCAAGGACTTATTTGTCTTTGATGTTGAGATATCACTACTCGAATCTGGGCCTACCTGAAGGGTAAGAGGGCAGAAACGGAGAGAATCCTCCACTCTTTAACCTGTAACCTCATTCTCAAGTCTTTCCGACACTCAGGTCTTTCTCATCACCTCCACCACCACACAAAATCTTTCATGGATTAAAAAATCTGTAATCTATGAAAGAATTACAAGTGCCCTCTAGAGCTTTGGTGCCCATCTCTGGAAAACTGCTGTAGCTTAAGTTTTTATCTCGTATCTTTCAAGAATAGATTTATCTTTGGTGTCAGACTGCTTTTCTGATGTTATTCAGAGATTTGGATAGAATTTATATTCAGAATTTGGGTCATATTCATGCTGCAGTTACCTTCACAGTGGAATTGCCCTTTAAAATTTTTAATCATATTTCTAGAATTAAAATTACAAGTTGATTTTACATCCCTGAATTCTGAACTCTGGCACCTTGAGCTGGTAAGGCTATCATTTTCTAACATTATTTTCAGTAGTCATAGCTGTGGGGTTTGCAGGTCATCCTCTTACTATAAAGCAACAAAATCACAGTCTTACGGCTGGAAGTTTTAGAGTAAATTATCATCTGTATTCTGGCTGCTCTTAGAGACATTTCAGTGTCTTTAAGTAATTGTCTTTGGGTGTATCATCCAGGTTCTATTATTGCTATCTGTGGGAGGGTTTACATGACTACTTCACTTGTTTGACATTACCATCCCTAGGTCATTTAGGGCCGACGAAACAGAGACCTACGGGGCTCTCAATTAAAAACATAGGAGTGGGGAGAGGCGCTGCCGCCACGGCGGCCAAGCGAGCGCAGTCGGGGCGGGCGGCGGGAAGAAGCGGCGGGCCCGAGCTGGGAGGCAGCAGGGAGAGCCCACCCACCACCTTCCCTTCCCTCCTCGATGTGAGCGGGGGCGTCCCGGACTCCGCAGCTGCCAGAGGAGGGAGAGCCGGGGCCGTCGCTTCCGAGTTGGGGCTGAGCAGCCCTCGGCGAGAGCGCGCCAAGACCGCCGCAGCTGCTAGCTGAGTTAAACCCACCCACAGTCATGGCCGAGGCCTTACCCAGGACCCTGGGGGAGTTGCAGCTGTATACAATATTACAAAAAGCCAATCTGCTTTCTTATTTTGATGCCTTTATCCAACAAGGTGGTGATGATGTCCAGCAACTCTGTGAAGCAGGAAAAGAGGAGTTTTTGGAAATCATGGCACTCGTGGGCATGGCTAGCAAGCCGCTTCATGTTAGAAGGCTACAGAAGGCTTTAAGAGACTGGGTCACAAACCCTGGGCTTTTCAATCGGCCGCTGACTTCCCTTCCTGTCAGTAACATACCGATCTATAAATTACCAGAGGGATCACTGACATAGCTGGAAATATCCTGCAGTAGTTATGAAAGGAGTAGCAATGCCTGGGAACCTCATTTTAAAATCCCCAATTTTACCACCCAACTTTTTTACCACCCAATTTACCACCCAATTTCCCCAATTTTGCCACCACCTGTGTGCAGAGCTTGGGACAGGGGAAGTCAGATGTGGTCGGGAGCCTAGCACTGCAGAGTGCTGGTGAGTCCAGACTCTGGCAAGGCCACCATGCCACCAAGAGCGAGCACAGCCTCTCCCCAGCAGACCTGGGCTCCCACACGTCCCCAAAGGAGAGCAGCGAGGCACTGGATGCTGCTGCTGTGCTCTCTGTGGCAGAGTGTGTGGAGCGGATGGCCCCCACACTGCCGAAAAGTGACTTGAACGAAGTGAAAAAGCTGCTAAAAACCAACAAGACGTTGGCCAAAATGCTTGGTCACATCTTTGAGATGAACGATAATGATCCACGCAAAGAGGAGGAAATTTGGAAATACAGTGAATATATGGCAGATTTGACTCAAAGAGGAAGGATGGAAAACATCTCATGCTTCATGAGCTCACTGTTAATGAAGCGGCTGCTCAACTCTGTGTGAAGGATAATGCTCTTTGCCTTGGCTAGGCAGGTTTCTCGAGAAGTCACCTATAAATATACTTACAGAACCACCAAGTCAAAATGTGAAGAAAGAGATGAATTATCCTTGTAGAGGATTAAAGTGGAGGATGGGTTTCCAGATTTCCAGGATTCTGTGCAAACGCTCTTCCAGCTGGCTAGAGCTAAGAGTGAAGAACTCGCAGCCCTTAGTTCACAGCAGCCCGAAAAGGTGATGGCAAAGCAGATGGAGTTCCTCTGCAACCAAGCTGGCTGTGAGAGACTGCAGCATGCCGAGAGGAGGCTGTCTGCAGGGCTTTACAGGGAGAGCTCAGAAGAGCACAGTCCTAAAGGCTTGACTTCCGATAACTCAGATGGACAAGGAGAAACACCTTTGAATCTCCGAATGCCTAATTTACAGAACAGACAACCCCATCATATTGTGGTGGATGGGGAGCTGAGCAGACTTTATCCCAGTGAGGCAAAGTCCCACTCATCAGAGAGCCTTGGGATTTTAAAAGACCAGCCTCACTCAGCTTTTACCTTAGAAAAGAAAGTCATCAAAACAGACCCTGAAGATTCAAGATAGCTGTGATTCTCTCACCGTTCTCTGGAAATGGCATCAGATTTAAGGATAATACTCCATCATATAAATAAGCCTTAATAACCAGTGTTGCCTCATTCAGCTCAAACAGATTTCATAGCCAAAGCAAAAGGACTGTTACAGTAGCCTGCAGAAACCAGGAAGATAAAACAACAGCCACAAAAGAGAAAATCAAAAGAGTGTTGCAATCTATAACAGTAACATTGATTCATTCACATTCCTGTGTTGAGTCATTCTATATGGAAAGGCTTACAAATCAATATTGTAAGCATTCATTATTTAAGAATGTACAATGCATTTGTGTAATTTATAGAAGTAAAATCTAGATGTTCAGACCTGTTTGGTTCAATAGATGTGGATACAGCTTATTTTACTTGAAATTTTGTTGTCTACTGTGTGTGTTTAACGTAAATATATGTCAGAGTTTAGAATCTTTGCCTGCAGTCGTGAAAAAGAAAGCTTAAATGATGTAGTTGTTGGCAAGATTGCAATGATTATGGAAAAATAGAAAGCAAATACTCAGTTTAAGCCAAGGAAAATATCATGGATTTAATATTTGATAAAACTGATTTTGTTTAACAGGAAATGTGTAGCATTCACTCATATAATATCTGGTTATCAGCGCACGTTTACACAATAAATACCTGAGTGGAGGAAAGTTAAAAAGATGAGCAATAGAGTAGAAAATATCTCTTAAACTAGTTGACCTAGTTTGTATTAACAGCTACTTAAAATGTATCAAAGATAGGCAGCTATTACGTAGACAGATAAATTGAAATAAGTGGACCCATGTATAAAAGCTTTGACTTAAACATTGATATTTCAGAACGTGTTAAATAGATTAAGACATAGTAAGTTAACCCTACATGTTATAAAGATGGTGACTGTTAACAAAGGCTATAACAGATTAAGTACTGTTTATATCTAGAAAGTCTTCTCTATGTAGAGAAGTCAGAGAGACTAGATGCTTTCACTAGGGAATGTCTTCCCACCCAGCCATCACAAGTGTGGACAATCACTGCATCCACATTTGTAGGCATATTTTTATGGAAGTTTAGTTGACACCTATATTCATTATTTATTTTATGATTTCATTTTTCTACACCTTTGAGATTTGTGAATGCAGTTTTTTCTTAAAATTCATTTTTAACTTGACAGTACATTTTTAATTCCCCCAATTTAATTAATGGACTGCGTGCATATATATGGGAGTGTGCTTACATGTTTATAATGTACTCGCATACTTATGAGAATTTCACATTGGAATTCATAATGGTAAAAAATCAAATACACCTGCCAATATACGTTTTTTCTGTTGGTTTAAGAGAAGATGGCCGGGCTCAGTGGCTCGCGCCTGTAATCCCAGCACTCTGGGAGGCCGAGGCCGGTGGATCACCTGAGATCGGGAGTTCGAAACCAGCCTGACCAGCGTGGGGAGACCCCGTCTCTACTAAAAACACAAAGTTAGCCAGGTGTGGTGGCACATGCCTATGGTCCCAGCTACCTGGGAGGCAGAGGCAGGAGAATTGCTTGAATCCGGGAGGCAGAGGTTGTGGTGAGCCGAGATTGCGCCATTGCACTCCAGCCTGGGCAACAAGAGGGAAACTCCGTCTCAAAAAAAAAAAAAAAAAAAAAATCTGACAGCTTCACCTACTTCCTACAGATTCATCTAAACCCAGATATTGCTGAGAAGAGTGTATTGACTTAGAATATGTATTTTTTGTTTTTAGTTCTGCTGTAGATCATAAGTGTGTAAAAAATATTAAGTCATAATCTGTTACACTAAAATTCGTCAGCCAAATGTTGGATGAGATGTCTGCACTGTAATCTCAGATCACTGTCACGTATATAAATTGCTTCTTCATTTTAATTTGTAGAAGAACTTTACAGTAGGAAACACCAGTAAACAACTTTTATACTGTTAAAAGGCTTTTTTTCCCTTCCTAAATGCTTTAATTGTACCATAGTGTTTTGCTCACTGAAGAAGCTTCTTATGGACCTTGCAACTTTGTTGCTAGCTTGAGGGTGATTATTGTGGTTGTATTGTTCACTGTGTGTAGAAATAGTATGAGTATGATTTCAATAGACTGTTCAGTTTTTAACATTAGCCATAGCACTGGTTAGTATCTCAGTAGTTTCATGAAACATTTCCCGTATTAGAATCTATTTTGAAACATTTATTTGTGTGTGTGTGTGTCTTAGGGTCAAGTTTGTAAATTTTAATAAGCCACAATTTTAAAAGATGCAGTAATCTTCCAACTTCCAATATTTATCCATTCCTCGTGGATCCACAAATTGCATCTTTAAATTCATGATACCTTTCCTTAAGTATCATATGTTTCCGGTTGTTCAAGCTTAGTGATGAGGTGCAAGCACAAGAGAAATTTCAGTAGAATACAGTTTTTATTTTGTAAACACTAATGTATTAAACTTGTTATACATTAAAGCAAATAATATATATTTTATTTGAATTGTATATATGAGTTGGATGTTGTAACTAGTTGACTTTTTCATTTTGTTAGAGGTATTTTCGCTGAACAAGGTCAATTGGTTACCTAAGTATTAGGGCCAATATAGTCCAAGGGACCATTTCTCCCTGAGTCTCTTACACTTTATTGTGCGATGTCCATGTTTTTTGTTGTTGTTGTTGCTGTTGTTTTTTGTTTTGTTTTGTTTTGAGATGGAGTCTCACTCTGTCACCCAGGCTGGAGTGCAGTGGCACGATCTCGGCTCACTGCAAGCTCTGCCTCCCGGGTTCACGCCATTCTCCTGCCTCAGCCTCCCGAGGAGCTGGGACTACAGGCGCCCGCCACCACGCCCGGCTAATTTTTTGTATTTTTAGCGGGGACGGGGTTTCACCGTGTTAGCCAGGCTGGTCTTGATCTCCTGACCTCGTGATCCACCCACCTTGGCCTCCCAAAGTGCTGGGATTACAGGTGTGAGCCACCGCACCTGGCCGATGTCCACGTTTTTATGACTCTTCAAGCTGTTGGTGAGGTGGGACGAGTGCACTTGCTTCCTGTTCCTTTGGCAATAAAGATTTTCTGTGCCTCCCCCCACAAAAAAAAACAAGCATAGGAGGACCATCCCCAAGTAAGAGGGATGCACCAGAGTTTGGTTAAGTTTTATTAAAACTTCAGCTGAGTCCAAAGCACTAAGGTGATCAACACTTCACTCTATCAGACTAAGAGAGGAAATAGGACAATTATATGGTTCTTTTATACATTAGACATAAGAAGAAGTAGAATGACATGTAACCTATAATCAAGAAAAAAGCAGACAATGCAAGCAGACTCAACATTGCATGAAAGATACAAGCCTTCTCCTGTATTTTCAGACAAAAAAAAAGTTTGATTCATGAAAAAGTGAAGATTACTGGAAATGGAACATATGAAAGCAAACATAAAATTCATTTATGTCTTCATTTGTGACTATATGACTGAATGCACCGGCTTTGTTGCTGACTGTCAGCTGACAGTCATCTTCATGTCTTAGGGGCCACCTGCAGTTTCCAGTTTTTTCCCATGTGGGCTTTCTCATCATGGCTGCTTACTTCATCAAATCAGCAAGAGGCATTTCTTACCTCACAGAGGACCCAGTACCTCTTTTAAAGGCTTTTAGCTAATTAAGTCAGGCTCACCATTGTAATTTCCTTTTTAAGTAACCCAAAGTCAACTGATTTACAACCTTAACTACACCTGAAAAATCCCTCACCTTTGTTATATTCTATTGACTAGAAGCTAGTCAGAGTTTCCACCCACACTCAAGGGGAAAAGATCATAGAGGGCATGAACACAAGGGTAGGGGAATCTTGGGACCCATCATAGAATTCTGCCTACCATAGTTAGTATTTATATACAGAGCAAGCCTCCAGGAGGTTAGGCAAGGAATAGCTACTGAGGAAATAAATATTACTGAGAAAGAAACAGCTGGACAACTACTAGAACTCACACAAGACTGTAAGAAACTTAGGTGTCAACCAATCAGAATGTATAGACATCATTGAACATCCAGGACATTCCAGTAGGGATCCCAGAGAGACCACACTTTAGGAGTAGGGAACAATTATCTCAAGGGTAAAAGTTATTCTAGGCCCACTCCAACAAAAAAATAAACCTCAAAAGGATCAAGCTGATGCACAGTAAATTGTCTGCTAAAATAAAATTTAATACAATTAAATAATACAACAAAATGCAGACACTCACACTCAAAAACATACCACTCCAGCCTGGCCAACATAGTGAAACCCCTTCTCTACTAAAAATACAAAAATTAGCCGGGCATGGTGGTGTGTGCCTGTAGTCCCAGCTACTCGGGAGACTGAGGCAGGAGAATTGCTTGAACCCAGGAGGCGGAGGTTGCAGTGAGCTGAGTTCGCGCCACTGCACACCAGCCCAGGTGACAGTGCGAGACTCTGTCTCAAAACAAACAAACAAACAACAACAACAAAAACCCATAACACTAATAATGTCCATCATACAGTCCAAATTTTTTAGCTATGGGGATTTCTGTCTCACTCATAGGAAATAATTGATGTAAGAGTAGCTATCTCACAATAAACAACTATAAAACTAGACAAAATAAATGAAACAACTGCTTTCAGACATTGCACAAGAAGCAAAGCAGGACAGTGATCCAACAGAGTAGGGGAACTAATGAGGCGAGTCCTATATTTACCCAGGCTCTTTGCTTCAAGGCAATTGCCAGACTGCGACAAAGGGAGGAAGAACCCAAGTAGATCTCGGAAATTTTGCGGAATAAAAACACAACAGTCTCTAAATAAAGACAATAAAATCCAGACATTTAACATCATAATTTCCACAATGTGTGTCACCTCATTAAAATATGAACCATTACCAGGAGAAAAATCAGTCAATATAAACAAGCTCAGAAATGACAAGTAAAATGGAATTAGCAGACAAGGACTTTAAATGATGTACTATAAATATTATCAAGGAATTAAAGCTAAACATGAACACAATGAGAAAATATATTGAAGATACAAATGAAAATGAATCAGAACTTCTAGAGCTGAAAAAAAAATATGAAGTGAAAAAGTCACTTGACAGATGAAGAGACAGAAGTACCAGCAGATTAGATACTACAGAAGGAAAGATTAGTAAATTTGAAGACATAGCAATAAAAACTACCCAAACTGAAACAAAGACAAATTCTGAAAAAATTAAAAGAGCTTCAGTGACCTGTGGGATAATGCCAGACAACCTACATATCAATAATTGCCTAAACTGTGAAAAGGCAAAATTATCCCAGGAATGAAGAGTAAATCACAAACTGCTCATAGGAGAATATACTCAAATAAAAATTTAATAAGGGGCATTGAAGAAAGAGACAAAAATAATCAAGTGAATGAAAATGACCAAAGAAAAAAAGTTTAAAGGGTCAGAGAAAAGTAGTGGAAGTGAAAAACAGGCAAAGAAAAGGAAGAAGAAAAACAAGTCAATGAAATAGAGCTAATATTTAAAATTATAACCCGAGAAAAAAATCAGAAATAGAAAAAGACCTGAATCTACAAATTGAACAAGCTTCCTAGGTACCTACAAAAATCAACCTAGACCTATGAACTGTAAGATATAGGTAAATAAAACTATAAGATTTTAAAGTAAATATAAAGCCCTCAACTTTCACTTTTAGCCAATATGGAAAAACAGGGAACAGATTTACTATCCCACCTGAAAAAAAAATGAACAAAATAATGGTTTGCAAGGCATGCAGGTAAAAAGGACAGTGAACCCTGAGAGATGGGAAACAATGGAAGTAAGCCGTGCAATTGTCCCCCGCTTACTGCCTTAAAAGAGTTTCCGGGCTGCAAGGAAGAAAGGAAGAACCCAGGAAGAGCCTTCATCAACTTCCTGAGTTCAGGAATCAGCACTAACACTATGGGGAGACCAAGATAGCTAGAGTTCATGTAACAGAGAACTGGAGATGAGAGTACAACACATAGACAGAAATTGGAAGATCTGCAAAGGATTCTTCTTAACAATTTAGCTGATATTGATCAGAAATTCATATGAGGAAATTATCTAAGGGGAAAGAACCATCAGAAAATAATCTATGGTATTTTGTTATAATAACCCAAACAGACTAAGATAAGACTATGCAAACAAATTTGAAAACCTAGAGGAAATAGATAATTTCATAAGGGAATTCAACTTACTAAAATTGGCCCCATTTGTGTTAGAAAGCTTAAACAGAACAGTTTCTATAGAAGTAATACAGGAAGTTATTAAGAGAATACTTTACAAAAAAAGCAACAAGCCCAGATGGTTTCACAAGAAGACGACAAAGTTAGATTCGTATCTCACACCATGTACAAAAAGATAGACTCCAAATGGATTAGAGAGCTAAATGTAAAAAATAAGACCAGGCCAATTACTAGAAGAAAACATCCGTGAATTTCTTTTTAACCTTGGTGTAGGGAAAGGCTCTCTAACCATGACTCAAAATCCAGAGGCAATAAAAGTCTATTAAATTTGATTACATTTTAAGAATGTGCATAACAAATGCACCATAACAAAATCAAAACATGAGTGACAAACTGGTAGAAAATATTTACGACATATAACACAGAGAAAGGACAGATCTATCTAATATATGAAGAACTCTTAAAAATCGAGGGGCAAAAGCCCAGACTTTGCCACTATGCAATATATCCATATAACAAAATCGCACTCGTACCCCTTAAATTTGTACAAATAAAAAATATTAAGGGACATACCAGGCAGGACCAGAGATAGGCAGGCAGTTCAATAAGCCTAATGTACAGAGTGGGTCAAAGTAGTGTACTATCAAGCTGGAGGTTTAGAGTATGCTTCCCTGGTTTAAGAGGAGAGATATGTTTAGATCTGCAGTTTAGAAAGAACACTCTGTTGACTTGGTGAATGTGAATTAGAAAAGCAGGGAGAGGGGTTCAGAAACTTAAAGTAATCCATCTGAGAGATAATGGTGCATCAAAATAAGGTAGTGACTATAAGGATTAAGAAAAAAGATAAAGACTTATTAAAGAGGCAGAATTTACTGGATTTATAAACCAAATTATGTGGGTAAGGTAGGAGTCCTGGATGAAACCCAGGATTTTAACATAGGCAGTGAGATAGGTGGTAGTCTTATAGAGAATGTAGAGAATGCAGGGATTTAAATTCAGTCTGGGCCGGATGCAATGGCTCACGCCTGTAATCCCAGCACTTCGGGAGGCCGAAGGGGGTAGATCACTTGAGCCCAGGAGTTCAAGACTAGCTTGGGCAACATAGTGAGATCCCGTCTCTACAAAAAAATACAAAATTAGCCAGGTGTGGTGGCATGTACCTGTAGTCCCAGCTAGTCTGGAGGTTGAGGTGGGAGAATCGCTTGAACCTGGGAGGCAGAGGTTGCAGTGAACTGTGATTGTGCCACTACACTCCAGCCTGGGTGACAGAGCAAGACCCTATCTCAAAAAAAAAAAAAAAAAAAAAATTCAATCTGAAGACTAAATATAATGGTCCATATTTGTTCAATGCTGTTCTAGGCATATAGAAAATATCTAATAAGTTTAGCTATTGCTGCTGTTCTCTTAGGCTAAACTGGTTTGATTAATCTTAATATAATTTACTATGAAATACTATGCACAGTTGATATTCAACATTCTCTAAGCAGATCTGGTTTCAAGTTGCACAACTTTCCAGCTTTGTGACTCTAGACAAGTTTCTTAACCTTTCTTGGCCTCAATCTCCTTCTTGTTAAATGGGAGTAATAATATCAACCCAGCAATGTTTTGGATAAGAAATAAGAGAAGTCAAGTGCCTGAAGTGGTGTCTGTCACATAGTAGGATCTTAATAAGTGATAAATTAAACATAAAGCAATATTATTGGTTTTAGGGGATTCTCTCTCATTTATCTTTGTATTTCCCATAGACCCCACCTGCCTAGAACGGTCTTACAGTTGATAGTAAATACTGATCAAATCTGTGGTAACTGTTTTCTGCTTGACATTTTTCTTTTATTTTTTTTCTTCTAGTCTGCCAAAGGCTGTTAATCTTCATTTTAAAAGTATCATTTAAATGGTTAGAGCAGCTTCTCCTTGCTTAATGTTTATTTTGCTTAATCTCTCTCTCTCTCTTATTTTTTTTTACTTACAAACAAACAATAACCCATGCTTCATAATACATAACACTTTCTTGTAAAATTTCTTGAGAACTCCCCCTATCTGCACTCCCAAGCCCTTATAAGAGTTTCATTCAGTAATAGAATCTCAGTCCCTATCTGGCTTGACTGTGATGAGAATTACCCAGGCTGCTGAACCTATTCCAAAATTGTTGCTGATCTCCAGAACTTCCACCAGAATTAAGAACAGTCAATTAACAACTTGGTCAAACATGTTGGATTTAATCATGGTGAATCATAGCCACTGAAAAGACATTTAATTTGATCTGAAATACTTTCACAAGAATATCAAATCTCAGGCATAATTTGTGATTAGCAACTCTATAAAAATAAAGAGTAATTGGAAATTTTAAAAGACTAAGTGTCAAAGGACCAGACACCCAAAAGTGTAACTGCCAATTCTGTTGATGAGTCTTAGGGAAATAGGCATTCTCATTGCTACTGAGAATGCAAACCGGTACAACTCTTTGAGGAGGAATTTGGCAACAGCTAACATAACCTTTCAACTCAGAAATCCCAGTTCTAAGAAACTATCCTCGAATATGAACTTTTTTTACAATTCAAAAATACATATGGCCAAAGTTATTCATTGCAGCATAGTTTGTAATTGCAAAATATTGGAAACAACTTAAATGCCTGAACATAGAAAAGTGGTTAAATAAATTATGCAACATCAGCTCAGTGGCATTCCATACAGCTGTAAAAAAAAAAAAAACAAAAAAGAATAAGGAAGATCTCTATGAACTGATGTGGAGTGGGTCCATGACATACTACCCAAATGAAAAAAATCTAAGTACAGGAGACCGCTTCTAGAATGGCAGAGTAAGGAATTCCAAAAATGTGTTTCTTAATAAAAGCAATGAAGTCTTTTTTTATGGTGAAAAAAAAAGTTTTTTTCACCATAAAAACTGTGAAAAATCAAATTTTTTAGAACTCCAGAAATTAACCTAAGGCTAGCAATAATCCACAGAGCGTTTACTCAAGAAAAAAATCACTACATCTTGGTAAGAACAGTGAGTTTCATGGTGCTTTAACTTGCCCTACTTCCATTCCTCTCCCTTAGTCCCATAGTAACCTTAAAAACCAACAGTGTCCCAATAATAGTAGCTGTGAAAATCAGTAACCTAGTAGCCACTAGAAAGGGCATAGAGGTTTACAAGCATCCAAAGGTCCCATCCCCAGAGAAATTCCAATTGTCAGCTATTCTGATTGTCCGATAACTTGCAGAAAAGTTCCATGCTCAGGAGTTGTCATTCTTTGAGCTGACTCAGAGCTTACTCTGTGTTAATAGGCTTATCCCCAAGGCATTTGTCGAAAACAATCATTGGCAATTAATATCGGAACTGCCTGAGGCTACATTATCAGTTGGGATTAATAAGAAGCTGACCAAAAAACTTGAGAGGAAAAACTGGGGAATGAGATGACCATAGAGGGCTTTAAAAAGCTCCAAAATGTTCCTGGAAATCTGGAAGACCTCACATACGCCTAAGGCTGTGCATATGCCCATGATTGTGTACATGCTTAGGAAAGATCCAAGAAGAAGAACAAAGTCAGAAGATTTACACTATCACACTTCAAGACATACCATAAAGCTACAGTGATCAAGGTAGTGTGGTATTGATGAAAGAACAGACAAATAAATGAATGAAAGAGAATGGAGAGCCCAGAAAGAGTTCCACACAAATATAGTCAACTTATTTTTGACAAAGGAGCAAAGGTAATTCAACGGAAAAAAGCATTCTTTTTAACAAATGGTGCCGGAACAACTGTACAACCACATGTAAAAAGATTTTTTAAAGCCCAAAAACAAATAAACAAAGAGCCCCACAAGAATCTAGAGACAGAATTTACACCTTTTCCCCAAATTAAATAGATATAATTAAAATAGACTATAAGTGTTAAATGTAAAATGCAAGGCTATAAAACTTCTAGAAGATAGCAAAGGAGAAAATCTGAGTGACCTTCACTTTGGTAATGACTTTAACAAAAGGTCAATCTATAAAAGAAAAAAATGATAAATTAAACTTCATTAAATTCAAAACTACTCTGTTAAGTGAACGAAAAGACAAACAACAGAGTAGGAGAAAATATTTGCAAAACATATATCTGATTAAGGACTGTATCCAAAATGTACAAAGAACTCAAAACTCAACAACAAGAAAACATACAAACCAATTTAAAAATGGGCCATAGATTTGAACAGATGCCTCATCAAAGAAGAGGTACAGATAGCAAAATAAACATATTAAAAGATGCTCAACATCATATGCCATTAGGAATTCACTTTTATTTGTAAAATAGTTTTGCAGCATATAAGTTTCTTGCTTGAACAGCCTTTTTCTTTTAGCTACAGTAGTTCTCCTTTATCTGCAAGGGATGCATTCCAAGACCCCCAGCCTGAAACTGTGGATAGTAACAAACCTTATATATAGTTTCTTCTATACATACATGACTATGGTGAAGTTTAATTTATAAATTAGGCATAGTGACAGTCAGAATAACAATTATTAAAAAGTCAAGAAACAACAGATGCTGGTGAGGCTGTGGGGAAATAGGCATGCTTTTACACTGCTGGTGGCAATGTAAATTAGTTCAACCATTGTGGAAGACAGTGTGGTGATTCCTCAAGGACCTAGAACCAGAAATACCATTTAACCCAGCAATCTCATGACTGAGTATATACCCAAAGGAATATAAATCATTCTACTATAATGATACATGCACACATATGTTCATTGCAGCACTATTTACAATAGCAAAGACATGGAAACTACGCAAATGCCCATCAATGATAGACTGGATAAAGAAAATGTGGTACATATACACCATGGAATACTATGCAGCCATAAAAAGGAATGAGATCATGTCCTTTGCAAGGACATGGATGAAGCTGGAAGCCATCATCCTCAGCAAAGTAACACAGGAACAGAAAACCAAACACCACATGCTCTCACTCATAATTGGGAGTTGAACAATGAGAACACTTGGACACAGGGAGGGGAACAACACACACTGGGGCCTGTCAGGGGGATGGGGAGGGAGAGAGAGCATCAGGACAAATAGCTAATGCATGCAGGGCTTAAAATCTAGATGATAGGTTGATAGGTGCAGCAAACCACCATGGCACACATATACCTATATAATGAACCTGTACATTCTGCACCTGTATCACAGAACTTAAAGTAAAATTTTAAAAAATAAATTAGCCATAGTAAGAGATTAACAACAATAATAAAATGAACAATTATAACAATATACTGTGTAAAAGTTATGCAAATGTGGTCTTTTTCTCTCTCTGTCTCTCTCAAAACAGCTTATTGTACTATATTACCTGTTTTTGAATTAAAGTTGACCATAGATAACTGAAACTGAGGAGAGTAAAACCATGGATAAGGGGGGACTACTGAATGTTATCCCACTGCTTCTTGGCTTTGTGGTTTCTTATATGAAATAAGCTGTCGATCTTATGAGAATGACTTGTATGAGATGCATTGTTTTCTTCTTGATGCTTGCAATATTCTTTCTTTGTCTTCTGACAGTTTGAGTATGGTGTGTCAAGGTGCAGATCTCTTTGGGTTTCTCCTACTTGGAGGTCATTTAGCTTCTTAGATAGGCAGATCAATGCTTTTCATCTAATTTGGGAGGTTTCGGCCATTGTTTCTTCAAATAGTCTTACTGCCCTGCTACGGTTTGAATATGTCCCCTCCAAAATTCAGGTGTTGTCAATGTCATAGTGTTAAGAGATGGGGCCTTTAAGAGGGGATTAGCCATGAGGGCTCCTCCTTCATAACTGGGATTAGGGCCTTTATAAAAAGAAGCTTCACACACCTTTTGGCCCTTTTGCTCCTTTTGCTCTTCTCCCATCTGCCTTGTGAGGACACAGCATTCTTCCCCTCTGAAGGGTGCGGCAATAAGTTCACCATCTTGGAGGCAGAGAGCAGCCCTCACCAGAAAACCAAACCTCCCAGCACCTTGATCTTGGATTTCCCAGCCTCCAAGACTGTAAGAAATATATTTCTGTTCTTTATATGTTACCCAGTCTCTAGCGTTCTGTTACAGTAGCACAAATAAACCAAGACATGCCCCATTCTCTCTCTCCCCTCTCTTTCTATAACTCCCATTATGTTAATATTCTTGATGGTATCCCACAGGTCCCTAAGGCTCAGTTAATTTTTTTAAAAAAATGTTCTCTGTTCCCCACACTTGGTAATGTCAATTTATCTACTTTCAAGTTTGCTGTTTTTATCTTCTGCCTACTCAAATCTGTGGAGCCCCCTCTAGTGAATTTTTCATTTCAGTCATATTTTTTACCTCAGAATTTCTGTTTGTTTCTTTTTTATAATTTTATTTCTTTATTGATATTCTCATTTTGGCGAGGCATCCTTTTCATACTTTCTTTAGTTCTGTAGACATTGTTTCCCTTTAGTTGTTTCAATGTATTTAAAATAGCAAACTTCAAGTCTTTGTCAAGTAATTCCAATGTCTACACTTTCTCAGAACAGTTTCTCTTGACTGGGTTTTTAAACATTTATTTTCCCTATCAATTTCCTGTCTTCAGTGTCATTGATTTCTGCTCAGTCCTTTATTTATTTATTTTTTGCTTGTTTTAGGCTTATATTTATCTTCTTTTTTTGTTGTTCTTTTTTTTTTTTTTTTTTTTTTTTTGAGACGGAGCCTTGCTCTGTCGCCAGGCTGGAGTGCAGTAGAGCGATCTCGGCTCACTGCAACCTCCACCTCCCGGATTCAAGCAATTGCCCTGCCTCAGCCTCCCGAGTAGCTGGGAGTACAGGTGCGCGCCACGACGCCCTGTTAATTTTTTGTATTTTAGTAGATACGGGGTTTCACCATGTTGGCCAGGATGGTCTGAATCTCCTGACCTCGTGATCCGCCCGCCTTGGTCTCCCAAAGTGCTGGGATTACAGGCGTAAGCCACCGCACCCGGCCCTATTTATCTTCTTTTTCTATGTTTACTTTATTTTATTTCATTTCATTTTTTAAGAGATGAGATTTTGCCCTGTCACCCAGGCTGGAGTGCACTGGCTTATCATAGCTCACTGTAGCCTCAAACTTCTGGGCTCAAGCAAGCTCCTGCTAGGTTTGTTTGTTTGTTTGTTTTTCTGTTGTTTTTATTTGTTTGTTTTGAGGCGGAGTCTCACTCTGCCCACGCTGGAGTGCAGTGGCACTATCTCAGCTCACTGCAACCTCTGCCTCCCAGGTTCAAGTGATTCTCCTGCCTCAGCCTCCTAAGCAGTTGGGATTACAGGCACGCACCACAATGCCTGGCTATTTTTTGTATTTTTTTTAGTACAGAAGGGGTCTCACCATGTTGGCCAGGCTGGTGTCGAACTCCTGACCTCAAGTGATCCCCCCATTTCGGCCTCCCAAAGCGCTGGGACCAGAGGCGTGAGCCACCACACCCAGCCCCTTCTCTAGTTTTCCAAGATGGAAGCTTAGATTATTGATTTTAGATTTTCTTTCCTCATATATGCATTCAATGCTATAAATTTCCTCCTAAGCACTACTTTTGCTGAACCTCACAAATTTTGGTAATTGTATTTTCATTTTTATTTAATTCAAAATATTTTTTGAATTTCTCTTGTGATTTCTTGGCCCATGAGTTGTTTAGAAGTGTGTCATTTAATGTCTAGTTATTTGGAGAATTTCTCTTTTTTTCCTCAATCCTTAGAACCTGCTAATATTTGGGGGCTGGGGGGCGGTTGTAGCTATTTCTCTGTCATTGATTTCTAGCTCTAGTTTAATTCCATGTTAGTCTGAGAAGACACTTCATGTGATTTCTATTCCTTCAAATTTGTTAAGGTGTATTTATTTTTTATCAGAATGTAATCTATCCTGATGAATGTGAGCTTCAGAACAATCTATATTCTGCATTTATTGGATGAAGTATTACATAAATGCTAATTATACACAGTTGATTGATAATACTGTTCAGTTTAACAGTGTTCTTACTGACCTGCCACCTGTTGGATCTGTTCAATTGCTGATAGAGGGGTATGGAAGCCTCCAACTTTATTTGTGGAATTGTCTATTTCTCCTTGCAGTTCTATCAGTTTTTTGCCTCATATATTTTGACACTTGGTTGATAGGGGAAAACACCTTAAGAATTGCTCTTAAGAATTGTCACTTATTCTTGGAGAATTGACCCCTTTATCATCATGTAATGCCCTCTATATCCCTGATTATTTCCCTTGTTCTGAGGTGTGCTTTATCTGAAATTAATATAGCTACTATAGCTTTCTTTTGATTAGTGTTAGCATGAACTACCTTTTTCCATCCCTTTACTTTAAATCTAACTGTGTCTTTACATTTAGTGTGGATTTCTTATAGGTAACTCTGTTTGGTCTTATTTTTATAATCCACTCTGACAGTCTATGTCTGATAATTTATTTTTTTAATTTTTATGGCTACACAGTAGGTGCACATGTTTACGGGGTACATGAGATGTTTTGATACAAGTATATAATGTGTAATAGTCAGGGTAAATGGGGTAGCCATCAGCTCAAAAATTCATCATTTCTTTGTGTTATGAACATTCAATAAAGCTGCCAAGAACATGCATTGGGGAAAGGATAGTCTCTTCAATAAATTGAGCTGAGAAAACTGGATATCCATATGCAGAAGAATGAAACTAGACCCTGTCTCTTACTATATACAAAAATCAAATCAAAATGGATCAAAGACTTAAATCTAAGACCTTAAATTCTGAAACTACGACAAGAAAACATTGGGGAAAATCTTCAGGACATTAGTCTGGACAAAAATTTTCTGAGCAATACTCCACAAGCACAGGCAGCCAAAGCAAAAATGGACAAATGGGATCACATCAAGCTAAAAAGCTTCTGCACGGAAGAGGATACAATCAACAAAGTGAAGAGACAAACCACAGAAAGGGAGAAAACATTTGCAAATTACCCATCTGATAAGGGATTAATAACCAGAATTTATATAGAACTCAAACAACTCAATATGGAAAACATTCCAATTGTACTCCCTCAGTTATTCTAAAATGTACAACAAATTATTGTTGACTGTAGTCACCCTGTTGTGCTATCAAATACTAGATCTCATTCACTGTATCTTACTATATTTTGTACCCATTAACCATCCCCATCACCCTTATCCCACTACCCTTCCAATCCTCTGTGATCCATCATTCTACTGTCTCCATGAGTTCAATTTTTTTAATTTTTAGATCCCACAAATGAGTAAGAACATGTGAAATTTGTCTTTCTGTGTCTGGCTTATTTCACTTAACATTATGTCCTTCATTTTCATCCATGTTGTTACGAATGACATAATCTTGTTCTTTTTATGGCTGAATAGTGCTCCATTGTGCATATGCACCACATTTTTTATCCATTTGTCTACTGATGTACATTTAGGTTGATTCCAAATTTTGGCTATTGTGGATAGTGCTGCAATAAACATGGGAGTGCAGATAAATGTTTGATATACTGATTTCTTTTCTTATGGGTATATATCTGGCAGTGGCATTGCTGAATCATGTGGTAGTTCTATTTCTAGTGTTTTGAGGACCCTCAATACTGGAGGATCCTATGTACATGGAGGATACTCTATGGTAGCTGTACTAATTTACATTCCCACCAACAGTTTACAAAGGGTCTCCTTTCTCCACATTTTCGCTAGCATTCGTTATTGCAGGTCTTTTAGATAAAAACCATTTTAGCTGGGGTGAAATGATATCTCATTGTAGTTTTCATTTGCATTTCTATTATGATCAGTTATGTTGAGCACCTTTTCACATACTTGTTTGCCATTTGTATGTCATCTTTTGAGAACTGTCTATTCAGATCTCTTGCCCATTTTCAAATTGGATTATTTTTTCCTTAATGAGTGGTTTGAGCTCCTTAGAATTTCTGGTAATTAATCCCTTGTCAGATGGTTACCATATAGCTTTACATCTTTTATGTAGTCATATTGTCAATATTTTACTTTATAGCTTTTGAGTTCAGGCATTTTACCTCAGGGAAATAATTCTTTTGTATCTTCTCCTTAAACTCCATAGTTTTACATTTAGATCTTTAAGTAACCTGATTTTTTTAATATAATGAATGAACTAGGTATCTGTATATGTTTTCCTCTATATAGATAGTTAATAGTCCCTGCATTCTATTTGTTGAATAATACTTACTTATCCCACTGACTTGAAATACCAACCTTATTAAATAGTACATTCATAGACAGACTTATGCGTTTGTTTCTAAAATGCTTATTCTGTTCCACTGATTGACTAAACTCTTTCTGTGCTGGTTCCACATTGTTTTCATTAATGAGACTTTAGTACATATGTCCTCTCTTATTATTCTTCTTTTTCAAATATATCTTATTTATAATTACATTAAGAAGAAATTCAGAATCAACTTGTAAAGTTCAAAGAATAACTTTTATTGTGTTGAGGTATGTTTCTTCCTTCTATGCCCAGGTTTTTAAGGGTTTTACTATGGAGAGATGTTGAATTTATTGAATGCTTTTTCAGCATCAATTGAAATGATCATATGGATTTTGTCCTTCACTCTGTTGATATGATATATCATATTGATTGATTTGCATAAGTTTTATCATCCTTGCATCCCTGGGGTGAACCCTGCTTGGTCATAATGAATATATTTTTTAGTAAGTTAACAAATACAGTTTGCTAGTATTTTGTCAAAGGTTTTTGCATTAATGTTCATCAGATATATTGGCCTGTAGTTTTCTTTTTTTGATATTTGTTTGGTTTTGGTATCAGGGTAATACTGGCCTCATAGAATGAGTATGAAAGTATTCCCTCTTACTTTAATTTTTGGAATAGTTTGAGTAGGATTGGTATTAGTTCTCCTTTAATGTTTGGTGGAAAAAGCTGGCAGAGACACAATGAAAAAAAAG
Source organism: Homo sapiens (assembly GCF_000001405.40). Taxonomy (NCBI): domain Eukaryota; kingdom Metazoa; phylum Chordata; class Mammalia; order Primates; family Hominidae; genus Homo; species Homo sapiens. Next base: position 151,209,152 of record NC_000023.11, on the reverse strand, counting down.
AAAACTTCAGAGCAATATCACTGATGAACACAGATGCAAAAATCCTCAACTAAATACTAGCAAACCAAATCCAGGAGCACATCAAAAAGGTAATTCACCATGATCAAGCAGGCATTATTCCTGGGATGCAAGGTTGATTCAACATATGCAAACCAATAAATGTGATTCACCACATAAACATAACTAAAAATGAAAACCATATGATCATCTCAATAGATCAGAAAAAAACTTTTGATAGAATTTAACATCCCTTCATGGTAAAAACCCTCAACAAATGAGGCACTGAAGGAACATATATCAAAATAATAAGACCCATCTATGAGAAACCCACAGCCAACATCATACTGAATGGGCAAAAACTGGAAGCTTTCCCCTTGAGAACTGGAACAAGACAAGAATGCTCATACTCACCACTCCTATTCAACATAGTACTGGAAGTCCTAGCCAGGGCAACCAGGCAAGAGAAGGAAATAAAAAACATACAAATAGGAAATGAAGAAGTCAAGCTATCTCTCTTCATTGATGATATGATTTATCAATGATCGTCAATGATTCATCAATCTAGGTATATGATATACCTAGAAAACCCTAAAGACTCTGCCACAAGGCTCCTAGAGCTGATAAATGACTTCAGTATAGAAAAATCATTAGCATTTCTATAAATCAATAATGTCCAAGCTGAGAGACAATCAAGAAGGCAATCCCATTTATAATAGCCACAGAAAGAATAACATACCTAAGAATGTAGCTAACCAAGGAGGTGAAAGAGATCCAAAAGGAGAATTATAAAACATTGCCTAAAGAAATCAGACATAACACAAATAAATGGAAAAACATCTCACGCTCATGGATTGGAAGAATCAACATCATTAAAATGGCCATACTGCTAAAGCAATTTACAGATTCAATGCTATTCCTATCAAACTACCAATGTCATTTTTCTAAGAATAAGAACAAATTATTCTAAAATTCCTGTGGAACATAAAACAACCCAAATAGCCAAAGCAATCCTAAGCAAAAAAAAACAACAAAGCCAGAGGCATCACTTCTCCTAACTTTAAACTATACTACAAGGCTACAGAGTAACAGAAACAGCATGGTACTGGTACAGAAACAGACATGTAGACCAACGGAAGAAAATAGAAAAAAAAATAGAGAAACCAGCAATAAAGCTGCACACCTACAACCTCCTGATCTTCGACAAAGCCAACAGACATAAGAAATTGGGAAAAGATTCCCTATGCAATAAATGGTCCTATGAAACTTGACCCCTACCTATCACCATATATAAATATTAACTCAAGATGGATTAAGTCTTTACTCCATCTTGAATTAATGTAAGACCTCAAACTACAAAAATCCTAAAAGAAAACCTAGAAAACTCCCTTCCTAATATCAGCCTTGGAAAAGAATTTATGGCTAAGTCCTCAAAAGCAATTGCAACAAAACAAAAATTGACAAATGAAACCTAATTAAACTAAAGAGCTTCTGCACAGCAAAAGAAACTACCAAGTAACAGACCACCTATAAAATAAGAGAAAATATTCACAAACTATGCATCTAATAAATGTCTAATATACAACATTTATAAGGAACTTAAATCAACAAACAAAAAAGCAAAAGCAAACAACCCCATTAAAAAGTAGACAAAGGGCTGGGTGCGGTGGCTCACACTTGTAATCCCAGCACTTTGGGAGGCCGAGATGGGCGGATCACCTGAGGTCAGAAGTTCGAGACTAGCCTGGCCAACTTGGCAAAACCCTGTCTCTACTAAAAATACAAAAATTAGCTGGATGTGGTGGCGAGCGCCTGTAGTCCCAGCTACTCAGGAGGCTGAGGCAGGAGAATCACTTGAACCCAGGAGGCAGAGGTTGCAGTGAGCCAAGATGGAGCCACTGTAGTCCAGCCTGGGTGACAAAGCGAGACTCTGTCTCAAAAAAAAAAAAAAAAAGTGGTCATAGGACATGAACAGACACACTTCTCAAAAGAAGACGTACAAGTGGCCAAGAAACATGAAAAAATGCTTGTCATCACCAATCATCAGAGAAATGCAAATCAAAACCACAACAAGACATACTATTTCACACCAGTCATAATGGCTATTATAAATAAGCCAAAAAACAACAGATGCTAGTGAGGCTGTGGAGAAAAGGGAACACTTATACACTGCTGTTGGGAATGCAAATTAGTTCAGCCACTGTGGAAAGGAGTTTAAAGACTTCTCAAAGAACTCAGAGTTGAACTACCATTTGACTCAGCAATACAACTACTGGGTATATACCCAAAGGAAAATAAATTGTTCTACCAAAAAGACATATGCATCTGTATGTTCATTGCAGCAGTATTCACAGTTGCAAAAACATGGAATCAACCCAGCTGCCTGTCAACAGTGGACTGCATAAATAAAATGTGGTATGCTACACAGCCATTAAAAAGAATGAAATGATATCCTCTGCAGCAATATGTGTATAGCTGGAAACCATTACCCTAAGCGAACTAACATAGAAATAAAACCAAATAACACGTTTTCAGTTATAAGTGGGAGCTGAATATTAGGTACACAAGGTCATAAACATGAGAACAATAGATACCGGAGAATGCAAGAAGGGGAGGAAGGGAGGTGGATAAGGGTTGAGAAAAACCTACATGTTGGGTACTATGCTTACCACGTGGGGGATGGATTCATTCATATTCCAAACCTCAGCACCACACAATATACCTATGTAGCAAACCTGCACATGTATCCCCTGATTCTGAAATAAAAGTTGTAAACAAAACTGGTAGAATCCAGCAATGAAACCATCAAGTGTCAGTTGTTTTTTGCTGGAGGACCTTTATTAGGGCTTTGATCTCATTACTTGCTGTTGGTCTATTCAGGTTTTGGATTTCATTATGTTTCCATCTTGGTAGATTGTATGTGTCTAGGAATTTATCCATTTCTTCTAGGTTTTCCAAATTATTGGCATATAGTTGCTCATAGTAGTCTCTAATGATACTGTGAATTTCTGAGGTATCAGCCTAACGTCTCCATTTTCATCTCTGATTTTATTCATTTGGGCCTTCTCTCTTTTTTTCTTAGTCTAGTCAAAGGTTGGTCAATTTTGCTTATCTTTTCAAAAAAATGACTTTTCATTTCATTGATCTTTCATTTTTTTATTTTTTTATTTTTTTTTATACTTTAAGTTCTAGGGTACATGTGCACAACGTGTAGGTTTGTTACATATGTATACATGTGCCATGTTGGTGTGCTGCACCTGTTAACTCGTCATTTACATTAGGCATATCTCCTAAAGCTATCCCTCCTCCCTCCCCCCACCCCACAACAGGCCCCGAAGTGTGATATTCCCCACCCTGTGTCCAAGTGTTCTCATTGTTCAATTCCCACCTATGAATGAGAACATGCGGTGTCTGGTTTTCTGTCCTTGTGATAGTTTGCTCAGAATGATGGTTTCCAGCTTCAACCATGTCCCTATAAAGGACATGAATTCATCCTTTTTTATGGTTGCATAGTATTCCATGGTGTATATGTGCCACATTTTCTTAATCCAGTCTATCACTGGTGGACATCTGGGTTGGTTCCAAGTCTTTGCTATTGTGAATAGTGCCACAATAAACATATGTGTGCATGTGTCTTTATAGCAGCAAGATTTATAATCCTTTAGGTATACACCCAGTAATGGGATGGCTGGGACAAATGGTATTTCTTGTCCTAGATTCTTGAGGAATTGCCACACTGTCTTCCACAATCGTTGAACTAGTTTACAGTCCCACCAACAGTGTAAAAGTGTTCCTATTTCTCCACATCCTCTCCAGCACCTGTTGTTTCCTGACTTTTTAATGATCACCATTCTAACTGGTGTGAGATGGTATCTCATTGTGGTTTTGATTTGTATTTCTCTGATGACCAGTGATGATGAGCATTTTTTCATCTGTCTCTTGGCTGCATAAATGTCTTCTTTTGAGAAGTGTCTGTTCATATCCTTTGCCCACTTTTTGATGGGGTTGTTTTTTTCTTGTAAATTTATTCAAGTTCTTTGTAGATTCTGGATATTAGCCCTTTGTCAGATGAGTAGATTGCAAAAATTTTCTCCCATTCTGTAGGTTGCCTGTTCACTCTGATGGTACTTTCTTTTGATGTGCAGAAGCTCTTTAGTTTAATTAGATCCCATTTGTCAATTTTGGCTTTTGTTGCCATTGCTTTTGGTGTATTAGTCATGAAGTCCTTTCACATGCCTATGTCCTGAATGGTGTTGCCTAGGTTTTCTTCTAGGGTTTTTATGGTTTTTAGGTCTAACATTTAAGTCTTTAATCCATCTTGAATTAATTTTTGTATAAGGTGTAAGGAAGGGATCCAGTTTCAGCTGTCTACATATGGCTAGCCAGTTTTCCCAGCACCATTTATTAAATAGGGAATCATTTCCCCATTTCTTGTTTTTGACAGGTTTGTCAAAGATCAGATGGTTGTAGATGTGTGGTGTTATATCTGAGAGCTCTGTTCTGTTCCATTTGTCTATATCTCTGTTTTGGTACCAGTACCATGCTGTTTTGGTTACTGTAGCCTTGTCGTGTAGTTTGAAGTGAGGTAGCGTGATGCCTCCAGCTTTGTTCTTTTTGCTTAGATTGTCTTGGCTATGTGGGCTCTTTTTTGGTTCCATATGAACTTTAACATAGTTTTTCCAATTCTGTGAAGAAAGTCATTGGTAGCTTGATGGGGATGGCATTGAATCTATAAATTACCTTGGGCAGTATGGCCATTTTCACAATATTGATTCTTCCTATCCATGAGCATGGAATTTTCTTCCATTTGTTTGTGTCCTCTTTTATTTCATTGAGCAGTGGTTTGTAGTTCTCCTTGAAGAGATCCTTCACATCCCTTGTAAGTTGGATTCCTAGGTATTTTATTCTCTTTGTAGCAATTGTGAATGGGAGTTCACTCATGATTGGGCTCTCTGTTTGTTTGTTAATAGTGTTTAGGAATGCTTGTGATTTTTGCACATTGATTTTGTATCCTGAGACTTTGCTGAAGTTGCCTATCAGCTTAAAGAGATTTTGGGCTGAGACGATGGGGTATTCTAAATACACAATTATGTCATCTGCAAACAGGGACAATTTGACTTCCTCTTTTCCTAATTGAATACCCTTTATTTCTTTCTCTTGCCTGATTGCCCTGGCCAGAACTTCTAACACTATGTTGAGTAGGAGTGGTGAGAGAGGGCATCCTTGTCTTGTGCCGGTTTTCAAAGGGAATGCTTCCAGCTTTTGCCCATTCCATATGATATTGGCGGTGGGTTTGTCATAAATAGCTCTTATTATTTTGAGATACTTTCCATCAATATCTAGTTTATTGAGAGTTTTAGTATGAAGTGCAGTTGAATTTTGTCGAAGGCCTTTCCTGCATCTATTGAGATAGTCATCTGGTTTTTGTCATTGGTTCTGTTTATGTGATGGATTATGTTTATTGATTTGCGTATGTTCAACCAGCCTTTCATCCCGGGGATGAAGCCGACTTGATCGTGGTGGATAAGCTTTTTGATGTGCTGCTGGATTCAGTTTGCCAGTATTTTATTGAGGATTTTTTCATCAATGTTCATCAGGGATATTGGTCTAAAATTCTCTTTTTTTGTTATGTCTCTGCCAGGCTTTGGTATCAGGAAGATGCTGACCTCATACAATGAGTTAGGGAGGATTATCTCTTTTTCTATTGATTGGAATAGTTTCAGAAGGAATGGTACCAGCTCCCCCTTGTACCTCTGGTAGAATTCGGCTGTGAATCCGTCTGGTCCTGGACTTTTTTTGGTTGGTAGGCTATTAATTATTGCCTCAATTTCAAAGCCTGTGATTGGTCTATTAAGAGATTCAACTTCTTCCTAGTTTAGTCTTGGGAGGATGTATGTGTCCAGGAATTTATCCATTTCTTCTAGATTTTCTAGTTTATTTGCATAGAGGTGTTTATAGTATTCTCTGATAGTAGTTTGTATTTCTGTGGGATTGGTGGTGATATCCCCTTTATCATTTTTTATTGCATCTATTTGATTCTTCTCTCTTTTCTTCTTTATTAGTCTTGCTGGTGGTCTATCAATTTTGTTGATCTTTTCAAAAAACCAGCTCCTGGATTCATTGATTTTTTGGAAGGGTTTTTTGTGTCTCTATTTCCTTCAGTTCTGCTCTGATCTTAGTTATTTCTTGCCTTCTGCTACCTTTTGAATGTGGTTGCTCTTGCTTCTCTAGTTCTTTTAATTGTGAATGTTAGGGTGTCAATTTTAGATCTTTCCTGCTTTCTCTTGTGGGTATTTAGTGCTATAAATTTCCCTCTACACACTGCTTTAAATGTGTCCCAGAGATTCTGGTATGTTGTGTCTTTGTTCTCATTGGTTTCAAAGAACATCTTTATTTCTGCCTTCATTTCGTTATTTAACCAGTAGTCATTCAGGAGCAGATTGTTCAGTTTCCATGTAGTTGTGCAGTTTTGAGTGAGTTTCTTAATCCTGAGTTCTAGTTTGATTGCACTGTGGTCTGAGAGACAGTTTGTTGTGATTTCTGTTCTTTTACGTTTGCTGAGGAGTGTTTTACTTCCATTTATGTGGTCAATTTTAGAATAAGTGTGATGTGGTGCTGAGAAGAATGTATATTCTGTTGATTTGGGGTGGAGAGTTCTGTAGATGTTTATTAGGTCTGCTTGGTGCAGAGCTGAGTTCAAGTCCTGGATATCCTTGTTCACCTTTCGTCTCATTGATCTGTCTAATATTGACGGTGGGGTGTTAAAGTCTCCCATTATTATTGTGTGGGAGTCTAAATCTCTTTGTAGGTCTCTAAGGACTTGTTTTATAAATCTGGGTGCTCCTGTATTGGGTGCATATATATTTAGGATAGTTAGCTCTTCTTGTTGAAGTGACCCCTTTACCATTATGCAATGGCCTTCTTTGTCTCTTTTGATCTTTGTTGGTTTAAAGTCTGTTTTATCAGAGACTAGGATTGCAAACCCTGCTTTTTTTTCTTTTTTTTTTAGCTTTCCAGTTGCTTGGTAGATCTTCCTCCATCCCTTTATTTTGAGTCTATGTGTGTCTCTACACATGAGATGGATCTCCTGAATACAGCACACTGATGGGTCTTGATTGTTCATCCAATTTGCCAGTCTGTGTCTTTTAATTGGGGCTTTTAGCCCATTTACATTAAAGGTTAATATTGTCATGTGTGAATTTGATCCTGTGATTATGATGTTACCTGGTTATTTTGCCTGTTAATTGATGCAGTTTCTTCATAGCATCAATGGTCTTTACAATTTGGCATGTTTTTGCAGTGGCTGGTACCAGTTGTTCCTTTCCATGTTTAGTGTTTCCTTCAGGAGCTCTTGTAAGGCAGGCCTGGTGATGACAAAATCTCTCAGCATTTGCTTGTCCATAAAGGATTTTATTTCACCTTCACTTATGTTGCTTACTTTGGCTGGATATGAAATTCTGGGTTGAAAATTCTTTTCTTTAAGAATGTTGAATATTGGCCCCTACTCTCTTCTGGCTTGTAAGGTTTCTGCCGAGACGTCCGCTGTTAGTCTGATGGGCTTCCCTTTGTGGGTAACCCAACCTTTCTCTCTGGCTGCCCTTTACATTTTTTCCTACATTTAAACCTTGGTGAATCTGACAATTATGTGTCTTGGGGTTGCCCTTCTTGAGGAGTATCTTTGTGGTGTTCTCTGCATTTCCTGAATTTGAATGTTGGCCTGTCTTGCTAGGTTGGGGAAGTTCTCCTGGATAATATTCTGAATAGTGTTTTCCAACTTGATTCCATTCTCCCTGTCACTTTCAGGTACACCAATCAAATGTAGATTTGGTCTTTTCACATAGTCCTATATTTCTTGGAGGCTTTGTTTGTTTCTTTTTCCTCTTTTTTCTCTAAACTCGTCTTCTCGCTTTATTTCATTAATTTGATCTTCATTCACTGATATCCTTTCTTCCATTTAATCGAATCGGCTATTGAAGGTTGTGCGTGTGTCACGTAGTTCCCGTGCCATGGTTTTCAGCTCCATCAGGTCATTTAAGGTCTTCTCTACACTGTTTATTCTAGTTAGCCATTCGTCTAACCTTTTTTCAAGGTTTTTAGCTTCCTTGTGATGGGTAGAACATGCTCTTTTAGCTTGGAGAAGTTTGTTATTACCGACCTTCTGAAGCCTGCTTCTGTCAACTTGTCAAAGTCATTTTCCGTCCAGCTTTGCTGGCGAGGAGCTGTGATCCTTTGGAAGAGAAGAGGCACTCTTGTTTTTAGAATTTTCAGCTATTCTGCTCTGGTTTCTCCCCATCTTTATGGTTTTATCTACCTTTGGTCTTTGATGTTGGTGACCTACAGATGGGGTTTTGGTGTGGATGTCCTTTCTGTTGATGTTGATGCTATTCCTTTCTGTTTGTTAGTTTTCCTTCTAACAGTCAGGTCCCTCAGCTGTAGGTCTGTTGGAGTTTGCTGGAGGTCCACTCCAGACCCTGTTCACCTGGGTATCACCAGCAGAGGCTGCAGAATAGCAAATATTGCAGAACAGCAAATATTGCTGCCTGATCCTTTCTCTGGAAGCTTTGTTCCAGAGGGGCACCCACCTGTATGAGGTGTCTGTTGGCTCCTACTGGGAGGTGTCTCCCAATTAGGCTACATGAGGGGTCAAGGACCCACTTGAGGAGGCAGTCTGTCCATTCTGAGAGCTCAAACGCCGTGCTGAGAGAACCACTGCTCTCTTCAGAGCTGTCAGACAGGGACATTTAATTCTGCAGAAGTTTCTGCTGCCTTTTTTTCAGCTATGCCCTGCCCACAGAGGTGGAGTCTATAGAGCCAGTAGGCCTTGCTGTGCTGCAGTGTGCTCTGCCCAGTTCCAGCTTCCCAGCCATTTTGTTTACCTACTCAAGCCTCAGCAATGGCAGACGCCCCTCCCCCCACCAGGCTGCTGCCTCGCAGGTCGATCTCAGACTGCTGCGCTAGCAGCAAGCAAGGCTATGTGGGCATGGTACCCTCCGAGCCAGGCACGGGAGAGAATCTCCTGGTGTGCTGATTGCTAAGACCATGGGAAATGTGCAGTATTTGGGCGAGAGTGTCCCGTTTTTCCAGGTGCAGGCTATCATGGCTTCCCTTGGCTAGGAAAGGGAAATCCCTCAACCCCTTGTGCTTCCCGGGTGAGGCAACACCCTGCCCCACTTCAGCTCACCCTCTGTGGGCTGCACCCACTGTCCAACCAGTCCCAATGAGATGAACCAGGAACCTCAGTTGGAAATGCAGAAATCACCTGTCTTCTGTGTTGATCACGCTGGGAGCTGCAGACCGGAGCTTTTCCTATTCTGCCATCTTGGAACGGATCATATTGGTTTTTTAAATTTCAATTTCCTTTATTTCTGCTCTGATCTGTATTATTTCTTTTCTTCTACTAATTTTGGTTTTGGTTTGCTCTTGCTTTTCTAATTCTATAAGATGTATAATTAGGTGGTTTATTTGAAGTTTTTCTACTTTTTGATATAGGTGCTTATTGCTATAAACCTTCTTCTTAGTACTGCTCTCACTGCATCCCATAGGTTTTGGTATGTTGCGTTTCCATTGTCATTTATTTCAAATTTTTCAGTTTCCTTCTTAATTTCTTCATTGACCCAGTGGTCATTCTGGAGCATATTGTTTAATTTCCATGTATTCGTATGTTTCCAATATTCATTTCTTTATTAATTTCTAGTGTTGTTCCATGTGGTCAGAGAAGATGCTTGATATTGTTTCATTTTTTGAATGTTTTAAGACTTGTTTTGTCACCTAATATATGGTCCATCCTTGAGAATGATCCATATGCTGAGGAGAAGAATGTGTATTCTGCAGACATTGGATAAAATATTCTGTAAATATCTATTAGATCCATTTGACCTATAGTGCAGATTAAGTCTGATGTTTCTTCATTGATTTTCTGTCTGGATGATCTGACCAATGCTGAAAGTGGGGTACTGAAATCTCAAACTCTTATTGTATTGTGGTCTATCTCTCTCCTTAGCTCTAATAATATTTGCTTTGTATATCTGGGTGCTCCAGTGTTGGGTTCATAGATATCTACAATTGTTATTTTCTCTTGCTGAATTTATCCTTTTATCATTATAATGACCTTCTTTGTCTCTTTTCATAGTTTTTGTCTTGAAATCTATTTTGGTTGATATAAGTATAGCTACTACTGCTTTTTTTTTGTGGTTTCCATTTTCATGGAATATCTTTCTCCATTACTTTATAGGTGTAGTGTGTTTCTCATGGGTAATAGATCATTGAGTCTTTTTTAAATCCATTCAGCCACTGTGTGTCTTTTGATTGCAGAGTTTAGTCTGTTTACATTCAATCTTATGATTTATAAGTAAGGATTTACTACTGCCATTTTGTTTTGTTTTCTTGTTGTTGTGTGGCTGGCTGGCCTGCCTGCCTGCCTTCCTTCCTTCCTTCTTTCCTTCCTTCCTTCCCGTTCTTCTTTCCTTTGTCTTCCCTTGTATGAAAGTGATTCTCTCTGACGGTATGTTTTAATTTCTTGCTTTATATATTTTTGTGTATCTGTGGTTGGTGTTTATTTGAAGTTACCATGAAGCTTGAGAATAACATCTTATAACTCATTATTTTATTTTATTTTTTAATTTAACTTTTATTTCAAGTTCAGGGGTTCAATTACCTACCAAGTTAAACTTTTATTTTAAGTTCAACAAACATGTGCAGGTTTGTTATAGAGGTAAACTTGTGTCATAGGACATTGTTGTATAGATTATTTTATCACTCAGGAATTAAGCATAGTACCCATTAGTTATTTTTTCTGATCCTCTCTCTCCTCTCATCTTCCACCCTCTCATAGGCCTCAGTGTGTGTTGTTCCCCTCTATGTGTCCATGTTTTCTCATCATTTAGCTCCCACTTATAAGTGAGAACATGTGGTATGTGGTTTTCTGTTCCTATGTTAGTTTGCTAAAGATAATGGCCTCCATCTTCATCCATGTTCCCTCAAAGGACATGATCTCATTCTTTTTATGGCTGTATAGTATTCCATGGTATATATGTACCATATTTTCTTTATCCAGTCTACCTTTGATGGGCATTTAGGTTAATTCCATATCTTTGCTATTGTGAATAGTCCTTCAGTGAACATACGCATGCATGTGTTTTTATGATAGAATGGTTTCTATTCCTTTGAGTATATACCCAGTAATGGGATTGCTGGGTCAAATTGTATTTCTGTTTCTAGGTCTTTGAGGAATTGATACGCTGTTTTCCAGAATGGTTGAACTAATTTATACTCCCACCAACAATGTCTAAATATTCCTTTTTCTCCACAACCTTGCCAGCATCTGCTATTTTTTGACTTTTTAATAAAAGCCATTCTGACTGGTGTGAGATAGTATCTCATTGGGGTTTTGATTTGCATTTCTCTAACGATCAGTGATGTTGAACTTGTTTTCATATGCTTGTTGGCTGCGTGTCCTTTGCCCACTTTTTAATAGGGTTGTTTGTTTGTTTTTTCCTTGTAAATTTAAGTTCCTTATAAATGCTGGATATTAGACCTTTGTCAGATGCATAGTTTGCAAAAAGTTTCTCCTGTTCTGTAGGTTGTCTGTTTAGTCCCTCGATAGTTTCTTTTGCTGTGTAGAAGCTCTTTAGTTTAATGAGGTCTCATTTGTCCATTTTTGTTTTTGTTGCAATTGCTTTTGGTGTTTTTGTCATGAAATCTTTGCCCATTCCTTTGATATACTGATTTCTTTTCTGTTGAATATATACCTAGCAGTGAGATTGCTGGATCATATGATAGCTCTATTATTAGTTTTTTGAGGGGACTCTAAACTGTTCTTGATAGTGATTGTACTAATTTATATTCTTACCAACAGTATATAACAGTTCCCTTTTCTCCATACCTTTGCCAGTATTTTTTATTGCCTCACTTCTGGATAAAAGCCATTTTAACTAGGGTGAAATAATCTCCTTGTAGTATTGATTTGCATTTATCTGATGATCAGTGATGTTGAGCACCTTTTCACATACCTGTTTGCCATTTGTATGTCCTCTTTTGATAAATGTCTATTCAGGTATCACTCCCATGTTTATCACAGCACTATTCACAATAGCCAAGATTTGGAAGCAACCTAAGTGTACATCAACAGATAGATGGATGAAGAAAATGTGATACATAGACACAATGGAGTACTATTCAGCCATAAAAAGCATGAGATCCTGTCATTTGCAACAACATGGATGGAACCAGAGGTCATTATGTTAAGTGAAATAAGCTAGGCACAGAAAGACAAACTTCATATGTTCTCACTTATTTGTGGTAGCTAAAAATTAAAACAATTGAACTCACGGTAATAGAGAGTAAAACGATGATTACCAGAGTCTGGGAAGGATAGTGGGGGTCAGGTGGGGGGATGGTTCATGTGTACAAAAATATAGTTAGATAAAATCAATAAGATCTAGTATTTTATAGCACAACTGGGTGATTATTGTCAAGAATAATGTATACATTTAAAAATAACTAAAAGAGTATAACTAGTTTGTTTGTAATGCATAGAAAGGATAAATGCTTGAGGTGATGGATACTCCATTAACCCTGATGTGATTATTATGCATTGTATGCCTGAATCAAAATATCTCATGTACCTCATAAATATATACACCTACTATGTACCCACAAAAATTAAAAATAAAAATTTTTTAAGTGGATGAAAGACTTAAACCTAAGACCTAAGACTATGAAACTACTAGAAGAAAACGTTGGGGAAATGCTTTAGGACATTTGCCCAGTTTAGGCAAAGATTATTTTGTAAACCTCAAAATCACAGGCAACCAAAGCAAAAATAGACAAATGGGACTACATCAAACTAAAAAACTTTTGCACTGCAAAGGAAACAATCAACTAGTGAAAAGATAACCCACAGAATGAAAGAAAATATTTGCAAACTATTCATCTGGCAAATGATTAAAAAACAAAATATAAAGAACTGAAAAACCTCAATAGTAAAATAACGATAATAATCTGATTTAAAATCAGGCAAAAAACCTAAATAAATGTTTCTCAAAAGGAGCTATATAAATGGCCAACGGGCATGTGAAAAAAATGCCCAACATCACAAATCCTTATGGAAATTCAAACCAAAACCACACGAGATATATCTTACCCCAGCTAAAATGGCTTTATCAAAAAGAGAGACAACAACAGATGCTGGTGAGGATGTGGAGAAAGGGATACCCTCATATACTGTTGGTGAATGTAAATTAGTACAGTCACTATGAAAAACTATATGGAGGTCCTTCAAAAAAAATAAAACTAGAGCTACCATATGATCCAGCAATTCCACTACTGGGTACACATCCAAAAGAAAAGAAATCAATATATTGAAGAGATATTTACACTCCCATGTTTACTGCAGCAGTATTTACGATAGCCAAAATATGGAATCAACCTAAGTGCCCATCAAAGGATGAATGGATAAGAAAATGTGGTATAGATACACAATGAAATATTATTCAGCCATAAAAAGAATGAAATCCTGTCATTTGCAGCAACATGGATGGAATTGGAGGTCATTATGTTAAGTGAAATAAGCCAAACACAAAAAGACAAATATTGCATGTTCTCATTCATATGCGGGAGCTAATAAACATGGATCTCATAAAGATAGAGGGTAGAATTGTGGTTACCAGAAGCCAGGAAGGATAGAAGGGAGGGAGGATAAAAAGAGGTTGATTAATGGGTACAAATGTACAATTTGAAAGAAGAAACAAGACCTAGTGTTTGAAAGATCAGTAGAGTGACTATAGTTTACAATGACCTATTGTATATTTCAAAATAGCTAAAAAAGAATAATTCAAATGTTTCTAAGATAAAAAAGACAAATATTTAAGGTGATGGATATCCCAATGTACTGTTTTGATCTTTACAAATTATATGAATTATTTAATTATCACATGTACTCTGAAAATATGTACAACTATTCTGTATAAGTAAAATTTTTGAAATTAAATAAAATCAGAACTACTTGTGGCTCTAAAAAAAAAAAAAAAATCTTTGCCCATTCCTATGTCCAGAATGGTATTGCCTAGGTTTTATTCTAGGGTTTTTATAGTTTTTGGTGTTACACTGAAGTCTTTAATTAATCTTGAGCTATTATAATTTTTGTTTAGGTTGTAAGGAAGGGGTCTAGTTTCAGTCTTCTAGATATGGCTAGCCAGTTGTCCCAGCACTATTTATTGAATAGGGAGTTCTTTCCCCATTGCTTATTTCTGTCGGGCTTGTCAAAGATCAGATAGTTGTAGGTGTGTCGCCTTATTTGGGGGTTCTCTATTCTGTTCCACTGATAACCCATTATTTGAAAGTGATGACAACTTAAGTCTGATTGCAAAAACAAACAAACATGCAATGATAAAACTCATAAAATTCTACATTTTAACTTCATCTCTCCTGCTTTTTAACTTTTTGTTTTTTCTATTTATATATTATTATACTTTCTACGTCTTCAAAACTTGTTCAAAACTTTTGATAGGTTCATCTTTTATTCTCTGACTCAAGATGTGAGTAGTTTACACACTACAATTATAGTGGCATAATATTCTGTATTTGTCTGTGTACTTACTGCTATCAGAGAGTGTTGTACCCTCAGATGATTGCGTATTGCTCATCAATGTCCTTTTCTTTCAGATTGAAGAACTCCCTGTAGCATTTCTTTTTTTTTTTTTTTTTACTTTAATTTTTAATTTTTGTGGGCACCTGATAGGTATATCCATGTATGGGGTATGTGAGATGTTTTGATACAGGAATACAATATGTAATAATCACATCAGAGTAAATGAGGTATCCATCACCTCAAGCATTTATCCATTCTTTGTGTTACAAACAATCCAGTTATACTCTTTTAGTTATTTTTAAATGTACCACTAAATTATTTTTCACTATAGCCCTCCTCTTGTGCTAGCAAATACTAAGTCTTATTCATTCTTTCTATTTTTTTTGTGCCCATTAACTCTCCCCACTTTCCCTCACCACCCACCACTACCCTTCCCAGCCTCTGGTAACCATCCATTTACTCTCTATCTCCATGAGTTCAATTGTTTCAAATTTTAGGTCCCCAGATTATTGAGAACATGAAATGTTTGTCTCTCTGTGCCTGGCTTATTTCACTTCATATTATGACCTCCAGTTCCATCCATGTTGTTGCAAATGACAGGATCTCATTCTTTTTTATGGCTGAATAGTACTCTACTGTATATATGTGCCACATTTTCTTTATCTATTCATCTGTTGATGGACACATTGCTTCCAAATCTTGACTATTGTGAATAGTGCTGCAATAAACATGAGAGTACAGATACATGTTTGATATACTGATTTCCTGTCTTTTGGTTATATACCTAGGAGTGAGATTGCTGGATTGCAAGGTAATTCTATTTTTAGTTTCTTGAGGGACCTCAAAACTGGTCTCCACAGTAGTTGTACTAATTTACCTTTTCACCAACAGTGTACAAGGGTTCCCTTTTCTCCATATTCTTGCCAGCACTTGTTATTGCCTGAGTTTTGGATACTTTAGCATTTCTTATAGGACTGGTCTGGTATTGATAAAATCCCTCAGCCTTTGTGTGTCTGGGAAAGTATTTCTCCTTCATGTTTCAAGGATATTTTTACTGAATATACTATTCTAGGATAAAAGATTTTTTCCTTTAGCAGTTTAAATATATCATGCCCCTCTCTCCTGGCCTATAAGGTTTCCACTGAGAAATCTACTGCCAGACATATTGAAACTCCTTTTGTGTTTGTATGTTTGTTCATTTTTACTTTTCTCTTGCTGCTTTTAGGATGCTTTCTTTATCCTTGACCTTTGGGGCCAGGCACAATGGCTCATGCCTGTAATGCCAACATTTTGGGAGGCCAAGTCAGGTGGATTCCTTGAGCCCAGGAGTTTGAGACCAGCCTGGGCAACACAGCGAAACCACATCTCTACAAAAACAAACAAAAAAAGCCCACAATATATTCTTGACCTTTGGCAGTTTGAATATTACATGTCTTGACATAGTCTTCTGGGGGTTAAATTTGTTTGGTATTCTATAACCTTCTTGCATTTGAATATTGACATTTTTCTCTAGGTTTAAAAAGTTCTCATTATTATCTCTTCAAATAATCTTTCTATTCCACTCTCTCTCTCTCTACCGCCTCTTTAAGGCCAATACTCTTAGATTTGCTCTTTTGTGGCTACTTTCTAGATCCTATAGTCATACTTTATTATTTTGTATTCTGTTTTTTTTTTATTCCTCTGACTTTGTGTTTTTAAATAGACTGTCTTCAAGCTCGCTAATTGTTTCTTCTGCTTGATCAGTTCTGCTGTTGAGAAACTCTGATGTATTCTTCAAGTTGTCAATTGAATTTTTCAGCTCCAGAATTTCTGCTTAATTTTGTTTAGTTACTTGCATCTCTTTGTTAAATTTATCTGATAGGATTTTGAATTTCTTCTCTATGTTATCTTGAATTGTGTTGAGCTTCCTCCAAACAGCTATTTTGAATTCTCTGTCTGAAAGGTCCCATATCTGTGTCACTCTGGAATTGGTCACTGGTGCCTTATTTAGCTTGTTTGGTGAAGTCCTGTTTTCCTGAAAGGTCTTCATGTCTGTGGGTATTCATCAATGTCTGGGCATTGAAGAGTTAAGTATTTCTTCTAATTTTTGCAGTCTGGGCATGTTTGCACCCATTCTTCTTGAGAAGGCTTTCCAAGTATTCAAAGATGATTGAGTGTTATAATCTAAGTGTTTGGTCATTGCAGCCATATGTGCATTAGAGGGCACTCTAAACCCAGTAATTCTGTGATTTTTGCAGACTTGTAGAGGTGCCACCTGGACAGTGTTGGGTAAGACCTGAGAGAATTCCATGGATTACCAGGTAGTCTCTTGTTCTCTTCCATTTTCCCAAATAAATAGAGTCTCTCTCTGTGTGCTATGTTGCATGGATTTGGGAGAGAGGTGATGCAAGTACTCCCGTGGCTACCACTGCTGGGACTGTACTGGGTCACACCTGAAGCCAGCACAGGACGGGGTCTTGTCCTAGGCCTGGGTGGCGGCTATTTCCTGCCTATCATTGATGTTTATTCAAGGCTCAAGGGCTCTTTAGTCAGCAGGTGAAGAATAGTGCCAGGACTGGATCTTTCTTTTGGGTAGTGGGCTCCCTTCTGGCCCAGGGCAGGTCTAGAAATATCCTTCAGGAGCTGAGGCCTGGAATCAGGGTCTTTAGGGGTCTGTTTGGTATTTTATTTTACTGTGGCTCAGTTGGTACCCAAGTTGCAAGGCAAAGTCCATTTTACTCTTCCCTCTCCTTTCCTCAAGCAGAAGAACTCTCTCCCCATGGCCACTAGAGCTGGGAATGTGCTGGGTCACACCTAAAGCCAGCATGGTACTGGGTCTTGCCCAAGGCCCGTGATGACTGCTGCCTGGCTACTACTGATGTTTATTCAAGGCCCACAGGCTATTTAGTCAGGAAGTGATGAATTCTGCCAGGACTGGGTCGTTCCATTCAAGGCAGTAGATTCCCTTCTAGCCTGGGGTGGGTCTAGAAATGTCATCCAGGAGATATAGCCTGGAATGTGAATTTCAGGACTCTGCCTGGTGCCCTGTCAGCTGTGGCTGAGCTGGTATCCAAGTTGCAAGACGAAGTCCTCTTTATTCTTCCTTCTCTCCTCAAACAGATGGAAGGACTTTCTTGAGGAGCTGTGAATGATGCTGACTGGGATTAGGGGAAGGGTGGCACAAGCACTCCCTTGGCTGCCCTAGCTGGTGTCTTACTGGGTTGCATGACCCCCTGGTCTACTGTCCCCTAGCCTAGCACGGCACCAGGACTTGCCCAGGAATTGCAGTCCTTATGGCTAGACTGCCTTTCAAGTTTATTTAGGACCCCAGAGTGTTTTAGCCTATGGTGGTGGGGCTTGCCGGAACTCACCTTTCAACCACTGAGATGGACAATTTCCCTCTGGCTAGGGCTGATCTAATGCCCTCTCCATGGGAGCCAGCTGAATTCTGTCCTGTGTTGCTTTCCACTGTGATAGGACAGCACTGAGTTCCAATGCAAAGTCCCGCAATCACTTTGCTCTCCCTCTTTTAAGCACACAGATTCTGTCTCTGAGCCATGCAGTACTGCCTGGGGTTGAGGGAAGGGTGGCAATTCAAGACTGTCTTTCCTACCCTCTTCAGTGCCTCTTTCAGTAATATGATGTTAAAATTGGATACTATGATTGCTCACCTGATGTTTAATTCTTATGAACATGCTTTCTTGTGTGGATAGTTGTTCAATTTGGTGTTCTGGGGGGGGAATAATCACTGGAGGCTTTTATTCAGCTGTTTTTCTCCACCTCCCTTGTTAATTGATGTCTTAAACCATTCACATTTAAGTGATTATTGATATAATTGGATTAATATCCACCATATTTGTAATCGTTTTCTATTCATTGCTTTGTTCTTTGTTTCTCAGGGGTTTTTTTTTGCCAGTTTTTTGTTTTTTTGTTTGTATTAGTCCATTCTCACGCTGCTATAAAGATACTACCTGTGGCTGGGTTATAAAGGAAAAAGGTTTAATTGACTTACAGTTCTGCATGGCTAGGGAGGCCTCAGGAAACTTACAATTATGGCAGAAGGTGAAGGAGAAGCAGGCACCTTCTTCATAGGGCAGCAGGAGAGACAGAGAGTGCAGGGGAAAATGCCACTTTTAAAAGCATCAGCTCTCACAAGAACTCCCATGATCTAATCACCCCCCACCAGGTCCCTCCATCAACACGTGTGGTTTACAATTCGAGATGAGATTTGGGTGGGGATACAGAACCAAAGCATATCATTGTTTCTTTGGTTTTTCTGTCTTCCACTCTTTTTCTGCCTTTTCTGGGTTGAAGTGAACATTTTGTGATTCCATTTTCTCTCCTCTCTTATATACTGATTGCACTTCTTTGTTTATTTTTTAGTGGTTTCCCTGGAGTTTGACATATACATTTACAACTAATCTAAACCAACTTTCAAATAACACTATACTACCTCCCAGATAGTGCAGGTACCTTATTACAGAGTATTCCCAATTCTTCCTTACCCTCCCTAATAATATTGCCGTCATTCATTCACTTATCCATAAACTATAATCAACCGATACATTGTTGCTACTATGATTTTAACAAACTGTTACCTACTGGATCAATTAAGCATAAGAAAAATGGATTTAATTTGCCTTCATTTATTGCATTTCTAATGTTCTTCTTTTACTTATGCAGAAATAAGCTTCTGACCTTTTCTCTGAGGAACCATTTTTTAACATTTCTTCCAAGGTAGGTCTATTAGTGACAACGTCCCTCAATTTGTATTTGTCTGAGAAAGCCTTTATTTCTCCTTCACTTCTAAAGGATAATTACGTTCAATATATATATCCAGGCTGTTGGGTTTTTTTCTTTCAACATTTTAAATAGTTCACTCCACCCTCTTTTCACTTGGGTGCTTTCTGAAGAGAAGTCCAATGTAATTCTTACTGTTTGCCTCTATAGATAAGATTTCTTTTCCTCTCAATTCTTTCAAGATTTTTTTCTTTCCCTTTGATTTTCTGCAGTTTGAATATGACATGCCTAGGTATAAAGTTTTGGCATTTATCCTGCTTAGTGTTCTCTAAGCTTCCTGGATCTGTAGTTTGATGCATGAAACTAATTTTGGAAAACTCTCAGCCATTATCACTTCAAAGATGTTTTTAGTTCCTTTCTCCCTTTTCTTTCTAATATTCTCGTTATACATAGGTTACACTGTTTGTAATTGTTCCACATTTCATGGATGCTCTGTTATATTTTTTTTCATTCCTTTTTCTCTTTGCTTTTCAGTTTGGAAAATTTCTATTGTCATATCTTCAAGTTCACTGATTCCTTGTTCAGAAGAGTCCAGCCAACTAATGAGCCCATTAAAGCTAATCTCCATTTCTGTGACAGTGTTTTTTATTTCTAGCATTTCCTTTGATTTTTCTTAGAGTTTCCTTCTCTCATGTTACTCATCCGTTCTTCCATGTTATCTTACTTTTTTCCATTGTAGCCCTTAGCATATTCATCATGGTGATTTCAATTCCTAGTCTGGTAATTCTAAAATGTCTGCCACAATTGAGTGTGGTTCTGACATTTGTTTTGTCTCTTCAGACAGTGTTTTTTCCTTTTAGCATGACTTCTAACTTTTTCATGGAATCTGAACATGACGTACCAAAAAGCTGAGGTAAATATACATTTAGTGTGAAGTTTTAGGTTCATCTGGCTAGAAATTAGGCTGTCTTCACTGTTTGCTATAGTTGTGTCAGAGGCTAAAATTTCCTCTAGTGTCCTTATTTTTGCCTCCCCTGTTGTCTTTAGCTTTTCCTAGAATTTTTTCTTTAAATAAGATTTGAAACTTGCAGGTTTTTTTTTTTTTCAGCTGCAATACCCTGTTTTATGGAACCCTATTGGTGTGGTGGTAAATTGTGAAGGAAGGAAAATTCTATAGTCCTATGATTAAGTCTCAGTCTTTTAGTGAACCTGTGTCCCTAGGCTGTGAGCTTCACAAGTGCTATTTCACTCCCTACCCCTTAAGTGAGACAGGAAGGCTAAAGGGGACAGGAGTCGGGTATTTCCCTTCTACCAGGTTGGTTAGAATTGTAAAATGATGCAGCCACTGTGGAAAACAGTATGACATTTTCTCAAAAAATTTAAACATAGAATTACTATATGATCCAGCAATTCTACTTCTGAGTATATACCCAAAGGAATTGAAAGCAGGGACTCAAACAGATTTGTATGCCAATGTTTACAGCAGTATTATTTATAAGAGCCAAAAGGTGGAAAAAGTCTAAATGTTCATTGGCAGATGAATGGATAAACAAAATGTGATGTATATATAAATGGAATATTATTCAACCTTTAAAATGAATGAAATTCTGATACATGCTACAACATAGATGCATTTTGAAAACTGTATACTAAATGAGAGAAA
Source organism: Homo sapiens (assembly GCF_000001405.40). NCBI lineage: Eukaryota > Metazoa > Chordata > Mammalia > Primates > Hominidae > Homo > Homo sapiens. Next base: position 151,188,186 of record NC_000023.11, on the reverse strand, counting down.
CCAGACACAAAATGCTACATATTATGTAATTTCATTTATATGAAATATCCAGAATGGATAAATCCATAGTCACAGAAAGATTAGTAGTTGCCATGGGGAAGAAGGGGATGGGGAGTGAACATTAATGGTTTCAGGGTTTCTTTCGCAGTGATGAAAGTATTTCAGAATTAGATAATAGTTCTAGTGGTGACACAACTTTGTGAAAATACTATAAACACAGAACTGAACATTTCAAAATGACCAAATTTATACTATATGAATTATGCCCCAATAAAAATATATGTCTCAAAAAGATAGTAAATATAGATAGATAGACAGATAGATAGATAGAGCTATTTACTATAGAAAGTGTTAAAAACATACCATCTTTTCATATACTAATTTTGGTTTTATTAACAAACAAAATTACATACCATTTTATTACGTGCCTTTTTCAACTTAATATAAATTGAAACTATTCCACATCAGTAAACCTTTCTATGAAAATTTTTAAAAAGAACTGCTGAAACATACAACGACACAGATGCATCTCAAAAACGTAATGTTTAAGAAGAGAGCCAGTCACAGTGGCTCACATCTCTAATCCCAGCTACTAGGAAGGCTGAGATGGAAGGGTCAATTGAACCCAGGAGTTTGAGACCAGCCTGGGAAATATAGTGAGATCCCTATCTGAAACAAAAAAAAGAAGTAAATTAAAACCTATAACATCTAACAAAAGAAGCTACACTTAAAAACCTACACACGTATTATTCCTTTTATATGAAGGACAGGCAAAACTAATTTGTGATAATAGAGATTCAACCACTAATTAACTGTAAAGGAGGTATTGACTGAGTTGGGGTATGAAAGAGCCTTCTGGGGTCTTAGAAATGTTCTATATCTTCATCTGAATGGTGGTTACAAAAATATGCATATATGTATAAAATCCATTTAACTGTACATGATATGTGTACACATAACTGTATATAAGTTATCGTTAATTAAATTTAAAAACGATGTGGTATTGGTGCAAGGATAGACTAATGTAACAGAATAAACAGTCCAGAAACAAAGAGATAAAAAGAGAGACATGTTTATATATGATTACCTAAATGGCAACAAAGTCTTTACTGCAGTTCAGTGGGGTAAAGTATGGTCTTTTCAATAAATGGTGATAAAATGAAAATATGAACCCTGGCTATACAAAAACATGGACTTTGATTCCTAACCCACACCATACACAAACAAATTAACTTGAGATGGAACATAGACTTAAACGTGAAAGGCAAAACTATAAGGTTTCTAAAATAAAAATTAGGAGAATACATTAATTATATTAGAATAATCAGAAATTTCTTAAACACAAAGCACAGTCAGAAAAACTGATAAATTGAACTTTATAATATTAAAGATTTTTGTTCATCAAAAGATACAATTAAGAGAGCAAAAAGGCAAACCACCAACTGAGAGAAGATATTCATGAAATTGGCATATATACACATGCATATCCTGTTACAAGTCTATAAGAAAAAGACAGAAACTTCCATTTTAAAATAGTCAAAATATTTGTTCAGGGCCTTCAATAAAGAAAATATTTAAATGGTCAATAATCATGTAAAAAGACGATTAACATCATTGCTCATTAGAGAAATGCAAACTGAAACCACAATGAAATAGCACTAGAAACCCACTAGAATAGCTCACATTAAAAAGGGCTGAAAATATCAAATGTTGGCAAGAATGCAGAGCACCTCAAATTCTCATACCTTGCTAGTGAGACTATAAAGTAGTTCAACAATGATATGGTTTGGCTGTGTCACCACCCAAATCTCATCTTGAATTACAGCTCTCATAATCCCCAGGTGTCTTGGGAGGTACCCGGTGGGAGGTAATTGAATCATGAGGGCGGTTTTTTCCTGTGCTGTTCTCTGATATTAAATAAGTCTCACAAGATCTGATGGTTTTATAAAGGGCAGTTCCCCTGCACATACTCTCTTGCCTGCTGCCATGTAAGACGTGCCTTTGCTCCTCCTTCACCTTCCACCATGGTTGTGAGGCCTCCCCAGCCATGTGGAACTGAGAGTCCATTAAACCTCTTTTTCTGTATAAATTACCCAGCCTCAGGTATTTCTTCATAGCAGTATGAAAATGGACGAATACAAACAACTTTGGAAAAATATTTAGCAGTGTCTACTAAAACTAAGTACATATATACTCACGACTCGGCAATTCCAAGCTTAGGTATATTTCCAAGAGCAATAAGTCCATATGTGCATCAAAAGGCATGTACAAGAATGTTCATAACAGGTTTCTTAAAAGCCCCAAACTGGAAAACAGCCCAAATGTTCAGCCACAGTAGAATAGCTCAAAAGTGGTGGTATAGTCATACAAAGAAGTTCTACATAACAATAAAAGAAAATGAATTCCTTATACCTAAAGTAACATGGATAAATCTCACAAACAAAATGATGAAGAAAACAACACAAACACAAAAGAATGCATTCTGTATGCTTCAATTTAAATAAAATTCAGTAAACCAGCAAAATTACTCTGGCATAAAAGAGCTTTCTGGGGTGCTGGAAATGTTTTACATTTTGATATGTGTGGTGGTTACATGGGTGTACACATATGTTAAAATTTGTTGAGCTCTCTACTGAAGTAGAGCTTGACACTGAAGTAGTGTTCTTCGCTGTATGTAAAATTATACCTCAGTGCAAAGTTAAATTAAAAGACATGTACAAAAATGATTATAGAAGCATTTTTATCATAGTTTCAAATTGGAAACAACCCAAATATCCATTAGTAGTAGAATAAATAAATTGTAATATATTCATATTGTAGAATGCTTTATGAAAATGAAAAATAACCAACCACTTACATACACAGAAACATAGATGAATCTCAAAGACATAATATTGAGCAAAAGAAGCTAGACTACATGACCCAGCAATTCCACTCCTAGGTATATATTCAAAAAGGTGAAAAGCAGGGACGCAAGCAGAAACTTGTACATCAATCTTCATAGCAGCAATATTCACAACAGCCAAAAATGGAAACCACCAAAATGTCCATCAATGCATGAACGGGTAAACAAAATTTGGTATATCTCTAGAATGGGATGTTATTCAGTCATTAAAAAATAATGTATGGATACCTGCTATGATATGGGTGAACCTTGAACACATTATGCTAAGTGAAAGAAGCGAGACACAAAAGGACCAACATTGTATGATTCCACTCATATGAGGTGGCTAGAATAGGTGAATTCATAGAGACAGAAAATAGAATGGTGGTTACCAGAGGTTAAGGGGAAGGGAAGTTATTATTTAATCAGTACAGAGTTTCAGTTTGAGATAATGAAGTAGTTCTGGAAATGAACAGTGGTAACGGTTGCCCAACAATGTGAATATATTTAATACCACTGAATTGTACATTCAAAAAGTTTACAATGGTAAATTTTATGTTATGTATATTTTATCACAATTTTTTTAAAAAGAAGCTGGACACAAAAGAATACATACCGTATGCTTCCATTTGATTAGAAAGGGGCAACAGGGAACTTCCTGGAGGGCTACCTATATCTTGGCCAGGGTGGTAGTTACATGGATGTATACATATGTTAGGAAAAAAAAAAAAAAAGTCAGGCTGTCACTTTACAGTATATAAATTATATTTCCATTTAAAAAGAAACGAGGAGAAACTCGGAAAAACTGTCATTTAAAAGTTGCTTGCATTTTTTAAATCCTTTGATTATGGAGATTTAGGCTCACCTGGAGGCAGATTCTCTCTTTGAGGAAGTCAGCAAAGTTGGCCCTTTCATTCTCACTGCTGTAAAGCCAGAAGCTCTGCATTTTTTCCAGGGGGAACCTTAAACCTGGAGCAGAGATTCAGCTTCTTGCCTTGGTCACTCAAAGTGGGCGGGGTAAATCAGAGATGCGTTTAGGAAGCTTAATGCCTTTTGAGAGTGAAGGGGAACAGGATAAGGGAGAGAGGGGCAGAATAAAAAATGTTTCTGGGCTGTGAAGGAACTGAGAAGGAATTGGGCTGGAAGTGCTGCTTGTTCCTGTCCAGGTGATTATGGGCGCGGAGGCGGAGGCGGGGCGCAGTGGCGCAGGCAAGTTTGATGAGTGCAGCTGCAGGAGATAAGCAGAGATGGCCGAAGTGACTGCTTTCAAGAGACTTGGTATGGCTTTCAGGAGACTTGGTATGACTTTCAGGAGACTTGGTGTGAGCGGTGTTGCTTCAGGCACCGGGGGAAAATTGCGGGACAAAGTTGTAATAATGGCAGATAATTTTCGTCACCTCTCTTATCTTCTTTCAAAACCTTGCACCCCGTAAACCCCTGCGGAGTGGCAGTTTGGAGCATTGGGACACAGTACCCTTGGTTTGGACACTTGCAGTCTCACGCAAAGCAACTTCTTGGGTGTGAGTGGAGAGTAAGAACATGGAAAAGATGGATAGGGGAGCTGACCGTAACCAGTTTGTAAGTACATGAATAAACATCCCTTTTAGTTATGTTTTCTGCACAGAAATTTGGCACAGGGGTGCAGGCAGCCCTCAGGCAGGCAGCCCTTGATGGCTCAAAACACTTTAACTCGGGCATTAAAAATTAAGATGACCTCAGTCTATCTATACTCACAGCCTGGGAAAGCCTGGATAGAACAGCTGCATATGCGTAACTGTTTGTCTATATGTGCATGTATTAAGTATGCATATTTTTGTAAAATTATGTCCTACTGTATATTGCTTTGAATTCAGTTTGATTTTTGCTGAGCAGTGTATTTTTAGCATTTCCTTATTGTCAGAGATTCTTTTAAAACTGTGTTCCTAAGATCAGGAGCTTTGCCCAGTGGCTGGGGTCTTGCTACCCACCTCCGAGCTGGAGAGCAAACCACCGGCCCTCCTGCCTCTCACTCCTGTGCCTCCCCCATTCCCTCATGAGCTCTATTTCTTCGTTCCAGAAGGCTTTGGGTCACGACATTTTGGGGCCTGGCTTCACTCCTTTCAGGGGAGTAAAGAGGGGTCTCTTTTCAGAGCCATATCTGGTACAGTTCAGAAATCCAAGAGCAGGCAGGTCAGGTCATCCAACGTTGCTGCACTAGTGTGAAGAACGTAGCAATCCCAGCATGCTCCCCTCTCCCCACCACCTCTCCACAGTTTGCTAAGTAAAGGGACTGAGGTGAGACGGGTCAAGGGACTTGCCCTGGCATACAGCAAGCTGGTAGCAGGGATGGAACTTGCACCCAAGTCTTCTGATTCCCCCAAGGTCAATGTTTTGCCACCCCTCACCCTGTACACCCTCCCCATAAGTAACTCCAGTGGAGAAATGAAATTATCCACAAACCACAAACTAAAGCCACAAAAACACTTCTATTTAATTGCTACCACAAATACAGAATAGAATTAAGGCAGTATAATACATTTCCACTTATCCTCACAAGCTTTCATACAGTAAACTTTGCTTAAAGTGTCTATTTGAATCAGCAATTGAAATTTTTATTAAACAGCAGTTTTCTTGAATTGTAGAGAAAAATCATTTCCTGGTCTGTCAAGTGTGCTAATAAAAGACATCTACGACTTAACATCGTGTATCACTGAACCTTAGCCAAGTGTGGTGGGATTGGCTGATGTCGGATGTGTGGTAGGATTGATTGGTGTAGGCATCTCTTTCTTCTCCTTGCCCCCCTCCCCATCCGGGAGGAATGCTCATTTACAACCTCCCAGCAGTATTCAATTCGCTTCTTGCTGCCATTTATTACTTCAAATTCCCTTTTGAATGAAAGCAATAATGCAAAAACTGTAAAAACACCAGGCTGTTTAAAAAACAAAATCTTCAGTAAAGAGTAGTTATGACTTATAATATTAAAAATATTACCATAATTGATCCTAGCAACCGTAAGATTGGATTTTAGGAGAAGAAACTAGTTTATGAATGGATTTATTTCTCTGGAACTAAATGAAAAAAAATCCCGGCAAATGCTAAAAAAGGTAAATAATTACAAATAAGGTAAAAACGTCTTATCATTTGCAACCATGTTTGACTATAAAAAGCACCAATGTTCAAATTTTCAAAAAATAGAAATAATTTGGTGTGCCCATATCTTTCCTTTTGCCATTTGATCTCATAGGCATAAAAAATGTATTTTTAATAAGAGCTTATCAAATTGTATTCTTCAAATATGGGTCATATGTTGTTGCTGAAATTTAGGAAAGAAACTTTCCAGTACTTGTACTTGATCACAACTGCTTTTCTGACTGCTATTAAAAGTACAATATAGAGTTACACATTGAAGAACATAAAGCTGTGCAGTCACATTAACGGAAGCGTTCACCACAACACACCTTTAGCATTGCGCACATACCCCTCTCCCAACCCCCTCGGGGAATGGGAGAAGAAAGCAGGAACAAGGCAGAGGAAATGAGGAAAGGGGAGGAGGGACAGAGGAGTGGGAAAAAAATCAAAGTCTAAAATTTCAAGGATCACTGAGGACTGAAGGTCGACCATAGTTGGAAAGGGAGGTTTGGAACAACAGATGTCAAACTTGAGGGAAATTAAGGTCTCTAAAATAGCAAGCACACACACACCCACGCACACACTTTAATACAGTACATTAAGTAAAGGATGAGTACGCCTGAAAGGTGGATGTAGCTTACACCATCTCTATGTGTCAGTGTCTGTGTCTAGATGCAGTAAGGCATCTCACTTTGGATTACATATGCAAAACAAACTAGAAAGGGGACCACTGCCTGGCCACCTACGAGAGCATTTTTCACACAGCCATTTCATCAGGATCATCTTCAACATCAATAACCACGACATCATGGTAATCATTGGTACTGGTAGTGACTACAGTAGGGTCAGGAAGGTCAGCGATGGTGTCAGACTCCAGCTGGCTGGCAGCAGGCTTGGTGGGCCCAGCGGCAGGGCTAGAGGCCGACTCAGGGAGGTCACTGTCGTCAGACACAGGGTGGGCAATGGCAGGGATCTCGGGGCAATGGGAGGCAGAGAGCTCAGGGTTGTCAGCAGCAGTGGGCTTAGGGTGGCTGGTAGTGGCAGGCTTGGGATAGTCAGCAGTGGTGGGCTCAGCATGGCTGGTAGCTGGCTTGATGTGGCCAGTGGTGGGTTTAGGGTGGCTGGTGGCAGCACTGAAGGCAGACTTGGAGTGGCTGCCAGCAGAGACATGGTGGCCAGTGATGGGCTTGGGGTTGCTGGAAGCAGGCTTGAAATGAACAGAGTCAGGCTTGAAATGGACAGAGTCACCCTTGAAATGGACAGAGTCAGCCTTGAAATGGACAGAGGCAGGCTTAGGGTAGACAGTGGCAGACTTGGGGTGACCAGAGGCAGGCTTGGAGTGGCCAGAGACAGGCTTGAGGTGACCAGAGGCAGCCTTGGAGTGGCTAAAGACAGACTTGTGGTGGGTAGAGGCAGATTTGCGATAGGCAGAGGAGGATCTGGAATGGGGCTTAGGGTGGCCAGAGGCACGGTCGGGGTGGCCAGCTGCAGCATCACCAGGTAATGGAACATTCCGGACATTCATCGGGGTTTCCTCCACAGCAGGACAGGCATGGGCACGGTCTTGTTCACGAGCTTGGTCGCGAGCATGGGCACGGGCGCGGGCCAGGGTACGGGCCTCCTGCATCTCACGAATATCACTGATGAGGCCAGAGAAGAATATGATAGGGTGCCGCATAGCATGGAAGATGGTCCAGTATTCTCTTCGGAAATTCTCATTGAGGAGCCCGTAGATCACAGCGTTGAGGCAGCTGTTGAAGTAGGCTATGAAGTAGGCTGCAAGATAAAGCCAGTTGGGGATCTTGCCTGCCATCTCCTTCGGACTGACAGCCACCAAGACAGTGAGCACGTTGATAGGGCACCAGCACACTGCAAAGAGGAGGAAGATCACAAACATGGTTAGAAAATTGCGAACCTCAGCAAGTTGGTTGTCAGGATTCTGCCCTGCAGGGTCACGGGCCGCCAGCACTTTGGTCCAGATCCTCACGTAGCAGAAACCCACGATGAGGAGAGGGAGGACGAAGTGGATGCAGACGATGGTAACAGTGAAGACAGGGTTGTTCAGATAGTTGAAGATGCAGGTGTAGGTGCGAGGATCGTACTCGATGGTGCCAATGTACATGTTGGGCAGGACAGCCAGGACGGTCATGATCCAGGTGATGACCAGGTAGATGCAGGTATTGCGCACACTGAAGATCCGTTCGTACTGGAGGCTGTGGCAGATGTAGCAGTAACGGTTGATAGCGATTGCCACGATGTTGAAGATGGAGCCGACCACACTCAGCCCTGTGATGAACCCGACCATCTGGCACTGTAACTGGCTCAGATCCCAGCCCCCAATGGACATGGCATGCAGCATCAAAGGGTATGGGTAGATGGCCACCAGCATATCGGCCACAGAGAGACTGACCACGAAGATGTTGCCTGAAAAACATATCGAGGGAGGGAGAAAGGGGAAAGACAGAGAAGAATAAGTGGTTTAAGTACAGAAATCTACACATTTAAGGTGCAGGGGAAGGCCAGCTGGATTATGACCTTTTATAATTCCAGAATTCTTTTAAAGAAATGCTCTGAGAAAGAAGCGAACATAAGACAGACAGCAGTGAGCACAAAATCCCTGCCAGGAGCCTTCACAATGAGACAGGGTCATGCTGCCACCATCTTAGAGAAAAACAAAATGCAAACGTTTCCTTCACTGGAGGTGAGGGGGAGGGAGAAGGAGGAGGGGAGTAGAGGTGAGCTAGAGGGACTTGTTTTTAGGAAGGAGGCTGGAGAGTGGGGGGCAAGGAGAGACACTGGAGGGATGTCAGGAAGCCTCAAACTAAAAAAATTAAAAATAATTAAATAATTAGAAAAAGATAAATTAGCCATCTCCCTCCTATAGCCTAGCATTGCATTTATAATAAACACATTACTAGAGAGAAGATTCTGAGAAAAGGCATTAGAGGCCATCTTCTTAAACAGTCTTTTCCGATGGGATCAAGCAGTAACCTAAAACCTTGCCAAGTCAAATACTTACCGTTCCGAGGTAACCTAAGAGTGAAAACTGAGGGGAAGCAGGGAAGCCCTGTAAAATTTAGTCTGAGACCAAAGAAGTAGTGAGAGGGCGGGCGGGAAGGGTGGCGCGAGGTGGGCGGGGGTGGGGGGGAGGAGAAAAAATCCTGCAAGGATTAGCAGAAGTGCCTGTTTCAGTTACATGCCGCGTCCACGTCCACGCGCAGAGCCGCGCACTGGCACATTCAGCGCCCTGCACAGAGCTCCCAGCGCCGGGCACTGAACTTTACTGGAGCCTTCAGGTTAAACAGGATAGAGAAGAAGGGTCACCCCCACTCCGGTCTTGTAGGGCTGAGGTGGGAACTTTTTTGTAAAACCTTTCACAAAAAAGAGAAGGAAGAGGCCAGGTGCAGGCGCAGAGCCCTCTTTCTTTGGAGACACCTCGTTGCTAATTAGCATTGGTTTGGCAAAATATTGCACTTCATCTTGGACTAGGAGAAAATGAGCGCTTTTGAAAAGGGCAAAGGTATGGCTCCTTCTTCCTCCTTCCTCCAGCGCTGTCAGCACTCGGCCTCAGCACTTTCTACCGAAGAGGTTCTTTCTATGGTTTTCCGGCAGAGTAATGAATTCAGGGAAATACAGCCGAAAAGAGAAGGGGCAAAGCCTTAAAAACAAAACCACAACAACCATAAAAGCCTTTATTTGAATTATAGAAGGAAGGAAGGAGAAGGAGAAAAAGAAAGAAAAGAAATCTAAAGGGAATAAAATGGGCTTCGCAGGTCGCCCCCAGGATTCCGTGGGTTTGCACCTCGGGACCGCACCGCGGGGGTGAAGGTGAAGACCTAGTGTATGGCCCCACGATTCCAGGAGACGAAGGAGAAATCGGAGACACCCACCAGACTTTGTAAGAAAACTTTTAATGACTGTGTGCCAGTCAGTGCGTTTTTAAACTTGTTCAGTGTTCGTGACTCCTTGCCCAAGCAAAGTAATCCCCCAGACCCCGGCCGCCACCTCTCCCCCACGCCCTGCCCGGGAGAATCCAGCTGGTCTCCCCACCCTCTCAGACCCCCTTCGGTCCCCACTCCTAGCCCCAGCCGATCGAGAATCTGGCGGTGGAAATTCCAGGCGCCGCCCCTCCCTCCCCCGGCCTGAACTCGGAGTTTGGGCGCCTTTGCCCCTTCCCCTCCCTTCCAGAGCCCTCTCCCGCCCAACCTGTAAGCCGGACTAGCTGCTCTGCAGTGTCTGCCGCCCCCACCCCCAGCACAGGTCGCAGCGCCCGGCATCCTCCCACGCTTCCCTCCTGCCCTGCTCGCCGCCGGCCCCCGGCCCCCGGCCTCCTCCCGCTCGGCAGTGGCTAGCAGCGGGGGAAGTCCCGCCTGCGGCTCCCAGACCCCAGCCCTTTGCAGCCTCTCTGAGTCCCCCATCGCCGCCTCTGAGCTCTCCCGTCGCCCTCCCGCCAATCCCTACTCGGTTTTGCTGCCTTCTATCCCTCCACCCCCAGCAACGCCCAGCTCCCAAGCCTCTTGGCCGGCCCGCCCTGCGACCCCCCAGTTCCCCGCTTACGGACCTTGGGATCTCCGCTGCCGCCGCCGTCGCTGCCACCGCCTGCTGTGCCCGACCCGCCGCTTGCCTCTCTCTGCCGTTCGCCCTGGGACGGGCGGACGGAGCTCGGCTCCGGCGGGCTCAGACCTCCCTGCTCGATTCTCGGGCGCGGGGGTCTGTGCTCCGCCGCCCGGGATCTGCCCGGGAGCCGTCCTGGAGCCCCAGGGCCGCGGCGAGCGGGCTCTTGGCCCGGCTAGGGAGAGGCCACTGCGTTGCGCTCTGGTAAGGGCCGCCGCGGCCGCCGCGAACTTAACTTTCACAGAGCAGGTCGCAGCCCCGCTGCTCCCTCCGCGTCAGTTCGGTCCGCGCTGCCTCAGCGCGGCCGCCCTTGCGGCGTCCGGCTCGGCTTGCTGTCCCCGGGCGAATCGCCTGACTCTCCCGCTCGGGTGCCGGCTCCCTCCGCATCAGGCCCCGACGGGACAGGGATCCTCGGGCTGCCGCGCACCACGGGAACGCTTTGTACTTGGATGCCCAAAGCTAATTCTCTGTGCTCTCTCGGCCTTGAGAACCTCCACGTTTAGAGGGCCGGGACAGAATACTACCACCCCCAGGCTTGCGGGGAATTTGGGAGCAGGGATGTTCAATATGAGGGCACTGTCCATAGATTCTCTATTCGGGGAGCTCAAAAACTAACGCCCTAGGGGTTGCAAGTCTCTGCACACTGGGTAGGGAGAAGAAGGGGTGGCTTACCAGAATTCCGGAGCTTCTTGTTCTTCGTCACAGCCAAAATGACCATGGAGTTGCCGATTAGGTCTACAACGATGGTGATAACCATCGCGCAGAACATAAAGATGATTAGAGCCGGTGGGTATTCTGGCTGGGGTAGCTTACAGCCAATACAGCCATAGGGGGTGGGAACCGCTAGGGTGGGCCCCATGTTGCTCCTGGGGATCGTTAAGATCTCCCAGCAGGCTCAGGATCAGCAGCCAGGTCCAGACAGCAAACACCTGTTCTGTCACCAGGAGCTCCAGGAAAGCGTGCCTCCCTCTCTGAGAGTCAGAGAGCAAATGACAGCATCCCGCCCCTCTCCGATGAGCTTTTAAAGCCTCAAGAGGCGGCTAGCCCCACCCCAAATCCCTCCCCCCGACCAATCAGACCTCCCTGAATACCCCCCCCTTGGCTACCCCCTCTTATTGGACAAATCCACATTGAGGTGTCATCTTGCTTCCGACTGCCTTGTATGTACTTCCTCTCTAGCCAGCCTGCCCTGCCTCTCAATCTCCCAGGTACCTTGCAAGCATCATGACTAGCTCGGAGTCCACCCCACACCCCCTCCACCAGCCCCTGTGCATTCGTTTCTAGCAAGTTCTTCTCCCTCTCTCCTCCAGTGCAAACACCTGGCAAAGAGATGTAGATTGCAGAGCCGGAGCACAGAGTCTTTCATAGGATCCAGTGCTAGACCAAGCCAGTCCACAGCCCCCAGCAGGGTATAGGGGATAGCCGGTGGCCCCTTGAACGCTAGATGCTTGCCTCTGCAAGTATCCTTGTGAGGTCCATCCCACGCCCCATGCCCTTGCCTGTCTAGAGCCTTCTGTGTCCCGCGGGGAACAGGGGACTACTGCTGGGAGCTCCCACCCCCAATCTGGGTCCCTAATCCCTAGGGAACTTAACCCCGCTCCCTTTCTCGCCAGGAGCCTCTTGGCTCCCTTAGCGGCAGCTGCGAGTAGCCGCTCAGTCCGGTCCAGGTCTTGCACTCTCCATAAAGAGATGTACCCTGCGCCCGACTCTGGAAGTGGGGAGCGGGTCTGCACCCTGGGACCTAGGGAAGGCATTGGTGGCCACTCGGTCCTCAGTTTGGGGGCGAACGGGAGCGGGAGCTCGTCTCCTTTCCAGCTGCCGGCAGCCAGGCGGCGGAAGCCAAGGGACGCTTTGGGAAAAAGTAAAACAGGCAATAAAGCTCTTCTCTTGGGTCCCCGCTTCTCAAGGAAACTCAGGACGAGAGGCTCTGACGCCTCTCCCTCTCGGGATGCTCGGCATTCTCTACTGAGCGGCACGGGGCAGTCAGGAAGGCTGAAGGAGCTGCGCCGCAGCCGCGGGAAAGGTGCGGAGGTGTCACGCGGCTAAACCAAGAAGCCTCTGGCTGACCGGCGATCCCTGCCTCAGTCAGGATTCCTCTCGGTCTTTCTCCTTTCCCATGCCCTTCTGGGGTTCTCGTTTCGACCCCATCCCTCTCAGGCCTCCCCCCTCGCCCTCCACACCGCGGATCTCTGTCCCCGTGCGTCACAGTTCCCCTGCGGTGCGCCCAGGATCTCGCTCCGCGGGGACCACGGAAAATTCGAATATTCGGGCAAAACTAAAGGGGCGTGATTCGGACACTCGTTCCCTCAATAACCTTGGTCACGGGAATGGATTTCTGCCGGCTACTAAAAGTTACGGCTCCTGTCGAGAAGCCTTTCAAAATCTCAGTAAACACCTTGAAACTTGTTCCAGACTAGTCTTCTTGCCACAGTAGGGGAGAGGGGTTGCACTGGCCGGGAGCGCCATCGTCTGGACACAGCAGCCCTCTTGCCCCGGGGTGGGTGGGGGGACGGACAAGGCGGGGTAGGTAGTAGGGGCCTGTTACGCGACGAACTTCAACATTCAGATACCTTTAACGAAAAAAACAGACACTGTTGAAAACCAAGATTGCACACACTGTCTCTAGCTATAAAGCCTAAACTGGAAATGTGTCTCCTTGTTTGAAAATGAAGCCCCCACCCCAATCCTGCGGCTTTCGCGTCTGTGAACTGAATCCGGCGCGAATTACAATCTCCCGCCTGGAGGCTTTTCACATTCATTATCTCACTGCCCCTCGCTGGCTGGAACTCCCGGCCGCGCGCGCTCGCATTTTTTTCCGTAAGTGCAGACAGTGAAGGGGCTCCGCTGTCCTCCCCACACAGCTGTGCGCCCTGTAAAGAGGCTGTCAGTCAAAAGCCCGTCCGCGCAGTGGAGTATTTTGTAGGATGCACATCAGGCTGTTCTTGCTGGTTCCCCGAGAGTTTGGATCCCTTCACTTGTGGGAAGGGGCGATTTTGAATTCAAATAAGTAAACAAAATACATTTGAAGGAAAAAACGAAACACACCTTCTAGTGACTTAAGACACTAGACTCCCCCTGCCCCAAACAAACCTGTAAGGAGAGCTTGCAAACCTTGCAGGCATTGCTACACTCCAGTGTACTGCACTTCTGAGATGAGGTGGCTAGAGCCCCCGGGAATTCCCCGCGGATGTGGCCTGAACATCCCTGGGATTGAGGAGCAGGCAGGAGAGCAAGGGTGAGCTGACTCCCTGGCCCCTACCCCTGCTTGGACACTACTTGACTGTGACCTGGTGGGACTTGGTTTTTCAATACTAGACAAGTGGAAAAGGTGAATATTTTAATGATCTAGGGGGACAGAATTATGTATCCGGTTAAAATAATTTTCTTATTTTTATGAACTCGTCTTAATAAAGATTCTGAACATGGCCCCAGTACTAAGAAAATCAGATATTGACAAAAAAATTAGCCGGGCGTGGTGGCGGGCGCCTGTAGTCCCAGCTACTAGGGAGGCTGAAGCAGGAGAATGGCGTGAACCCGGGAGGTGGAGCTTATAGTGAGCCGAGATCCCGCCACTGCACTCCAGCCTGGGCGACAAAGCAAGACCCCGTCTCAAAAAAAAAAAGAAAAAAGAAAATCAGATATTGAATCAGTTATAAGGATACATATGAGGGAGAAAATCGGTCCCTGTTTGCAAAGGCAAAACAAGTCTCGTGCAGTAAGTTCAATTGCTTTGGAAGAGTTAAGGGGGAGTCCTTTATTGGATAGAGTGTAATGTGCATGGTTTAAGATTCCACTGGATTTTTAATTAAGTCTCTTTCTAAAAGGCTTGTTAGGAAGCCCTAAATAACTGGAGTGGACATAAACCCTTTATTTGAGATTTTAAAGCTATTAAGATATCCAATCCAAATAGAGGAAACCTGGAATATTCCCAGAGGAATGAGAGGGCAAGTGAGCAGTTTCTGCTCAGGAATGGGTAATCCTTCTGAGCACATGAGGGTACTGCCTGCATCTTCAGTTCCCTGATTTACATCGGCAATGATGGAAGGTTACCTTTTATCAAACGTTCTAAGCTCTCTGTTTAACCCTCCAGCACTATAATAATGCCTTGCTTGTAACTAGTGAGTACAGTTTTAAATAAGCATATTATAGTTTTCAAAAGTTCATTGGGAAAATGTTTTCTCACAATGTCATTAAATAGATAAGAAAACTGAGGCCCCAGAGAGGTGAAAGAACTTGTCCAAGGTCATGCCAAGGCTTAAATCCAGGCTGGATTCCCTCTCAGCTCAAGGTCTTTCTCCCACAACCCAGCTTCATCAGACAGTGGTTTTTGTTTGTTTGTTTGTTTTGTTTGTTCGCTTGTTTTTGTTTTTTTGTTGTTGTTTTTGTTTTTGTTTTTTTGAGATGGAGTCTTGCTCTGTCGCCCAGGCTGGAGTGCAGTGGCGCGATCTCGGCTCACTGCAAGCTCTGCCTCCTGGGTTCACGCCATTCTCCTGCCTCAGCCTCCCGAGTAGCTCTGGGACTACAGGCACCTGCCAACACGCCCAGCTAATTTTTTGTATTTTTAGTAGAGGCGGGGTTTCACAATGTTAGCCAGGATGGTCTCGATCTCCTGATCTTGTGATCCGCCCGTCTCCGCCCCTCAAAGTGCTGGGATTACAGGTGTGAGCCACCGCGTCCGGCCAAGACGGTGTTTTGCTCTGGGTCTTAATAGTGTGGACTTTGTGTTCTCTTTTTTGTTGCTGTTGTTCTGGTTTTTGTTTGTTTGCCTGTTTTTATTGAGATGTAATTCATATACCTCATATACCATAATATTCACCCTTTAAAGTGTAGAATTCAGTAGTTTTTTGTATATACACAAAGTTGTGCAATCATCATCACTATCTAATTTCAGAACATTTTCAACACCCCAAAAAGAACCCTCATACCAATTAGTAGTCACTCCAGACTCCCCGCCACCTTCCAGCTCCTAGAAACCATAAATCTGCTTTCACTTTCTATGGACTTGCCTATTCTGGACATTTCACCAAAACAGAATCTCACAATATGTGGCCTTTGCATCTGGCTTTTTTCCCTTAGCATAATGTTTTCAGGTTCATCAATGTAGTAGCATAGGTCAACACTTCATTCCTTTTTATGGCTGAATAATATTCCATTGTATAGATACACCACATTTCATTTACTCATTCATTGGTGGATGCTTGAGTTCTTTCCACTTTTGACTATTGTGAATAATGCTGCTATGAACATTTTGGGCTCTCTTTTAGCCCCAAGCAACCCTGGTCCAAGTTAGACAGGCAGAGGGCCTCTTAGTGCCAGCTCACACCTCCCGTCTCCCCCAGGTGGAGCTGGACAGCCAGCCAAGGCCTGTTCCAAGCACTCCAACTTTCTCTGGCCAATGCTTCTCTCAATTTATTAGATCATTTGTTAAAGCTACATGGGACCATTGGTTGATACTCTAATGTATAAGACTAGCAAAATGAGAATTTGATGCAAACCCAATAAGAATGAAAATGTCTTTCAGCTTGAATACAAGCAGAACATTCTCAATTTGTTTCCACATGTTTGGAGACAACTACCTCTTCATAGGAAGTTACATAGGAGCCTCTTGGCTGCTTCACCCATCCAGGCCCTGCCCCTCCTGCTCCTCCCATCCCAGCAGCTTAATGAAGTGGGACTACATTTGACTCAATTCTTGAAAGTAAAAACAAGCCCAGAACCCAGCTTTACTACTAGTCAGATATGTGACCTTGGGCAAGTTACTTAGCGTCTCTGTGTCTCAGCCACCTCACTATAAAATGCAGATAATCACAGTGCCTCATCATAGGGTTGATAGGAAAGTTAAATGAGATAATGCATATAAGCACTGAGAACACTACCCAGAACAGAAAAAGCATTCAAAAACCACTGGCTATTATCATGATTATTATCCTGAAAGTTTCTAATACTCTGTCTAGACTCTACTCTGTTGCACTTCCATTGAGAACAGGGGCTCTCTGCGATATCAGGAGACTCTGCACCTAGCACACCCAGGCTCCAATTCCTGGCAGAAGCCAACCAATGGGCACACACTAGCATCCCAGGCCCCTGTGAGTGTGTCAGATGGAAAGGGACATACAGAGTGACTTGCCTTTTCACTGCCCCCCACAACCCCCGAGATGCTTCACTGACACAGTTTGTATCTTTTTCCACAAGAAAGAACAATCAAATTCCTTTACATCGTTTCAGTATGAAAGTAGGAAGTATGGTTGGCCTAGAAATAGGTGAGATCCCAAGTGCATAGGTGGCTGGGAGAGCTCAGGCAGGAGAAACTGGGTTTCAACGGAGCGTGGGGCCAGTCCAGGCTAAGGGAGCTCTGGTTCCAGGTCGAAAGTGGGGCCAAGACTCCAATGGTAAGGTTGAATCTTCAAAGGAACTGAGTAGGGATTTAGGCAGGAATGAAGTCATTGGAACCGAGAACAAGCCAAGTCACAACATTAGCCAACTCAAGAGCAGTTTGGGACAGGTACTGATTTTTTTCCTAATCAGACTGCGTCTGGTCACATTTACTTTACCAACTTGGAGACACCGTTCACATTTGTGAAATGAACAGAGAGAATGATTGTCCTCTCCAAATCCCCCAGGCTTAATTCATCATGGTTAGAACCACTTTATCTTCTCCTTGTGCTTGAGTCATTAGAGAGAGCAGGACACATGCATTTCCTTTAGTGCAATCAGGGGCTCACCAAAATAATTAGCAGCCAGTATTTCCAGGATCTTAGTGTCTGATAAAGACTACAGGTTAGGTGGTTCAAATCAAAGGGTGACCAGGGAGAGAAGACGCACATTAATTACTTGTAGTAACACTTGGACTCCCTTCCCCTTGTACAATTTATCTGCTAATTAGAGCTTAATGAACAATATCCATTTTCTTAGCTTCTCATTCTAGCCAAGCATGATCACCCGTGCATTTAACGACTGTCCCTTTTATTAATCATCCTCATGACTTCTCATGCAAAAAGCCCTCCTCCACTTGCTCTGTGAGTTCTGCTTCAGCCACCCCACTGCAGGACATAGGCCATGGGTACCCATTAAGCCCCAAACCAGTCCTCTTTCTGCGAACCCTGCAGGTCCACTCAGCTCCTAATAATAGCTAACACATATGAATGTGTGCTTCCTAGATGCCAGACTGTTCTGAGTGCTTTGCTCATATATTCTCATTTAATCCTCACAATAGGCCTATGAAATAGGCACTATTACTATGCCTGCTTTACAGATGAAGAAAGTGAGGCCCAGAGAGGTTAAGTCACTTGCCCCAGGTCACACAGGTAATAAGTGGTAGAGCCAGAAGTCTAACTTGGGCAGTCTGGCTCCAGAATCTGTGCTTTAACCACTGTGCCTCATGGCTTATTTGCAGGCCACACCTGGTTCCTGGCTCTAGAGCACTGGGTCTCAAATTTAGTGCATGACAGAGCAGCCAGGAGTATTAAGAAATTGCAGCTTTCTAGGCCTTCCCCTAGAGAGTGTGACTTGGCAGGTCTGTACGGGGCCCTGGAATCTGCATGTTTCCCAAGTGTCTCAGGTGATTCTAATGCAAGCAGCCCAGGAATCCCTTCTAGAGAAATCCTGCTGTTAACTCAGCCCTGCCCCTAGCCCTTGGCAATTTAAGGATGTCTAGGTCTGTCATCCAGTGACTCCTGCTGAGTTTGCTCTTGAGGGTTTATATACTAGTCCCTGCTGGGACTTTATAAACTTGTTCTAGTGTATAAGATCTTGCTTTGACCCTCAGACTAAACCCTACCCTCTATCACAGTTCTGGTGATGGGGTTCCCAGCCCAATGCCTGATAATAACCTGACCAGCTCCCTGAAAACAGGGCAACCAGAGGCCTGACTATGGCCACCTTCCTGCTGCCAAACTCATCCTGATGGCTTGCCTGAGTAGGGTTGCCTATTTATCAAAAATACAGGATGCTCAGTTAAATTTGAATCCCAAGTACATTCTTAGTATAAGTATATTCCATGCAATATTCGGACATACTTATACTCAAAATTGTCCACTGTTTATCAGAAATTTAAATTTAGCCAGGGGCCGTGTATTTTATCTGGCAGCTCTATGGCTGCGGACCACCTGTAGCTGACCCTAAATGAGCCAAATATGAGGACTTGGCATTGGTTGGTAATGGGATTTTCTTTCTCCCCTTCCCCCGAGCAAGGGGCTCAGTCAACCCTGGGGAGCAGGAACTATTGATTCAGGATTGGAGGGGCCCAGTTCTGGCTGTCAACTTGCCATCTGCCTCTGGCGGATACTGATTTGATATATTTCCTACTCGCTTTAGCCAGCCTCCTCTGTTTGCTCAGGAGATTCATAACCCATTCTTAGAAACATGCCTGTCTCCTGTTTGCCTGAGTAGTACGCTACTGTAGAATCGCCCCTGTACGTAGCAGTTTGCAAATTGACCCCTGGCATTTGAGGAATGTACATACTGTTTTGAATTGGGCTTATATTTGAAACGACTGTGTGTTTTGTATCCATGCCATCTTGTAGGTATGGTGAGTCTCTCTCCGAACCTC
The DNA here is from genome assembly GCF_000001405.40 of Homo sapiens. Lineage (NCBI taxonomy): Eukaryota > Metazoa > Chordata > Mammalia > Primates > Hominidae > Homo > Homo sapiens. Next base: position 151,169,032 of record NC_000023.11, on the reverse strand, counting down.
AATTGCAGCTGCCCTGGAAGACTTAGCTTTTGGGGGTCCTTCCCAGGACTCCCCCAAATCAATTTTGTATATTCCATGTAACATATCTTCTGAGTCTGACCATTATAAAGCTACCTCCAAATGCAGACAACATCTATCTAGCCATTTTCACATGATGTTATAACACACGAGCAGTCAGAAAAAAAAAGTATACTTTTATTGAAATAGCTTTGTCACCTAAGCCAGAGGGTTGGGACTCCCTTATTACATCTGTATCCATTCTAGTCAGAGGGAGGCCCATGAGTGAAAGGTGGGGAATTGTGTGTACAGGAACCACCTCCTCAAGCTAAGTATTACTGGAATGGAGAGGAAAGTGTGTGGAGGGCCCAGGGGGGAGATGTGTCTGTCTGGAATATTAAAGAAGCAAAAGGACAAACTGCAATAAAACACGCTAGCAGGACCATTCATTTGGCTGTAGAGTCACCAAAGGAAATCACTGGAACTTTCTGTAAGTGGATGCAAATGAGGAAACAATCCCACACTAGCCTGGGTCGAAAAGACTCCAAGACTTCACCTATTTTTTTCATTGCTGAGGCCAGCGCCAATTTGTAAGACTTAAAGCCCCAGGGAATTAGATTGAACAGATATTGTAATTCCAGTGACACAGGGCCCACAATGAGCCCCCATTTGGAACAAACACCAAAAACACTTCCTGAGTCTCCCCTCTGGCCTGACCTGCAAGGCTCTGATCTGAGGAGCAGCTGATGAAGTAGGCGTCAAAAAGAAGCCCCCTTCCTCTCCTGCATCCTCAGATAATTGCCTGCTGACAATTAGCTAGTAGTTCTGGTGCTTCTATCCTCTCTGAAACAGATAGTTCATAGTTAAGTTCCACTTTCTAGTCAAAATTGCCTTACGTCGCCAGTATGCTTCTCACTGTCTGCTTTCTGTTCTCACTGTGTGATGAAGACATACCCGAGACTGGGAGGATAAAGAGGTTTAATTGGACTTACAGTTCCACATGGCTGGGGAGGCCTCAGAATCATGGTGGGTGGTGAAATCCACTTCTCACATGATGACAGCAAGAGAAAAATGGGAAGAGAAAAATGAGGAAGATGTAAAGGCGGAAACCCCTGATAAAACCATCAGATCTCGTGAGACTTATTCACTACCATGAGAACAGTATGGGGGAAATCGCCCCCATGATTCCAATTATCTCCCACCAGGTCCCTCCCACAACACATGGGAATTATGGGAGTACAATTCAAGATGAGATTTGGGTGGGGACACAGAGTCAAACCATATCACTGTGACACATTACATTTTCTAAAATGAAAAAACAAACAAAAAAATAAAAAAACACATTCTTATGACTTTCCTTCCACTTGGAGATGTCCTTTGGCTTTCACAGAAAACTCAAGTAGTTTGATTGGAAAGGATTTTGAGGTGATCACCAAACCCTTTCCTTCACTCCTTCCTTGCTGTCACATTCTACTGCATTGGAGAAGGAAGGCTTCTGGATCTCCAGAGAGGCAGAATTCAGCTGCCCTCCATGTGTGAGGGGTAGTAATGACCTTAGCTTCTTTCTTTCTTTCTTTCTCTTTCTTTCTCTCTTTCTTTTTCTTTCTTTCTTTCTTTTTCTTTCTTTCTTCTTTCTTTTTCTTTTTTTTTTTTAGATGGAGTCTCTCTCTGTCGCCCAGGCTGGAGGGCAGTGGCGACATCTTGGTTCACTGCAACCTCCACCTCCCGGGTTCAAGTGATTCTCCTGCCTCAGCCTCCAGAGCAGCTGGGATTACAGGCGTGTGCCACCACACCCAGTTAATTTTTGTTTTTTTAGTAGAGACGGTGTTTCACCATGTTGGTTAGGCTGGTCTCGAACTCCTGACCTCGAGATCTGCCCACCTCAGCCTCCCCAAGTGCTGGGATTACAGGCTTGAGCCACCGCGCCTGGCCAGCTGCTCTTTTTCAATAGCATCTGTGTGTTACACACAGTGCCTCATGTCATTTATTCCTCACAGAAACCCAGTAAGATCATTGGCATTGTTATGAGGGAACAGAGGCTCTGAGAGAAGAAGCCATCTTTCCTATCAGGCACGTCTTCTCTTTCCTCAAACTTCCTCCCTCTCGTGTCCACTCCCAGTGAGGATAGACCCAGGAGCTGGGCTTGTGGTCAGCATGATAGGGGGATGGTTTACTCTGGGATGTAACTGACTAGCTGAATGCTTTCCCTGGGCTTAAGCTGGCAGAGAAAGCCCCAGGATCTCAGGTCTTATCCAGGTCCCGGAAGGTAGTCTTAGCTCCACCCAGTTTTCTTTGCACCAGCTGCCCTGGTGTGAAACGCTGAGGTCCTGGTAGTGCTGCTGTGCCTCAAAAGCTGAGCCAAAAGGCTGGCTGGGCACGCATGCCTTCCTCTACTGCAAGCACTGCTCCACCAACTCCCACGTGGAGACGGGTGAGGGAACTTGGAACATACCCTTAAGCATCCCTTTGACCTTGCCTTTGAGTAGGAGTCAGTTGGTCAAATATCTGGGAATATTTGGGCTGTTTTTCTTGTTGCCAAGACAACCAAGCCTCTCTTTTCAGGCTGGCTACCAACAGCTATTCTTGGGCTGCTTTGGGTAGTGCTTTTTGTTACTGCTCTTAAGATATTCTTTCCTACCTTCAGGTCATGAAGATACTCTCCTATACTATCTTGTAAAAGCTTTCTAGTTTTTTCTTTCACATTAGGTCTCTAGTCTATCTGGGCTTGATTTTTTTATGTACTGTGTGAAGTAGGACTCTAATTTTTATACATGTATTTGTGTCTTCTTAAGCAATATTTTGTAGTTTTTAGGATACAAGTCTTTCACTTCCTTGATTAATTTTATTTCTATGGGTTTTTTGTTTCTTTGTTTTGTTTTGTTTTTTGAGACAGAGTCTCACTCTGTCGCCCAGGCTGGAGCGCAGTGGCATTATCTCGGCTCACTGCAACCTCTGCCTCCTGGGTTCAAGTGATTCTTCCACCTCGGCCTCCCAAGTAGCTGGGACTACAGGCACGCACCACCACACCCAGCTAATTTTTGTATTTTTAGTAGAGACAGGGTTTCACCAAATTGACCAGGCTCGTCTCGAACTCCTGACCTCAGGTGATCCACCCGCCTCAGCCTCCCAAATTGCTGGTGTTACAGGCATGAGCCACCATGCCTGGCCAATTTTATTCTTTTTGATGCCATTGTAAATGCAATTGTTTTCTTAATTTCCTTTTTGGATTGTTCATTGTTAGTGTATAAAAACTAAATTGAAATTTATGTGTTGATTTTATATCCTGCAACCTTGCTGAATTTGTTTACTACTTTAACTTTTTGTTGTGTAACCTTTAAGGGTTTTCTACACATAAGATCATGTTGTCTGTAAGCATAGATAATTTTACTTCTTTTTTTAATTTGGATGCCTTTTATTTCTTTTTCTTGCCAAATTGCTTCAGCTAGTACTTTCAGTACTATGTTGAACAGAAGCAGTTAGAGTTGGCATCCTTGCCTCATTCTTGATCTTACAGGAAAAACTTTCAGTCTTTCACATTGAGTATGTTATTAGCTGTGGGATTTTTACTTATGGCTTTTATTATGTTGAGGTATTTTCCTTCTGTTTTATTCATAGTTTTTTTTTTATCATGGCATTGTTGTGAATTTTGTCAAATGTTTCTTTCCGCATCAATTGAGATGACCATGTGGGTTTTCTGCTTCATTCTGTTAATGAATGAATATTCCACTGATTGATTTTTGTGTGTTGACCCATCCTTGCATTCTAAGAATAAATCCCACCTGGTCATGGTGTATAATCATTTTAATGTGCCATTGAATTTGGTTTGCTAGTATTTTGTTTATATTTTGGCGTCAATATTCATAAGGGATGTTGGCTTATAGTTTTATTTTCTTGTAGTGCTTTTCCCTGGTTTGGTTATCAGGGTAATGCTGGCCTCATGGGATGAGTTTGGAAGGGTTCTATCCTCTTCAATGTTTTTGAAGAGTTTGAGGAGCATTGGTGTTAATTCTTCTTTAAATGTTTGATGGCATTCCCCATTGAAGGCTTTTGGTCCTGGACTTTTCTTTGTTGGAATATTTTTGGCTGCTGAGTTAATCAACAGGTCCTCTGGATCTTGCAGTCACCTAGGAGGGGGCAGGTTGACTTTTGTTTTACCTCTACCCTGAGGTTATAGCTTTATATTGGGGTCCCAGTGTATTATGAGGGAAAATCTCCTAACAGACGCTTCCCTCCAGCCTTTGGCTTCTGAACCCCTTGCCCCATGAGGCTGTCAAATCCTAAGTTCAAGTTTGCCAGGATACCCTCAAAGCAAATGTTTTATTCCATGAAACTTTGTGAGCTATCATGTTTCCTTAGATTTCAGACTTGTAGTTTCATTCTCTGTTTCAGATATTGTGTGCTTCTAAGATTTTTAAAATATGTATTCTGTCTAACTTCTCTGGTTGTTTTCAGCAGATGAATTGGCCCAATTAACCTAGCCTGCCATATTCCTAGAATTGGAAGTCCTCAATCCATTTCATTTTCTATGAAGAGAGTTCTCACCACCAGAAAACGGACTTATATTCTGGAGTGCATGGTCCAACTGCACTATGTACAGACTTCCAAACCATTCCTTTCCCTGATTTTTTTCAGCCTCCCATCTCTCTCCTGTCCTCTGGATCTCCAAATCCTGATTGTCTTTAGGGCTCTTCCATAAAACTGGTTCCCTCCTTAACAGCCCGTTCTTCATATACTCCAGCAGACAGCTCCTTTCATTTCTATTTGTCAGTTGCCACTCTTTCATCTGCATTATGCCCTGCAAACAGTCACTGAAATCTCTCTATGAGAATATCTCATGTTCTCTTTGTGATCCTTGATTTACACTTTTTCCCTTTTATTATTCTTAGTGGCATCTCAATAGGGCTTAAAGATAAACCTAAGCACTCAGTCTATCATCTTTACATGGTAGCCCTCTTCACTCTTCAGGCCACTATAACCTGGATTTCATCTCCACCACTCTTTTGAAACTGACTTTGGCAAGGTCACTCAAAAACCACCTCTATGTTGCTAAATTCAATGAATATTTTCCATTAGTCATCTTCTTTGACATCTCCACAGTATATGATAAGATTAACCATTCCCTTCTTGAAACACTCTCTTCTCTTTGTTTGCTTACATGACAACATACTCTCTTGAATCTCTGCTTACCCCTCTGGCCATTTATTTTCCAGCTGCTTCTTTTCCTCTCACCAACATGTCAATGGGCAACTGAACTCAAGTTTAAAGGATGTGATCTCTATTTTTCACGCTATTCAATTTGAACAAATGGCCTTGACTCTGCAGACTTCAGTATATGACTTCTAGAAGCATTTCCAGCTCTAAGTTTTTAGAATTTCATATTTTTGAAGATCTTTTCAGGAATGGAAATGATAGTAAATAATTTCTATGAAAGCTTAGTAGGACCACACCAGTTCCAAACAACAATACTTAATGCTCTATTCTGGAGAAAGAGACTCCCTTAGAGAAGCAAATGCCCTTTGGGGCTCAGCAGCTTTTATTTAGCTGTGTGTGATGTGTGACCAAATGCTTTGTCCTAGACCTCCATCTTGTGTGGGACTGTGGGTTTAAGCAGAAGTATTTAGTAACCTTACCTGGGGCTATGTCAAAAAGAGGATTAGCAAAAGAATCACAGCACTGGTTCCTTCTTTAGATCACAGTGTGATATCCTATTTGACACAGAGATATATTAAGAAGGCCATCTGGAAAAATTAATTCCCAGCAAATGAATCGTGTATCTTCAGTACTCTGTAGCAATTATGGGATATATCCTTTTATAATTTAGTATCTTGTATAGGATCCAAAATCAAACCACTGTGAAATGTTGATGGTGAGGGGAAAGAAACTAGTTTTTTCCACCAGTCTTTTATTTTTGTGTCTAAAGTTCCAAGATACACTGCCCATTTTTCACTAGCTTAATTTTTCTTATGTGATATGTGATTGTTTAGGAAAAATAAACAGCAGTTTATGCTCAAATTGAAGAAAAGACATGTTATTCATTTCTGGTAATGGTTTTTCAGAAAGAATTGAGAGATAACATATATCTGTAGCACTCTCAGGATGACTTAGGCCTGATTTCTAACCCAGCACTGTCCAGCAGAACTTTCTGTGATGATGGAAGTGCTCTCTATCTCCAATATGGTAGCCACTAGCTGCCTGTGGCTATTGAACACTTGAAATGTGGGTAGTACAACTGAGGAAGTGATGTTTAAATTGTATTTAATTATTAATTAATTTAGACTTAGAGTTAAATAGCCACATGTGGCTCCTGGCTACAGTAGTAGCCTGCAGTTATAGAAAATCGACTTTAGTGTTTTCCATCTACGCAATCTTGGAGTCAGAGTGCATATGAAAGTGAAGCAAATGGTTTCCAAGAGCCCTCTTGATTCTAAAGACTTCCCTTCATTCTGCCCCCACTGCCACCTCCTCAGAGAAGAGTCATAAAAAATATTCTCCAAATAGCATGAAGCCAAACAGGAAGTCAGAATGGCAGGACAGGTTGGCTGGTGAAATGAGAGCTGACTCCTGAGTCCATATCCACCCTAACATTTGTGGGGCCCAGGACAAAAGAAAAAATGGAGGGCCATGTGCTGTATGTCTAAATATTTAAGTTTTAATGAAGGTAACAAGACGTTAAATAAAAATGTGCTCTATTCTCCTAGCTTTGCAATTATAACTTCCTAATGACCAAAAGGGTAGGTCCAAATTTAAAATTCTTAGACTCTTCAGAGTTCTACTCTTGAACTTGGATAGTCATCCCCCAGCTCCTGGTTGAGGCTACTCCCTTTCTCTTCCCACTACCACTCTATCCAACACTGTGAGGGGCTCCCTTTACATGCTTGTGGACACCTGAGCATGCACATCCACACGTTGGCCAAACTCCCCACAAACAGCCACCACTTGGCCACATCTTGCACGTTGTCAATGTCTCAGTTCACCTTCAGGAAGATGTACCTAAAAGCAGGCGAGGGGCAGTATGGACAGGGAATTCTTCAGTCCTGGGCAACTAAAGCATGGTCTAGAAGTGCGGGGAGAGGTATCAGCTCTGGTCTAGTGCAACCTCTTGATCCTTTGGACTCGTTGACCCTGCCATGAGTCATTCACTTTAACAGATATTGCTCTGGCCCTCCTCCAGCCTTGCCACCCCTTAAAGGGCAGGTTCCAGGGCAAGGGCCACTCCTGCCAAGTGCTAAGTGCAGTTTTACCTGAGTTTAAGACTGTGAAGAGTTATGATAAACCTTACCTTAAATCAGAGGTGTGGCCTCCACACTGTGCTGTGGAAGAGCTAGACTTGTGGACAGTATACCTGAGCTACTTTCAAGATGGAGTAACTGATGTGCCCAGAGAAAGTCCAGGCCTTGAAGGTGACGGAGAGTGAGAGATGGAGGAGCCTGCCTGTAAGAAAGGGGGGAAAGAAAGGAAGGCATTTCAGACACCACCACCATGCCCTTTGCCAGTCTTAGCACCCTGCCTGGCCTGAGGGGGAAGAGATGTAAAAAGTCAGCTGTAGGCAAGGTGCAGGTAATGAACACAAGGATTATGGAGAAGTTGCGAGGCCAGCCGAGGCTTTGCAGTGTGAATACATAACAAGTGCAATCAGGTGATAAGACACAAGGCAGTACTCAGGCAGTGCTAGGTGACAGAGGGATGGAGGGAAGCTGCCAGGAAGTAGGCACCAAGGGAAATTTCTCAGCGCCAGGGACTGGAAAGAGAAGAACACTGCAAGGGCAGTAGCCAGGGCCCTGCATGTGGCTTCCCTGTGCCAATTGAAAATTCTGTGTTGGGGTCCGTGGCAAGGGAGGAGCAGTTGGGTGGGGACTACAAGCCAGGCTGGGAAAACCCAGAGGGCTTGAGAGCTGAGAAGTCCCATGGAGATTGGGAGGGAAGAGGCTGTGCTTCTGGCCCACAGTTCTTGAGAGCAGAGCAGAGTCCCTAGGTGCAGGGCCCCAGGGGACAGCTGCATTTATGGGAGGTCACGGCAGAGAAGCAAAGGGACTCATGCATCTGGCAAGATGAGGGGCTGGGAAGTGAGGTGAGGCTGGGCCAGCATAAGAAGCCAGGAGGGGAAATGGGGAGAAGAGGAGACTGAGTCAGGGGAAAAGGGATGAATGTAGCTGTCCCAGTGGAGGGAGGCAGGCCAAGCCTGTGCAGACCAGCCTTCTAGGGAGCTCCTGGGAAGAGCCTATTCTAGAGCCCTTTTCAGAGGATGGATTCCGAAGGCTGGATGCCTCGATTTTACTTCCTGGAGCTACCATATAAGAGTCATGTTAGTTTGGACATGTCCCTTCACCTCTCTTTGCTACTGTTTTCCTCACCTAAAAAAAAGGGATAATGACACAACTAATGCAACAATATGGGATTGTCATTATGAATACAGAAAATAATAATTGGAAATCTCTCCAAACCAAGCCTGACAAAAATTAGCACTCAGTAGATGCCAGCTGTTCTAATCAGGTATCAGAGCTGGGCCACATGTCCCCCCTACAGCCAGGTTAACTTCCTTTGCACCTCTCTAGGATAACTCACAAGCTGCCATATCAGGACTTTGGCCTGGCCTCCAACCTAGAAATGCTCCTGGGCATTGACTGTGGTAGTGGTTTTAGGCACTTTTCATTGACCAAGGTGGAACCCTGTAGTCCTGTGCAACAGAGAGGTTGACTGTGTTAGCAAAACAAAAGGGAGCATACTCTCACTGACAGCAAGAAACCAAAGGAAGGCTTAGCCGGGTAGGGATGGCATGGGCATGCCACCAAAATACATACTCTTGTCCAGTGTTTGTGCCTAGTGCACTTGACCTGCACAGGAAAATGGGATGACATGACCCCATATCTAGAAAATCCCATCCTCTCAGCCCAAAATCTCCTTAAGCTGATAAGCAACTTTAGCAAAGTCTCAGGATACAATATCAATGTGCAAAAATCAAAAGCATTCCTACACACCAACAATAGACAAGCAGAGAGACAAATCATGAATGAACTCCCATTCACAATTGCCACAAAAAGAATAAAATACCTAGGAATACAGCTAACAAGGGAAGTGAAGGACCTCTACAAGGAGAATTATAAATCACTGTGCAAAAGAAATCAGAGATGGCATAAACAAATGGAAAAATGCCCATACTGCCCAAAGTAATTTATACATTCAATGCTATTCCCATTAAACTACCATAGACATTCTTCACAGAATTATAAGAAACTATTTTAAAATTCATATGGAACCAAAAAAGGGCCTGAATAGCCAAGGCAATTCTAAGCAAAAAGAACAAAGCTGGAGGCATCATGCTATCTGATTTCAAACCATACTCAGGGCTACAGTAACCAAAACAGCATGGTACTGGTACAAGAACAGGCATATAGACCAATGGAACAGAATGGAGAACCCAGAAATAAGACCGCACATCTACAACCATCTGATCTTTGACAAACTTGACAAAAACAAGCAATGGGGAAAAGATTGGATTCCATATATTTAATAAATGGTGCTGGGATAACTGGCTAGCCATATGCAGAAAATTGAAACTGGACTCCTTCCTTACACCATATGCAAAAATCAACTCAAGATGACTTAAATGTAAAACCCAAAACTATGAAAACCCTAGAAGAAACCTAGGCGATGCTATTCATGACATGGCCAAAGATTTCATGATGCAAATACCAAAAGCAAGTGCAACAAAGCAAAAATTAACAAACGAGATCTAATTAAACTAAAGAGCTTCTGTATAGCAAAAGAAACTATCAACAGAATAAACAAACAACCTACAAGATGGAAGAAAATTTGTGTAAACTATGCATCTGACAAAGGTCTAATATCCAGCATCTATAAGGAACTTAAACAAATTTACAAGAAAAAAACACAAAACCCCATTAAAAAGTGGGCAAAGGCCATGAACAGACACTTCTCAAAAGAAAACATACATGCAGCCAACAAGCATATGCAAAAAAGCTCAACATCACTGATCATTAGGGAAATGCAAATCCAAAGCACAATGAGATACCATCTCACACTAGTAAGAATGGCGATTACTAAAAAGTCAAAAAATCACGGATGCTGGCACGGTTGTGGGGAAAAAGGAACACTTTTACACTGTTGGTGGGAGTGTAAATTAGTTCAACCATTGTGGAAGACAGTGCAGCAATTCCTCAAAGACCTACAGACAAAAATATCATTCAACCCAGCAATCCCATTACTGGGTATATATGCAGAGGAATATAAATCATTTTATTATAAAGACATATGCATGCCTATGTTCATTGCAGCACTATTCCCAATAGCAAAGACATGGAATCAACCTAAATGCCCATCAATGATAGACTAGATAAAGAAAATGTGGTACATATATACCATGGAATACTATGCAGTCATAAAAAAGGAGGAGATTATATCCTTTGCAGGGACACGGATGGAGCTGGAGTCATTATCCTTAGCAAACTTACACAGGAACAGAAAATGAAATACCTCATTTTCTCACTTGTAAGTGCAAGCTAAATGATGAAAACACATGGACACATAGAGGGAACAATGCACACTGGGGCCTACTGGAGGGTGGAGGGAGGGAGGAGGGAGAAACTCAGGAAAAATAATAATGGGTACTAGGCTTAATACCTGGGTGAGGAAATAATCTGTACAACAAGCCCCCATGGCACACGTCTACCTATGTAACAAACCTGCACATCCTGCACATATCCCCCGAACTTAAAATAAAAGTTAAAAAAAAAATTTAAAAGATGAAATGCGGTCTTAAGGGTGGAGCCCTAATCCAATAGTATTGGTATTCTGATAAGAAAAGGAAGAGATGAGAGAGAGAGAGAGAGAGAGAGAGAGAGAGAGAGAGAGAGAGAGAGACAGAAAGAGAGAAGGAATCTGCATGTGCAGAGGAAAGATCATGTGAGGAAACAGCAAAAAATCAGCTGTCTACAAGTCAGAAAGAGAGTCCTCACCAGACACCGACCCTGCTGGCACCCTAATCTTAGACTATCTGACCTCCAACCTCCAAAACTGTAAGAAAATAAATTTCTGTTGTCTAAGCCACTCACTCTATGGTATTTTGTTATGGCAGCACAATCTGACCAACATAAAGAGCGTCCTCCTAAAACTTCATGTCTACCTGGAAATAAGGTCTTGGCAGATGTTATTATTTATGTGAAGGTGAAGTCATACCAGATTAGACTGGGCCCTAAATTCAATGCCTAGTGTCCTTATGAAAAAATACCACGTGAAGACGCAGTGACACAGAGACACAGAGGGGAGAACTCCACATGAAGATGGAAGCACAGAGATTGCAGTGATGCAGCTGCAAGGCAAGGAATAACAAGGACTGATAGCCACCACCAGTAGCTAGGGAGAGGCAAGGATTCTTCCCTACAGTCTTCAGAAAAAGCGTGACCCTGCTGACACCTTAAATTCAGACTTCTGGCCACAGTTAACTAATACAGTGGTAGAGCTCCAAGCTCTTTCTGTTCTTTCTCCTGCCCCACACTGCTTCTCCAATTAAATTTACCTCTATTTCTGAATTCAGAAGCTGTGTTAAGACTTTTTTCTTCCAACAAGATTTTTTTTTAAGAGACAAGGTCTTGCTATGTTGCCCAGGCCGAATTCCTGTGCTCAAGTAATCCTCCTGCCTCAGCCTCCCAAAGTGCTGGGATTACAGGCATGAGTCACCATACGTGGCCAAGAATTTTTAATGTTCAACATAATTTTTTATTTTTATTTATCTATTTATTTTGAGATGGAGTCTTGCTCTTGTTGCCCAGGCTAGAGTGCATTGGCTTGATCTCGGATCATTGCAACCTCTGCCTCCCAGGTTCAAGTGATTCTCCTGCCTCAGCCTCCTGAGTAGCTGAGATTACAGGCCCGCACCACCACGTTCGTGTAATTTTTGTATTTTTAGTAGAGACAGGGTTTCACCATGTTGGCCAGTCTGGTCTTGAACTCCTTACCTGAGGTGATCTGCCCACCTCGGCCTCCCAAAGTGCTAGGATTACGAGCATGAGCCACCGCAGCCAACAACGTAATTTTAAAAAATCTCTTGGGAACAATTTCAACAGTCAAGAGAGTGTAAGGTGAAACATAAAAACCTTCTACCTCCCTATCCTCTTGTCGTACTGCCCCTCCCCAGAAGGGACAGTGTTTAGCATCCCATTTGGGGTCCCTCCAGAGGCTGCCCATGCGTGGGGATGATACAGACCCTTTTTCTTAACCAGCTGATACCTTATTTTGCACACTGATAAGTAACTTGCTTCTTTCGCCTACCAAAAAGCCTCTGCCGTCTTCCTTTGGCCATCTGGGAGAAGGCTGTCCCGGGTAGTGCTCCTCAGCAGCACCTTAGGGGACAGTCTCTGAAGTCGTACTGTATGGGTTCAAATCCTGGTTCTACCACTTACCAGCTGCATGATTCTAGGCAATTGCTTAACCTCTCTCCTCCCAGCTGGCTCATCTGGGAAGTGAGTACCAATCTCACAACTTTCTACAAGGATTAAATAAATTAATGTACACAAAACACTTGGAACAGTGCCTGGTACAGAGAAAATGCTAGATACCTTGGTTTCGTTAACAGGCTTGTGGTATTCCCAACTATGAATGGATCATCATTTATATCTACACGGACATAGACACTGCTTCCAGCTTTTCACTGGTAGTTATCACTTCAGTTAACATCTTTGTGTGTGCCCCCTTGTGTGTGAGTGTCTAGAGGATAAATTCATGGGGATTGAGTTGGTTGTGCCAGTTTTCCCTTTTTCTGTTGCCTCACACCCACACGAACACCAGGTTCCTATAAAATACTTTCAAATTGTAATCAGTAATGCTGTCAACATTGTTGCATATATTGTGGTCTAGTAAGCAGTGTCTGTTCTTCCTTTCTTTTGATAAATACTTGCATTATTTGTTCATAAATATATTTCATGGTTGTTTACGAATGGCAAAGTGACAACTATCTTAGAGTTTCCTCTTTCAGGATGGCTTTTCACAGCTATATAGTGGTTGTTCAAAGGCCATTGTAAGAGCATCTGGGCTGGGCACTGTACTCCTAGCACTTTGGGAGGATGAGGCGGTGGATCACTTGAGGTCAGGAGTTCGAGACCAACCTGGCCAACATGGTGAAATCCTGTCTCTACTAAAAATACAAAAATTAGCCAGGCGTGGTGAGGGGGTGGGGGGCACCCATAATCTCGGCTACTTGGGAGGCAGGAGAATCGCTTGAGCCTGAGGGGCAGAGGTTGCAGTGAACCGAAATCACGCCACTGCACTCCAGCCTGGGTGACAGAGCAAGACTCCATCTCAAAAACAATAAGTAAATAAATAAGAGCATTTGGCCACATCTGGTACTGGAGACATGTAAGCTCAGAGGGCCCTGCTAGTAGACTTTCCTGGCTCAGTATATGTTGGGGTGGAAATTACCTGCACTCCCTTTAGACAAGAAAAGCTGATTCAGAACCTGTCATACTTGGTATTAAGCTAATGGAGCCCACTCTATTTTCAGACAAACCCCAGTGTCTGAACCCTTGGATAATTTGCAGTGGAGTCATATGGACTCAGGGTGGCTTGCCAGGGGTCAGTCAGTACGTCAGAAAAAAATGAGATTGGTGACGTGGAGAGTATTATTAGCATTCAAGTGCTCAGTTCCAGCAGCAGGAGCGTACAGCATGAACAACCAACTTGGCCATTAGTCATCTTGAAATCACCTGAACGGATGACTCTTGATAAGATAGGAAAAAAACAACCATTGTACAACAGAGAAAATATGATTTTTAGGAAGGTAGAGAGGAACTAGTGTTTGGGTTCACTTGTTTGGGGGTTGTTTCTCGCTGTTCCCCTTCCTCTGTGCTAGAAAGAATGGAAAGAAGAAAGTGATAAGTGAATAAATATAGAAAAATACAAAATATTCATAGAATTATGAAATCCTCTTCTCAAAAATAAAAGATTTCAGAAGTCATCCAGGTTAGTCCCTTCTTGTACAAGTGAGACAACTAGGTCTCTGAGAAGGAAAATGATCTGATCCCAGTCACCTGTGCAGGGAATCCAAGCAAGTCAATTACGTTCATTCAGCCCCAAGTCTCTTGCGTGCTCCGGGCCCTATTCTGGGGGTTAGAAACACAGGGAAAAACAAAGCAAGGCCCCAGACAGGCTTCTCTTTAGGTTGGGCAGAGGTCTGAGGTATAGAGAGAATAATGATGCAAGGCAAGGACTGGGAGAAGAGCAGGGAACAGAACAAGAAGCTTATGGGTGGTTAAGTAAAGACCAAAAATGAAGGCTTTAACTGCTGCAGAGTCTGAAGCTCCCACAACAAGATACGCAGGTAGGCTTGGTTCCATTTAACAGACCAGGAAAGTGGGAACCCTCTGGAAGCTGGAATATTCCCACCCAATTGTTGCAGAATGAAATTGTCATTTACCAAAAGTCCAGTAGTTTGCCTCCCTGCCTCAGGCATTGTGGGGGTTCAAAGAGTGATGAAGACACTGCACTTCTGAAAATCACAGGGCAGCAAAAGCCTCAAGAAGCTAAATGATTACATAGAGTCCGTGGAGCTGTGATAAGCGCACGAACACTCCAACTTCTGAGTCCTTTAAGATTTACACACACAAACACACACATCCCACACACACACCAATCAAGCAGGGTGTGCTTAATTATATAAACACAAAAGAGTTGGATGAAATAAGAAAACAGGTGAGTTTTGGATTTTTTATACACTTATCCGATGAAGCCTTACAGCAAAGTTGCAGCGATGAGACGTTTTAAGAGAAAAGATTTCCATCCTTTGTGGAGAGAATATTACATCTGAAGCAGTCCCCAGGGCCGTGTGAATTAGAGACGCTCCTGAATAAGAATGAGAGCTCCATGTTCATGCTGTCTTCCCCCCAGCCTGCCCCCAGCACTCTAATTATAGAGTAGTGGGAAGATTGTCTCTCTTGTTCTCTGAAAATGACTTGCAAACAAGCCAAATCATCTTAACAGGTGAAGCCCCTAGAACTGGTTGCTGCCCTGTGTGTGTGGTGATCAGACTTGCTGGAAGATTTTTCTGACTTGGAAATGAACTGATTTGAAAGTCGTATAAAATGCAACTGTGCTTGCTTATACATTGACTGAATCATCTGTGCTGACGAGAACATAATGACACAGTCACGACTCTCTGAGATGTGTGCCTCTGGCACTCTCCGCAAAAGATGGAACGGACCACTGGGAAAAGACTTCCTTTGAAGCATTTGAAATCCTCTATCCTCCCACCCCCCACCCATTGTAGTCCCGCCCTGTTCTCCAGTAGAAATGTTGTTGCTCCTCCAAATGCAGTCATTCTGTGTGCCAATTATTCCTAACATGGTTTCTATGTTCACATTTTCTCAGGATTAAAAACGTGTCCGAGAAAAGCAGAGGTTTTTAATCCATGGCCACGATCTGTTCAGCAGCAGCAGACCCCCTGAATGCCACATTTCGTGCATCTGCAGTTTTCTGATTCTCAACAGAGTTCACAATTCCCAAATGCTTAAAAGTTCATCTTTAAGTGATCTGAGAAGGTACCTGAGGGACCAGTGGCCTGTTATTTTGGGCAGAAGCCCAGGAGGGGTTAGCAGCCAAGTTTAGTCACACCTGAAAACGTTTGAACAGCCCCCAATCTACATCAGGGCACCCCCAATGATGCAAATGGAAAATAACTGAGCAAATGAGTCCACTAGTTAAACAACAGCACCCCCAGCGTGTAGAACGGCGCAAGCAATGCAAAGAGGAATTCCGCCGCAGGCAGTTAGGATGGATGGCTGGGGATGCTGGAGCCCCGGAAAAGTACTGGTTTCCAGCCAGCACTAGCAGTGATTCACCATGAGGTGACCAATGATGCCTAACTTCTACCAACCTCCCAGCGTATATTCAAGGGCTTTCTGCTGCATATTGGAGTCGGGAGAACTCTAGACCAGAAATCAGAACTCTGGAATTCAAGTACTGGCTCTGCCTTTAACTAGCCCTGTGATTCCGGGCAAATCACTTCACTCCTTAGGGCCTTTATTCTAATGTAAAGCATTGCTTCCAAGCCTTAATGGATATCCCTTAGTTTTCTTATTCTGACATCTATCCACTCCTTTATTTTTTTTTCATGTTTCCATAAATGTTTCTTGAGTCACTAATATATGCCAGTAATTAGGTGCCCAAGACCCTGGTTACCGTCTCCATGCTCATGCTGAATTTATGGATTCAAATTTTTCTCCTTATCCTCTTTCCAGACAGGAGAGGTCTAATTAGGCTAACTCCTTGCATACGAAAAATTCCAAGGCCAGGTGAGGTGGCTCATGCCTGTAATCCTAACACTTGGGGAGGCCAATGTGGGAGGATCACTTGAGTGCAGGAGTTTGAGACCAGCCTGGGTAACATAGTAAGACACTGTCTCTACAAAAGATTAAAAAAAAAAAAATAGCTGGGCATGGTGGCGCACGCCTGTAGTCCCAGCTACTTGGGAAGCTGAAGTAGGAGGATCACTTGAGCCTGGGAAGTTGAGAACACAGTGACAGCACCACTGCACTCCAGCCTAGGTGACAGAGTGAGACCCTGTCTCAAAAAAAAAAAAAAAAAAAAAAAATTCCAGCCCCCATCACTACCCCTGCTCTCCCTGTGCTCTTGCTAGACATTGTCATACCTACCTGCCTCAATATACAAATGAAGAGGCCAAGATCCGGATACAGGTAGAGACTTGTCCCAGGATGATCCAGTGGGTCACTTCTCACAGTTCCTGGGTGCACCCCCAGAGAAGCTTTGAAGCACATGGAATTGTTGGGGAATCCATTTCTCTGATTTTAAATCTGTATAATGGACCTTAGAGAAACTTTCAGCCTGAAGAGGAATACCCAGTGACCCAGACCTCCTTCCTCAGCGACCACTGGCGAAGAGGAAATAAAATAGGTTAGCCCTGGTGCTAGGAGGTATCCCGGGAAGCCAGGCTGAATCATTCTGAGAGTGGGGATAGGAGCGGAAAGAAATTTGGCCTTTGAAATGGATAGGTCTGGTACTGCAGAGATGGGGGAACAGGCCACCTGGGGCCCTGTGGCAGGGCAAGCCCGGGCTGCAACTAAAGAACTAAGATCCAGCAAGATTCCATCTTAGAGCTGGTGCAAACTGAGGCAATCGGTAAGGGAGAGTATGTCATTCTCAGTGAAAGAGCGCCCTCTAGTGTCCGTAAGAGACCTTGGCACCACTGAAGAATTTGGAAAGAATAAGAAGTACACAATCTCAGTAACCAGATGAGACTCAACTTGCTACCTTTCCTTGATTGTAGCCAAATTTTTCCTCCAACACATAGATACTTTCAAGTAATGAAAAGCAATTAGTCATGAGGTGAATTTGTGGATTTCCAGGAATTATAAGCATAGGTCTGAGTCTGAAGCCTGAAGGAGCACAGACAGCACCCATGGGCCAAACCTATGCTCTGGAATATTCTTCATGGTGTAGGTGTCTTGCACACGTGTGCATGTCATTTTTCTTTACAATGTAATTTTTAATATTTTTTTAGAAAATTGATTTATACTTATTTCAAAAAGCTTGGAAAACATAAAAGTAAATCTCTGGCCTTGAAGAAGTAACAGAATCTGGAATTACTCTTCCACCATAAGCAACTGGAAGTTGGATACAACATACGAAAGAACTAATTTTAGGCACTAGACAAGAGGCAACACGCATGGCATCACAGATAAAGAAAGAAATGAGGTAAGCCCAAACCTTGGAGCATGGAGGAGTGACTCAAGCAGAGCAAAGAAGTTTCCCTGAGTTGAAGAATTGGAGATTAAAGTTCAAGGAGGCTGAAGTAGCTAAAATGTGCGGGACAGAGTACCAGAGATGAGGCAACTGCATGGAGAAAGAACTCCAGAAATCTGACATGGGCTCTCCTTAGGTCTTTACTGAGTACTAGAGTGAGCAAAGAACAACTGGGAAGTTTTAAAAGAACTATGCTCAGAACTCACACAAGACTAGCAGACATTCAAACTCTGGCCCAGAGGAGTAAAGAATCCTCAGTAGTTATCTATGTCATTCAATGGAGACCCCAGAGGGATCATACATTAGTAATAAATCTGAGGTATCCCCAGAGAAAAGGCTACTCTGGACCTCCTCCAGCAAAGCTTAAAAACAAAACTTAAAGAGACAAAACAGAGTGACAGACAACTTGCTTCTCTGTCAAAACAAAGTCCCACAGTCTTTGAAGAAGATAAAATCCACTCAATGATGTAACATTGACAGTGTCCAGAATCCAATCAAAAAATTGTCAGATACACTAAGAAGCAATAAAATGTGAGCCAAATGGAACTTCCAGTGCAGAAAAATATAGTACCTGAAATGAAAATTGCACTGGATAGGAGTAACACTAATTAGACTTTACAGAAGAAAAGGTTAGTAAACTTCAAAACATAACAATTAAATCTATATGAAATGAAGATTGAAAATAATAAACAGAATCTCAGTGATCTAGGGGACTCAGAAGGGGGTGCAGAAAAAATATTCAAAGAAATAATGGCCAAAATTTTTCAAAATTTACTGTAAGCTATAAACCCACAGATCAAAAGCTCAACAAACTCCAAGAAGACTAAACATGTAGAAAACCACAAGGCACATAAAAATTAAATTGTTGAAAAGGAATAAAGCTGGAGACATCACACTATGACTTCAAAATACACTACAAAGCTATAGTAACAAAAACTGCATAGTACTGGCATAAAAACAGACACATAGACCAATAGAACAGAACCCAGAAATAAATTCATGTACTTACATCCAACTGATTTTCAACAAAGATGCCAAGAACATTCAATAGGAAAATGATGTCTCTTCAATGAATGGTGCTGAGAAAACTGGCTATCTGTATGCAGAAAAATGAAACTAGACCCCTATATCTCACCACATAAAAAAATCAAAATAGATTAAATACTTAAATGTAAAGCCTGAAACTATGAAACTACCAGAAGAAAACATTGGAGAAATACTTCAGGACATTGGTCTGGGCAAAGATTTTGGGGTAAGACCTCAAAAACACAGGTAACAAAAACAAAAATAAACAAATGGGGCTTAAACTAAAAAAGTTCTGAACAGCAAATGAAAGTAGAGACAACCTGTTGAATGGGATAAAATATTTTCAAAATATGCACCTGATATGGGAATAATAATGTCCAGAAAGTACAAGGAACTCAAATCAACAGGAAACAAACAAACAAACAAACAAGTAATCCATTAAAAAGTGGTCAAAGGACATGAATAGATATTTCTCAGAAGAAGATATACAAATGGACAACAGATATATGAAAAATGCTCAACATCACTAATCATCAGAAGAAATGCGAATCAAAACCGTCATGAGATGTCATCTTACCCCATTCTTAATAGCTACTATTAAAAAGACAAAAAATAACAGACATCGGAGAGAATGTGGAAAAAGGGGAACTTGTATACATTGTTGCTGGGAATGTAAACTAAAACAGCCACTATGGAAAACATTATGAAGGCTTCTCGAAAAATGAAAAATAGAATTACTATTTTGATCCAGCAATCCCACTACTGGGTATTTACCCAAAGGAAAAGAAATTAATATATCAAAGGGATTGCAGCACTATTCACAAGAGCAAAGACATGGAATCAACCTAAATGTCCACTAATGAATAAATGGATAAAGAAAATGTGGTACATATACACAATAGAATACTATTTGGCTATAAAAAGAATGAAATCTTCTCATTTGTAGCATCATGGATGGAACTGGAGGTCATTATCTTAAGTGAAATAACCCAGGGACAATAAGACAAATATCACATCTGGGAGCTAACTTTGATCATATGGAGGTGGAGAGTGGAAAGAGGGATAACAGAGACTGGTAAGGGTGAGTCGGGGGAGAAGGGAGGCTGAAGAAAAGTAGGTGGCTGTGTCCCCACCCAAAATCTCATCTTGAATTTTAATCCACACATGTCAAGGAGGGACCAGGTGGAGGTAATCAGATCATGGAGGAGGTTTCCCCCATGCTGTTCTCGTGATAGTGAGTGAGTCTCACGAGATCTGATGGTTTTATAAGAGTCTGGCCTTACCCCTGCTTGCACTCACTCCATCCTGCTGCCCTGTGAAGAAGGCGCCTGCTTTTCCTTTGCCTTCTGTCATGATTGTAACTTTCCGGAGGCCTCCCCGGCCATGCTGAACTGTGAGTCAATTAAACCTGTTTCCTTTATAAATTACCCAGTGTTGGGTATTTCTTCACAGCGGCATGAGGACAGACTAATACAGTGACAATACTTCATGAAAATGTCGCACCCTAAATTACATCCTAAGTACCCTGACTTGATCACTACACATTATATACATGTAACAAAGTTTCACATTTACTGCATAAACTTATAAAAAAAAAAGAAATCAATTTGATGAAAACCAATGGTAAAGAGAAAAATATATCTATTTAAATCCAGAGGAGAGAAACACTTTATTTGTACAGCAAAGTTAACTCAATTTGGATCTTCAACATAAATGTGAAAGCTAAAACTATAAAACTTCTAGAATAAAATATAGAAGATCATTGTGATGATTGGGTTGGCATAGATTATTTTTATATACAAGACAAAAAACACAAATCATCCAAATAAAAGTGCACTGTACTTTGTTAATATTTTAAAACTTCTGCTTTTTGAAAGATTCCATTGAGCAGGGGGAAGCAAGCCACAGAATGGGGCTAAACATTTGTAATACACATATCTAACAAAGAACTAGAATATATAAAGAATCCTTGTAACTCAATAAAAATAAGATAAACAACAGCGTTTTTTAAATGAGGAAAATATTTGAACAGTCACTCACCAAAATATACATGCAAATGTCCAATTCACGCATGAAAAGCTGGCCAACATAGTCATAAAATAAATTAAAATTAAAGCCTCAAGATGCCATTACCCACCCACTAAAAAAGCTAATTTTTTTAGGTTGATAATATCAAGTATTGGCAAGAATTTAGAGCAACTTGCAACTTTCATGCATTGCTGTTGGGAAAACAAAACCATGCAAACACATCAAAAGCTAAACATACACCTGCCATGCTACTGAGCATTTCCACTTTTAGCTACTTACTTCAGACATGGAAACATATGTCCACACAAAGACCCCTGCATCAATGTTCATAGCAGTTTAGCCATAAGAGCCAAAAACTAGAAACAACCCAATGTCACCAACGGAAGAATAGAGAAAAATGAATGGAATCCTAGTCAGCCATATGTAGGAATAAACTATAGATACGTATAACAACACGAATGAATCCCCGAAATCTTATGCTGAGTGGGGGAAGAAAAGCCTTACACAAAAATTACCTATTGTCTGACTACAATTATTTGAAATTTTAGAAAAGGATGAAACTAATATATGTCGGGAAAAAATCAGAGTGGTGGTTTTTTCTGGGTGATAAACGTGGGAATTTACTGGGAAGGGACGTGAGGAAACTTCGGGTATGATGAAAATATTGTATGATTTGATGGTAATTCCACAGGTGTATACATTTGTCAAAACTCATAGAAATGTGCACCTACAGTAGGTGCACTTTACTTTATATGAGTTATACTACAAACATGTTTTTAACAATCTCAAATCTATTAAAGACCTACATTTGTAAAGAATAACTTTAAAACCAAGAGAAGAAAATCTAGAATATCTTCAGGATTGTAGGGTAGAGCAGAATTCCTGGTGAAGATGCAAAAAACCCAAGTCATGATATTTATGATGTATATGATATTTAAACTTTTTATGTCCAGAATGTGTATCTTGTACAAATCAAACATAAAAAGACAAATTACTCAGCAGAAAATGGGTAATGAATATGAAAACAAAGTTCACAAAAGAAGAAATTCTGATGATAAACATGAATTTTAGGTGTCCCAATCTGTGGGGTGGTGTGTTTTTGTCCAGGAGAACTACATGGCCAGGTGAATGGTTAAACAAATTGTTGTATGTCCATACCACCGCTGAAAAGCACATGGAATACTACTTTAAACAAGGGAATGAGCTACTGATACAACAATTTGGATGGATTTCAAGGACATATGCTGAGTGGAAAACAATTTGTAACAATTTGTATCTCTAAAGTCAATGTATGTATAATCCAGACTGAGTAATTCAACTTCTAAATATATACCCAATAGAAATGTGTTTATCATATACACAAGAGTGTTCATAGTATTATCTGTAATAGTCAATAATTGGAAACAACCCAAATGCCCATCAACCATAGAATGTATATATAAATTGTGGTAATATCACAACAGAATACTACGCAGTAATGAAAAGAAACAAACTACAAATACATATAATACCATAGATCAACCTCACAAATGCAATGTTGAAGAAAGGATGTAAGACCCAAAGAAATATATACTGTAGGATATCATTTATAAAAGCTTCAAAGACAGGAAAATTAATCTGTAATGTTAGAATTCTAGACAGTGTTTACAACTGGAAAGGAAAGAGAAGTAATATTGGGGAGGTGAATTCCGGAGTGTTGTCCATGTTCTAGCTCATGACCTGGATGGTGGTTATACAAGTGTGTTCATTTCATTATAATTTCTATAGTTTTCTATATCTGTTTTAGTTTTATACAAAAGTTTAAAATGTGAATCATTAGTAAATGATTTGGAGTCATTTGATCTGTTTGCTTCTGACCAATTGTATGGGTTAATAGCAGACCCAGAGACTATCTAGACAAGGTTTTGAGGATGGGAACTCTAGTCTCCTAGTTATGAGGCTTACAGCCTACCTATTCTCTTTTTATTATTTTAAATTCAGAGGGTACATGTGCAGATTTGTTACGTGAGTATATTGCTTGAGGCTGAGCTTTGGGCTTCCATTGAACCCGTCACCCAAATAGTGAACATAGCACCCAATAGGTACTTTTACAACCCTTGCCCCGCTCTCTCCCTCTCCCCTTTTGGAGTCCCCAGTGTCTATTGCCCCCTCTTTATGTCCATGTGTACTCAATTTTTAGCTCTCACTTATAAGTGAGAACACATGCTATATGGTTTTCTGTTTCTGTATTAATTCCCGTAGGAAAATGCCATCCAGCTGCATCCATGTTCTTGCAAAGGATATGATTTTGTTCCTTTTTATGGCTGTATAGTGTTATATGCTGTATATGTACCACATTTTCTTTATCCAATCCATCGTGGATAAGCACCTAGGTTGATTTCATGTATTTGCTATTGTGAATAGTGCTGTGATACACATGTGAGTACAGGTGTCCTTTTGGTAGAACAATTTATTTTCCTTTGGGTATATACCCAGTAGTGGGATTGCTGAGTCAAATGGTAATTCTATTTTTAATTCTTTGAGAAGTCTTCAAACTGCTTTCCAGAGTGGCTGAACTAATTTGCATTTCCACCAACAGTGTATAAATGTTCCCTTTTCTCTGCAACCCTGCCAATATCTGTTTTTTTTTTTATTTTTTAATAGTAGCTATTCCGACTGGTATGAGATGGCATCTCACTGTGGTTTTGATTTCCATGTCTCTGATTAGTGAGGTTGAGCATTTTTTTCAAGTTTGTTGCATGCTTGTATGTCTTCTTTTGAGAGGTGTTTATTCATTTCCTTTGCCCACTTTTTAATGAGGTTGTATATTTTTATTAATTTGTTTAAGTTCCTTATTGACTCTGGATATTAGTCTTTTGTCAGATGCGTAGTTTGTACATATTTTCTCCCATTCCATAGGTGGTCTGTTTACTCCCTTGATAGTTTCTTTTGCTGTGCAGAAGCTCTTTAGTTTAATTCATTCCTAATTGTCTATTTTTGTTTTTGTTGCATTTGCTTTTGAGGACTTAGTCATAAATTATTTGCCTCGACCAATGACCAATACCAAAGGGTATTTCCTAGGTGTTCTGGAATTTTTATAGTTTGAGGTTGTACATTTAAGTCTTTAGTTCATCTTGAGTTAATTTTTGTATATAGGGATAGATTGTGGTCCAGTATCATTCTTCTGCATATGGTTAGCCAGTTTTCCCACCACCATTTATTGAATAGAGAGTCCTTTCCACATTACTTATTTTTGTCATTGAAGATCAGATGGCTGTATGTGTGTGTTTTATTTCTGGGTTCTCTATTTTGTTCCATTAGTCTATGTGTCTGTTTTTGTACCAGTACCATGCTGTTTTGGTTGCTGTAGTCTTGTAGTATAGTTTGATGTCAGGTAACGTGATGCCTCTGGCTTTGTTCTTTTTGCTTAGGATTGTTTTAGCTATTTGGGCTCTTCTTTGGTTCCACGAATTTTAGAAAAGTTTTTTCTACTTCTGTGAAAAATGATGTTGATTGTTTGATAGGAATAATGTTGAATCTGTAAATACTTTGAGCAGTGTGGCCATTTTAATGATATTGATTCTTCGAATCTATGAGCATGGAATGTTTTTCCATTTGTTTGTGTCATCTCTGATTTCTTTCAGCAGTGTTTTGTAGTCTTCCTTGTAGAGATCTTTCACCTCCTTAGTTAGATGTATTCCCAGGTATTTTATTTTTTTGTGTGGATATTGTAAATGGGGCTGCATTCTTGATTTGGCTCTCAGCTTGGATGTTGTTGGTGTATAGGAATGCTTCTGATTTTTGCACATTGATTTTGTATCCTGAAACTTTACTGAAGTCGTTTATCAGGTCTAAGAGTCTTTTGGTGGAGTTTTCTGGGTATAGAATCATATTGTCAACAGAGATAATTTGACGTCCTCATTTCCTATTTGGATGTCTTTTATTTCTTTCTCTTGCCTGGTTGTTCTAGCTAGGACTTCCAGTACTATGTTAAATAGTAGTGGTGACAGCAGTCATACTTATCTTTTTCTGGTTCTTAGGGAGAATTCTTCCAGCTTTTGCCCATTCAGTATGATGTTGGCTGTGAGTTTGTCATAGGCGGCACTTATTATATTGAGGTATGTTCCTTCAATGCCTAGTTGGATGAGGGTTTTTTTTTTATTGTGATACCTATCGTCTTTATCCTTTATTTATCAGTCTTCACCTTTTATTTTGGCATTTCATGGGAAGTCATTACCCATAACACTGTCCATTCACCTGGAAGCATTTGGAAGAAGACGGTGAGAAAAGGCTTTTCTTTTTCCTCAGTCTTACCTCCTGCTAAGTTTTCTGCCTTTCTCTCCATTTTTAGGTGGAATATCTTCAGTATTAGCTGTCTATTGTAAGACATCACAGAACTGCAGGAAATAGCCAATACACACTGATATCCAGAATTTTCCTTCTTATTTTCCCTAATTATACACCCTTGTGTAAATGTCTTGCAATAATCACCATCTTCCATGCCTACAATTATGTGGTCCTCAATGCCCTTCCTCTTACCTCCTCCACTCAGCTGACTTTACATTTTTAGATCTATTACTTGGAGCAAACTACTTGTGGTGCAATATTCTGCATTAATCAGGATTCTAATGTGAAAGCAATAAAAAGTATCTCTTGCCAATAACAGGCTCTGAAATTGAGGCAATAATTAATAGCCTACCAAACAAAAAAAGTCCAGGACCAGACAGATTCACAGCCAAATTCTACCAGAGGTACAAAGAGGAGCTGGTACCATTTCTTCTGAAACTATTCCAATCAATAGAAAAAGAGGGAATTCCCCCTAACTCATTTTATGAGGCCAGCATCATCCTGATACCAAAGCCTGGGAGAGACACAACAAAAAAAGAGAATTTTAGACCAATATCCCTGATGAACATCAATGCGAAAATCCTCATTAAAATACTGGCAAACTGAATCCAGCAGCACATCAGAAAGCTTATCCACCCAGATCAAGTGGGCTTCATCCCTGGGATGCAAGGCTGGTTCAACATACACAAATCAATAAACGTAATCCATCCCATAAACAGAACCAACGACAAAAACCACATGATTATCTCAATAAATGCAGAAAAGCCCTCTGACAAAATTCAACAGCCCTTCATGCTAAAAACTCTCAATACACTCGGTATTGATGGAACATATCTCAAAATAATAAGAGCTATTTATGACAAACCCATATCCAATATCATACTGAATGGGCAAAAACTGGAAGCATTCCCTTTGAAAACTGGCATAAGACAAGGATGCCCTTTCTCACCACTCCTATTTGACGTAGTGTTGGAAGTTCTGGCCAGGGCAATCAGGCAAGAGAAGGAAATAAAGGGTATTCAATTAGGAAAAGAGGAAGTCAAATCGTCCCTGTTTGCAGGTGACATGACTATATTCAGAAAACCCCATCGTCTCAGCCCAAAATCTCCTTAAGCTGATAAGCAACCTCAGCATTCTCAGGATACAAAATCAATGTGCAAAAATCACAAGCATTCCCAATACACCATTAACAGACAGAGAGCCAAACCATGAGTGAACTCCCATTCACAATTGCTACAAAGAGAATAAAATACCTAGGAATACAACTTACAAGAAATGTGAAGGACCTCAAGGAGAACTACAAACCACTGCTCAACGAAATAAAAGAGGACACAAGCAAATGGAAGAATATTCCATGCTCATGGATAGGAAGAATCAATATCGTGAAAATGGCCATACTGCCCAAAGTAATTTATAGATTCAAGACCATCCCCATCAAGCTACCAATGACTTTCTTCACAGAATTGAAAACAACTATGTTAAAGTTCATATGGAACCAAAAAAGAGCACGCATAGCCAAGACAATCCTAAGCCAAAAGAACAAAGCTGGAGGCATCACACTACCTGACTTCAAACTATACTACAAGGCTACAGTAACCAAAACAGCATGGTACTGGT